>NC_000013.11:95343888-95646918 GCF_000001405.40 Homo sapiens
GCTGAAATTACAGGCGTGAGCCACCATGCCTGGCCTGCTTTTTTACTTTTGAAATAGTTGTTGGATATTCAACTTTCCATACCATCATCAGTTAATTGAATCTTTAACAGAAATGTCATCTCTGCATCCTCATGCATCATTTCCTTGTATTGTCTCTAATAATACAATACAGCCGGTTGAAATCCTTAATGCAAGGGCAGATTTAGTACTCAAGTTATGTTTTCATGGTGCTCTGCCAAACTTTGGGGTGAGCATTGACCTACTAAAGAGTCAAGGGGCCTGAGATTAAATCCTGACATCATGTTTTGGCAATAACATATTTTTGGCAAGGCATCAAATACCTCTGTGCTTTAATCTCCTGCCTGTAAAACAGGGGTCATCATTCCGACCCTGCTTACATAAAGGAAGATTCATGTGCTGCGCCTTGAGGGATGGGACACCTTCTAAATGTGATGGTAGAGAAATGGCACCCTGGGGGAGAGAACAGCACGTGCGAAGAGGAGAGACTGTACAAGGACACTAAGTGTTATACCTTTTACTGAAATGTAGAGTATTAATGAAAGAGGAATGACAGGCCAGGCATGGTAGCTCATACCTGTAATCCCAGCACTTTGGGAGGCAGAGATGAGTGGATCACCTGAGGTCAGGAGTTCAAGACCAGCCTGGCCAGCATGGTGAAATCCCATCTCTACTAAAAATAGAAAAATTAGCCAGGTGTGGTGGTGGGCACCTGTAATCCCAGCTACTTGGGCGGCTGAGGCAGGAGAATCACTTGAACCTGGGAGGTGGAGTTTGCAGTGAGCCAAGATTGCACCATAGCACTCCAGCCTGGGTGACAGAGTGAGACTGTGTCTAAAAAAAAAAAAGATAAAAGAAAGAGGAATGACAGCAAAGACAGGGAAAGTGGGCTGAAACTAGATTTTTAAGGCAGTTGAATGACATGCTAAGAACATTTCTGCTGGACAGGCCAACTCCCTTCCTTTAAAAAAAAAAAAATGTTGGCATGGCACGGTGGCTCACGCCTGTAATCCCAACACTTTGGGAGGCCAAGATGGGAGGATCACAAGGTCAGGAGTTCGAGACCAGTCTGCCCAACATGGTGAAACTCTGTCTCTACTGAAAAATACAAAAATTAGCCAGGCATGGTGGTGTGCACCTGTAATCCCAGCTACTCGGGAGGCTGAGCCAAGAGAATTGCTTGAACCCAGGAGGCAGAGGTTGCAGTGAGCCGAGACTCCGTCTCAAAAATAAATAAATAAATAAATAAAATAAAATAAAATAAAATAAAAAAATTTATAGAGACAGGGTCTCACTATGTTACCCAGGCCAGTCTTGAACTCCTGAGCTGAAGTATGCTCCTGCCTCAGCCTCCCAAAGTGCTAGGATTACAGGCGTAAGCTTCCACGATCAGCCCCAATTCCCTCCCTAGAAGCCTCAAAGTACTGCCAAGAGTCCCTTCTGAGTGGGTCTTTACACACGGATGGCCATCCAGATGGACCACCACCTAGCCAGACAATGGGGGGACCTGACACATCATCCTTTATGGGGTGGCCAGTAGCCTATGGGTACAGTGGCCTGAAGGCTCTTCCTCATAGGGCCCCTTATGTTAAGTGATTGCTGGTGGGACCACTTGTTCTCTTTCAGTGGACATATATTGAGTGCTTCAGTAGAATCAGTAAAAATAGAGAGGAGCTGAGTTACTAAGAAGCGGTAGGTACCTGTTGATGGGTGTAACAGCTCAACGGCTGGCTCAACTGTGCTACAACCTGAATGATCTTCTGCTTCTCGATTACCCATGAGGGCTACCTCTGCGGGGGTTTTTTGTTTGTTTTTTCTTTTTCTTTTGTTTGAGACAGTCTCAGGCTGGAGTGCAGTGGCGTGATCTCCGCTCACTGCAACCTCGGCCTCCTGGGCGATTCACCTGCCTCAACCTTCTGAGTAGCTGGGAGTACAGGTGCACACCACCAGGCACAACTATTTTTTTTTTTTTTTTTTTTTTTTTTAGTAGAAGCGAGATTTCACCATATTGGCCAGGCTGGTCTCAAACTCCTGACCTCAGGTGATCCACCCACCTCGGCCTCCCAAAGTGCTGGGATTACAGGTGTGAGCCACCACACCTGGCCGCTTTTTAAATTTGTGGTAACAGCTGTGTTCTGAAAGACACTCCCCCACCCCACCGCCCCACCATGAGCAATGACATATAAAGTGAGAGGTGCAGCCAGTGACCACAAGGCATTTATTTTGCCTGAATGTATCCAGCTGTTATACAGAGCAAGCCTCACTTCTGCCTATTAGCAGAATCCTTTTCTACCCTACCTGAGCTCAATGTTGAATTTCAACCTTCATCTTATCCTTGAGTTATTCTTGGAGTTTCAGCTTTTCAAGACCTTCATAATCCTTGGTTTTCTTCTCAAGTAAAGAAAAAAAGGCAGCATTTTAATTTTTTTAAACAGAGGGATTTCACTATGTTGCCCAGGCTGATCTTGAATTCCTGGGCTGAAGCGATCTTCCCGCCTTGGTTTCCCAAAATGCTGGGATTGTAGCCATAAGACACTGTGCCCAGTCGTTTAAGTTTTCTTCAAATTTTTTTTTTTTTTGAGACGTAGTCTCGCTCTGTTGCCCAGGCTGGAGTGCAATGGTGATCTCGGCTTACTGCAAACTCTGCCTTCTGGGTTCAAGCCATTTTCCTGTGCCTTTATTATTTATGATAACTTTTTTTTTTTTTGAGACAAGGTCTCTGTCACCCAAGCTGGAATGCAGTGGCGCGATCGTGGCTTACTGCAGCCTCAACCTCCCAGGCATCAATCCTCCCACCTCAGCCTCCTGAGTAGCTGGGACCACAGGCATGCATCAGCATGTCCAGTAGCTTTTCTATTTTTAGTAGAGCGCCTAGGCTAGTTTTGAACTGCTGAGCTCAATGAATCCAGCCGCCTTGGCCTTCCAAAGAACTGGGATTACAGGCTTGAGCCATTGCACCCAGCCTTATTTATAGTAATTTTTAAGTGGCCTAGGTCAGTGCCTCACAATCTTTAACAATCACATGAATCACGGGGGAGTCTTGTTGAAATGCTGATTCCACATTAGGCGCAGTGGCTCACGCCTGTAATCTCAGCACTTTGGGAGGCCGAGGTGGGCAGATCACTTGAGGTCAGGAGTTCAGACAAGCCTGGCCAACATGATGAAACCCCGTCTCTACTAAAAATACAAAAATTAGCCAGGTGTGGTAGTACATGCCCGTGATCCCAGCTACTTGGGAGGGTGAGGCAGGAGAATTGCTCGAACCTGGGAGATGGAGGTTGCAGTGAGCTGAGATTATGCCACTGCATTCCAGCCTGGGCAACAGAGCAAGACTCCATCTCAAAAAAAAAAAAAAAAGCTGATTCCAATTCAGTAGGCCTGGGGTGGGCCTGAGAGTCTGCATTTCTCATACCACCCAGATGGTGATGGTGCTGCTGGCTTACAGACCAAATGGGGTATAGAGCATTTTATCTACCTGTAATAATTAATAAACTGATTTTTTTAAAAAAACTCTCCAAAAATTAAAACAACAGCTATTGATGTTTTCCTCTTACTACTAGGATCTTATGTTGCTTACGATATATTAAATAGTCTGTCTGTTTGTGGTTATCAGTATTCTTGTCTAGATTAATAGTACTTACTAGCACAGGAATCTGTGCTAAATCTCTAAAGCTGATTTAGGTCTCCATGGCAATTTCGTAGCTTTGCCACCCTCGCTGCTGGGTAGGCTAGCAAAACTCCAGAATAAATACACTTTCCAGGCAAATTTTTTGGATCAGTTCCTCCACTTCCAACCTGGCGGACCCAATGGCTGATGTTCAGATTGTGCTTACACACACACAGTGCCGAGCAGGGCACTGAAGACCCGGGTGGGCTAAATCCTGCTTGGCAGCTTGCTGTGATGTGTGTGTGGTTGTGTTAGAGGATTTTATTTTTTCCCCTTCAGCAGTTTTGATGGGATCTTCTGCCTCCTTGCACCGTTTCTGAAGTTCCCAGGCCTGCTGTTTGACCCAATGTGTCTCACACTCATCTGCATCATGCCTGTTGTCTTCTTTGGTGGCAATGGGAATGCCCTGGTGTCAGAACCTCGTGCCCCTGACATAAACAGTGTGGTATCATTTTTGCGTCCCTGCAATCACTTTGTTCCACTGTTCCACTGTTGCCCTTCCTTTTTTTTTTTTTTTTTTTTTTGAGACGGAGTCTCGCTCTGTCACCCAGGCTGGAGTGCAGTGGTGTGATCTCAGCTCACTGCAACCTCTGCCTCCTGGTTTCAAGCAATCCTCCTGCCTCAGCCTCCCGAGTAGCTAGGATTACAGGTGCATCACCATGCCCAGCTAATTTTTGTATTTTTAGTAGAGAGGGGGTTTCACCATGTTGGCCAGGCTGGTCTCAAACTCCTGACCTCAGGTGATCCACCCACCTCAGCCTCCCAAAGTGCTGGGATTACAGGTGTGAGCCACCACGCCCAACATTTTTGTTGTTTTAGTCACTTGGTGTGGAACCCATAGGAGGCCACACAAAGTGCTGAAAAGAATGAAAGAATGGAATTCTGGGATTTTAGTCTGGAGGGCAATGGTGCTTGCATAAACTTTGGAATTAACAAGAATACCCAGCTGACCAAGTTTTCCTCCATGGAAGAGAAGATGAAAACCTTCCCAAACTGGACAACAGCAAAGGTATGGGGAATACAGGCAGAAAGTTATATATAGTTGGGATCTCTGTCATCTGAATTGTCACTAACTCCAAACTTAGTGGCTGAGGGCCCTTCAAGTACAGCTCTTGCCTCACCTCCCAATAGAAGCCAGGTGAGTTTCATAGACCTACTTATTCCTTAAGTCTGAGTCTTAATCAGTTTCTTGAACTGCTCAAAGGCCAGATTCTTGAAGGAAATTCATCATTCTGGAGACCCACACTCACACTAAACCAAGGAGCTGATAGCATGAGAGCATGTTCCCTTTCAGACCCCCCACACTACTGATCTGTGCCCCAAGGAGTGCCCCACCACCATGATCTAGACATGAGACTTGCACGAATTGCTGGAGGAAAGGAGATGGATTTCATAGTGAGACCCTTCATGGGAATAAGCCTTCCCTAGTAGGAGGCTTAGCCAAGGGAGATGTGTAGAGATTCCACATGAAAAGAGCTGAAGGGGGGCCCTGAATTTGAAAACAAGGGCAAAAGGAGAGATTTTGGGAATAGAGAGTTCCCATGGAGGAAACTTTTTGCAAAAGGCCCAACTCTTTAAGTGATTTCTGTCTTGGAACTTGGGAAAAGACAAGTTGTCAAAAACTTTAGGCATTCCCCTCCTGCACTGCCCTTTTGAATTTATCCCAACTCACATAATTTTTAGATTTTTTTTTTAATTGAGATAGGGTCTCACTATGTAGCCCAGGCTGGTCATGCATATCCCAACCCTCCAGTTAACTACATTAGAATATCCCAGGCTATGTCCAGTCTGCTGTTGCTATTTGCTATTTCAGGAAAGCTGATAGGAAAGAATGATGAAGTGGGAAGGACGGCCAGCCTCCTCCCACCCCGTGGCATCCCCTCTATTGGCCTGGTAGGAAGGCAGCATCATCTTCTCAAGTGCACTATGACTCAGCAACATGGGTCTTGACCAACAGTCCTGTGAGGGATGACAGAGCTGGGGGGTGAAGGGAAAATTCCATACAATATCTAGGAGCTCTCCTTAGAGGTCAACTCAAAGACTCCAGTAAGAATGAATGAGGTTGGCCAGGTGCGGTGGGTCACGCCTGTAATCCCAACAGTTTGGGAGGCTGAGGCGGGCGAATCATGAGGTCAGGAGATTGAGACCATCCTGCCTAACACAGTGAAACCCCATCTCTACTAAAAATACAAAAAATTAGCCGGGTGTGGTGGTGGGCACCTGTAGTCCCAGCTACTCGGGAGGCTGAGGCAGGAGAATTGCTTGAACCCGGGAGGTGGAACTTGCAGTGAGCCAAGATTGCACCACTGCATTCCAGCCTGGGTGACAGAACGAGTCTCCATCTCAAAAAAAAAAAAAAGAAAAGAAAAAAAAAAGAATGAATGGGGTTGGCCAGGTTCAGTGGCTCACCCCTGTAATCCCAGCACTTTGGGAGGCCGAAGTGGGCAGATCACCTGAGGTCAGGAGTTCGAGACCAGCCTAGCCAACGTGGTGAAACCCAGTCTCTACTAAAAATGCAAAAATTAGCTGGGTGTGGTGGCCGGAGCCTGAGGTAGGAGGAGCTACTCAGGAGGCTGAGGTAGGAGAACTGGATGGAAGTTGCAGTGAGCTGAGATTGTGCCACTGCACTCCAGCCTGAGCGACAAAGTGACACTCTGTCTCAAAAAAAATAAATAGGCATGGGCAAGGACTTCATGTCTAAAACACCAAAAGCAATGGCAACAAAAGACAAAATTGACAAACGGGATCTAATTAAACTAAAGAGCTTCTGCAAAGCAAAAGAAACTACCATCAGAGTGAACAGGCAACCTACAAAATGGGAGAAAATTTTCGCAACCTACTCATCTGACAAAGGGCTAATATCCAGAATCTACAATGAACTCAAACAGATTTACAAGAAAAAAACAAACAACCCCATCAAAAACTGGGTGAAGGACATGAACAGACACTTCTCAAAAGAAGACATTTATGCAGCCAAAAGACACATGAAAAAATGCTCACCATCACTGGCCATCAGAGAAATGCAAATCAAAACCACAATGAGATACCATCTCACACCAGTTAGAATGGCAATCATTAAAAAGTCAGGAAACAACAGGTGCTGGAGAGGATGTGGAGAAATAGGGACACTTTTACACTGTTGGTGGGACTGTAAACTAGTTCAACCATTGTGGAAGTCAGTGTGGCGATTCCTCAGGGATCTAGAACTAGAAATACCATTTGACCCAGCCATCCCATTACTGGGTATATACCCAAAGGACTATAAATCATGCTGCTATAAAGACACATGCACACGTATGTTTATTGCAGCACTATTCACAATAGCAAAGACTTGGAACCAACCCAAATGTCCAACAATGATAGACTGGATTAAGAAATGTGGTACATATACACCATGGAATACTATGCAGCCATAAAAAATGATGAGTTCATGTCCTTTGCAAGGACACGGATGAAACTGGAAATCATCATTCTCAGTAAACTATCGCAAGGACAAAAAACCAAACACCGCATGTTCTCACTCATAGGTGGGAATTGAACAATGAGAAAACATGGACACAGGAAGGGGAACATCACACTCTGGGGACTGTTGTGGGGTCGGGGGAGGGGGTAGGGATAGCATTAGGAGATATATCTAATGCTAAATGATGAGTTAATGGGTGCAGCACACCAGCATGGCACATGTATACATATGTAACTAACCTGCACATTGTGCACATGTACCCTAAAACTTAAAGTATAATAATAATAAAATAAAATAAAATAAAATAAAATAAAATAAATAAATAAATAAAAGAAGAATGAATAAGGCACCTGTTACTACATAGCAATCCACCCTAAGACACAGGTGATTAAAAACAGTCATCGTTTACTTATTTATTATTTAGCACAATTGTGAAGGTCGATCGGGTAGCTCTGCCACTCGCCTCACGTGAATTCACTCCTACAGCTGCAGAAACCTGAGGGCTCAGCAAAAGCTGGGAGTCCACAGTGGTTTCACTCACATGTTCAGGCTTCAGGTAGGACAGCTGGAAGAGCTGAGATGGCCTTTCTTCCCAGGCTACTTCACAGCGTGGTGGTCAGGGAGAGATTCGGTGACGTAGTAACCTTTGAGCTGAGGTCTTCTGAGGGGTTCAAAGGCTGTTGTAAGTAGGCAAAAGGGGAGAGGCTGGTAAGAACGAGGGAACTTATTTACAAGAAGGAATCACATGAGTTGAGAACCCATGAGGTAGGAAGAAGTATGATGGTTTCTAGAAATAAAGGAATAGTCAGTTTGGCTACTACACACAAGAAAAGAGGGAGCGTGGAGGATGGATCGTGCATTTTCAAGGAACTATGGATTTTTTGTTTTAATTCTCATACTAACGTTACCAGAAAGGGGTCCCAATCCAGATCCCAAGGGAGGGTTCTTGGATCTCGCACAAGAAAGAATTCAAAGGAAAACCTCAGCAGAGATTAACTCAACAGTATCTGGGTAGATAGAGTGAAGTGAAAGGAAGCTTATTAAGAAAGAAAAGGAATGAAGAATGGCTACTCCACAGGCAGAGCAGCCCCAAGGGCTGCTGGTTGGCTAATTTTATGGTCAGTTCTTGATTATATCCTAAACAAGGCGGGGATTATTCATTCATAAGTTTTCTGGGAAAGGGATGGACAATTTCTGGAAACGAGGGTTCCCCCCTGTCAGATTATATAGGGTAACTTCCTGATGTTGTCATGGCATTTGTAAACTGCCATGGCGCTGGTGGGAGTGTCTTTTGGCATGCAAATCCATTATAATTAGTGTATAATGAGCAGTGAGGATGACCAGAGGTCACTTTTGTCACCATCTTGGATTTGGTGGGTTTTGGCCGGCTTCTTTACTGCATCTTTTATCAGCAAGGTCTTTGTGACCTGTACTTTGTGCCAACCTCCTGTCTCATCCTGTGACTAAGAATGCCTAACCTGGCAATGCAGCCCAGTAGGTGTCAGCCTTACTTTACCCAGCCCCGTTCAAGATGAAGTTGCTCTGGTTCAAACACCTCTGGCACCAAGAATAATAGGAAACCACTGAGAAGTTTTTTGTTTGTTTGTTTTAATATAGATGGTATTTTGCCATGTTGCTCAGGCTGGTCTCAAATTCCTGGGCTCAAGCAATCTGCTCACCTCAGCCTCCCAAAGTGCTGGGATTATAGGCATGAGTCATGGTGTCCAGCCTGAAAGGTTTTAAGTGTAGGGAAGTTTAAACTTTCCCTCTGAAGGCTCAAACAAACTGACAATAGGCAGCTAACAAGAAAAAAGGCATACAAATTTATTAAAGTGCCCATGAACACAAGAGACTCAAAGAAGGGCCAGGTAGTTGAGGCTTAAATAGCACCCTTTTCATAGGGGAAAGGGAGATGGAGGACATAGGTGATTGTGAGGGAATAATGAATGAGCCCAAAGAACAGAAAATGTCCTGGGACAAAGGTTTTCTGAGCTCTGAGGGAGGTTTCGGAAAGCTGAGGGGTGGAACTTCACTGAGAAAAAAGGTTGTCTTATTATGTAGATTAAGTCTCCCAGATAATGTCTTAGAGCTGCCCTCAGGAGAATAGATGAAGTCTGTTGGATATGGTGATGGTGATGACTTTTAGTCTTTTCTCTGGTGGTTAATCATTCCTGGCTATTTGATGAGTTTCCTAGGGAGGGGTTTTTTATTTATTTATTTTTTTTATTTTTACTTTTTTTGAGATGGAGTTTTGCTCTTCTTGGCCAGGCTGGAGTGCTGTGGCATGATCTTGGCTCACTGCAACCTCCGTCTCCCAGGTTCAAGCAATTCTCATGCCTCAGCCTCCTGAGTAGCTGGGATTACAGGTGTTCACCACCATGCCTGGCTAATTTTTGTATTTTTAGTAGAGATGGGGTTTCACCATGTTGGCCAGACTGGTCTCAAGCTCCTGACCTCAGGTGATCCACCCACCTGTCCTCCCTTAGTGCTGGGATTACAGGTGTGAGCCACTGATAATTGCATTTCTTTTGGAAGAAGCTTTCCTCAGTGTGATAAGGTAACTTCCAGGGAGAGCTCCTCCCTGCACCAGGGGGAGAGAAACAAGAGGTTAGAGAGGCCTTGATTCTGAGCAGCTTCTAAGGCCCTTGGATTTCCATTCATTTAAAAATGCTCAGCATGCCCAAGTATCATACTTTGGGGTATCATTCTCTGTGCCCTAACATAAGCAATAGAGTGACATGATCTGACTTACCCTTTCAGGAAACATCATGGTTCTATATATGAGGTATTGCAGGGGAACTAGAAGCAGAGCTTCTCAACCTCAGCACTACTGACATTCGGGGTTAGGTAATGCTTTACTGTGTGAGGTTGTCCTGCACACTGCAGCATGTTTACCAGCATTTCTGGCCTCTACTCAGTAGATGGCATTTGCACCTCTCCCCACTTAGTTGTGACAACCAAAAATGTGTCCAGGCTGGGCATGGTGGTTCACGCCAGTAATCCCAACACTTTGGGAGGCCGATGGAGGAAGATCACTTGACCCCAAAAGTTCAAGACCAGCCTGGACAACATACAGAGATCCTATCTCTACAAAAAGTAAAACAACCAAAAACCAAAAAACATTAGCCAGGCTTGGTGGTGCATACCTATAGTCCTAGCTACTCAGGAGGCTGAGGTGAGAGGATCGCTTAAGCCTAGTAGGTCAAGGCTGCAGGTGCCATGATCATACCACTGCACTCCTGCCTCGGTGACAGAGTGAGACCTTGTCTCTGAAAAAAATGAAAAAAGAAAAAAAATATGTCCAGACATTGGACATGTCCCCAGGGGGAGCCAAATTACCCCTGTTTGGGAACCATTGTGCTAGAGTGAATACAGGGCTTCTTTCTCACTATTACAGTCATCCAGGAGAGAAATAATGATTACTTGGACTTGAGTGGCCAAGGTGGAGCTGGGGATGAGCAGATAGGATTTGAGAGACAAGGTGATGAACTCAACAGTATCTGGGTGGACAGAGCCATCACGGCAGCCCTGTCCTCAACTCTCCTCTCTACTTTCTTCCTTCCACATTCTACCTGCTCTGAAAAAAGAATCCAGTCTAATTTGTGTTGAGAAATACTCATAGTCAGATGGCAAAAAGGATAACATGAGGAAGAGAGCTCATTTCCACCCTTCTGCTGTTGGTTGATACAATGTGCATGGAGGGTTAAACTCTGACCAAGGAATTGATTGAAGATCAGCGAGGCAGTGCGTTTCCAGGTTTATGTTTGAACAAGGGAAGTCTAGATATGTGAATAGCAAACCATGAGAGGTGACAACAGCAGAGGGAGGGTTCTGGAATGAAGTTATATGAGAGACTGCCAACAAACCTGGACCAATGAGGGCTGCAATTGTCCAGCCTCCCAACCCTCAGCCTGCCTGTCTGCAGAGACCAGCTTGTTCTCTTTCATTTCAGCAGTGCCCCCACTCCTTGGTTTTTACACAAAGAATAATAATTCCCTATCCCTTGCCTGCCTGTAAGGAAGCATTGTGAAGAATGGTGAATTCCCAACCCTAAAACACTTGGAATTCATTCAACAAAACATCCTGCCTTTATTTCATTACCTATAGAGTGCAGTTTTCTGTAAGAAAGGAAAGGTTGCATTTTTCGCTCCTATGAAGGAAAAATAGAAGCCATAGCCCCTTTCAAATCAAAGTTTTGTTCTTGAGTCAAAGGCACTCCTGAGGCTCCTGCCAAGTCCAATGAAAAGGCTTTGTTTGATTCTCTAAAGCTGTCAGGGTTCATAAAGGTCATCATTTCATTCACGCTGGGTTTGAGGACAGTGTTCTTTCTCTGCTTTTGACAAGCAGCTGGAATTGAAGGCTAAGTTTTCTTTTTGTTGCTACCTGGCCCTCTTTCCTTTTTTTCTGACTTAATGTATATCTAATCACCCAGAAGGTAGTCAGTCATGTTATGATCTATTTTACTTAAAAAGTGTCATAATTATATAAGTTCATGGCAATGTAAGCGTATCAAAACTCATAGAAAAATGACAGAAAACTGAAATCTAATTCCTTTCTTCAGGGTCAAAAAGCTGCTACCTTTCCACGGGCCTTCTAATTTCTCCCCTGGACAGAGGCATCCATGAATCATCATCACAAACCAGCCAGAACACAGTCAGAAAACAGTCAGCCCCACTCTCACTTAAGAGTGAGCAGAAGCCTCCTTTATACAGGAAATTCCAGTCAATAAACGTAGAGGCGGAGCTGGGGACACGCAAATGGGATTCAGAGACAAGGAGATGAACTCAAAAGTATCTGGAAAGAAACTTAAAACCCCTTGTGGCAAATACCACCATAATAATAGTTGCAGGCGGCTGAGTGTGGTGGCTTATGCTTATAATCCCAGCACTTTGGGAGGACGAGGCAGGAGGATCACTTGAGCTCAGGAGTTCCAGACAAGCCTGGACAACATGGTGAAAACTCATCTCTACAAAAATTAGCCAGGCATGGTAGCATATGTCTATAGTCTCAACTACTTAGGGGGCTGACATTAGCCATGATTGTACCACTGCACTCCAGCCTGGGCAACAGAGCAAGACCCTGTCTCAAAATAATAAAAATAATAATAGTTGCTAGCAAGAGTAAATGGCAAAATTATTAGTAAGCAAAAGCATGAAGGCAAACAGGATATTTGCATAGACTCAAAGTATACTCCGATAAGAGTCTTCCTAAATTCAAAGGGAAAATAGTAAATTTACAGTGGAGAAATGTGTGATGGAGTTAATATCACCAGTATTGAAACATATCTACATCATGTATCTCCTAATATGATATACTGACAAGGACACAATATCATGTCTGTGGTATTCTGGCCAAAAACCCATAACCTTGAATTTTTTCTTTTTTTTTGAGACTGTTTCATTTCTTGTTGCCCAGGCTGGAGTGCAGGGTGTGATCTTGGCTCACTGCAACCTCCACCTCCCAGATTCAAGTGATTCTCCTGCCTTAGCCTCCCAAGTAGCTGGGACTACAGGCGCCTGCCACCACACCCAGCTACTTTTTTTGTATTTTTAGTAAAGACAGGATTTCATCGTGTTAGCCAGGATGGTCTCGATCTCCTGAACTCATGATCCGCCTGCCTTGGCCTCCCAAAGTGCTGGGATTACAGGCATGAGCCACCACGCCCGGCCGGCACCCAGGTTCTTGTCTGGCATCCAGGAAGAATCAGGTCACACAAACAGATTGAAGGGTAGTGTATGTGGAGTATTTTATTTGACGATGGAAGTGGCTGTCAGTGGGATAGGAGTTGGAAAGGGGATGGTGCAGGAAGGTGATCTTTCCCTGAAGCTGCACCATCTGAGGTTAGCGGTGTCTATCCACAGTCTCCAAGGTTCAGTTGCTTCTCTGCTCGCCACTCAGCTGCTTGTGTTGCTCTGCCAGCTGAAGTCTTTTTATGGGCACAGGATAGGGGCATGGCAGGCCAAAAAGTAAACATTTGGATAGAAAAGTAAGGATCAGCTCTTTTCACTTAGGGCTGCAGTTCCAGGCTTAAGGGTGGGGTTTAGCCAGGAGCCCAGCTATTTTGATATCTATTGGTATCAAAAGGTCAAACCAAGCACTTGGATCTCTCAAGTCAGCTGCTTGGCCCTCTTCCAAGGGTACTTTACTTCCTTTTGTTCCTGCTCTAAAACTTTTTAATAGAACTTTACTCCTGCTCTGAAACTTGCCTCAGTCTCTCACTCTGCCTTATGCCCCTCAGATGAATTCTTTCCTCTGAAGGGGCAAAAATCGAGTTACTGCAGACCCGTATGCCGCAGACCCGCTGCTAACACTGGACTCAAGTTATCCTACTGCCTCCCAAAGTGCTGGGATTACAGGTGTTGCAACTGCCCAGTGGGTTCACCTTGCCCAGTGCCTAGACAGAGTCAATTTATCAGTACAGGGGAATTGCAATATAGAAAGAGTAATCACATAGAGCCAACTGGATGAGAGACCAGAGTTTATAATTACTCAAATCAGTCTCCCCGAGCATTTGGGGACTGGAGTTTTTAAAGATAATTTGCTGGGTAGGGGCCAGTGAGTTGAGATTTGCTGATTGCTTGAGTTGGAGATAAAATCATAGGGAGTCAAAACTGTCCTCTTGTGCTGAGTCAGTTTCTGGGTGGGGGCCACAAGACCAAATGAGCCAGTTTCTTGATCTGGGTGATGTCGGCTGATCCATCAAGTGCAGGGTCTGCAAAATATCTCAAGCACTGATCTTAGGTTTTACAATAGTGAGGTTATCTTCAGGAGCAATTTGGGGAGGGTCAGAATCTTGTAGCCTTTGGCTACATAACTCCTAAACCATAATTTCTAATCTTCTGTCTAATTTGTTAGTCCTACAAAGGCCAAACTGGTCCATAGGCAAGAAGGGGGTTTGTTTCAGGAACGGGCTGTTATCTCTTTGTTTCAAACTATAAACTAAGTTCCCCACAAAGTTTGTTCAGCCTACACCCAAGAATGAACAAGGACAGCTTAGAGGTTAGAAGCAAGATGGAGTTGGTTAGGTCAGATCTCTTTCACTGTCTCAGTTATGATTTTGCAATGGCAGTTTCAGTGTGAGCCACCAAGCCCAGCCTAGACTCTTTCTTTACTGCGGTGCTGAGGTCTCAGTGAATTCATTTTGTCTGTGCAGTCGGCAGGAAGAATCCATTCGGTGATTACACAAAGGAAACCCTCACAAGACCAACAGAGCAAAATCTAATTCCTCCAGTTGTGGAAAATTAGGAGAGACCCCTAAGTGTCAGGATCTGTCCTTAGGGAGGTTCAAAGACCTGCCTCCTCAGTCATGTGTGACTGCCTTTCCACCACCTCTCCCTGTTTTTGTCCTGGTAAAACCAAAGACAATCCCAGGAGTGCCTTGGAGACTATGCAAGAAGGCAACTTAAAGGATAATGAAAAAGAAAGAGAGCTGGCCCACATTTTGCCTGGGTGATTATGGAGGGCTTTATGAAATCATTGATCGTAATAAGGGTCCTAGAGAAAGTGACCACACTGGGTCCCACCAGTGGGGTGGGAGTGAGGGTGTTGTTGGGGCCCAGGACATACCACCCCGAAATACCCAAACTATTCCTCTTTGGCATATTATTAGCCTGCTTGGCTTGTTGTCTTTTTTTTTTTTTTTTTTAGAAACTGCAGACAAATGAGCAGCTCTGAAAACCTGCCCTTTTGTAAAGGAAATTTACATCTATGAAGGAAATTTTCATTAGTAAATGTGCCTGTACCACGAAGAAAGCTGTTCCAGGCAACTTTTGACACCTGAAAGACTTTTATCTGCCTAACAAGGCAAATTTTATTTACCATACATTTCTCCTCCTGCTCTCCCATAATTTGTTAACCCTGCCCACCTCCCATCAGAAGCCCCAGGCCACTGTTCCTGTTTGTAGCTCAGGATGTTATATAAGCTTCAGTCATCTGGCCCTTCAGTCATTTTTGTGGGGTTCCCATGCAAGTACATATAATAAAATGACTTTTCTTTTTCATATTTTTTTTGAGGCAGGGTCTCACTTTGTCACCCAGACAGTAGTGCAGTGGTGCGATCACAGCTCATTGTAGCCTTGATCTTCTGGGCTCAAGCGATCCTCCTGCCTTTTTTTTGTTTTTTTTTGTTTTTTTTTGTTTTTTTTAGAGATGAGGTCTCATTATGTTGCCTAGGTTGGTCTCGAACTCCTGAGCTCAAGCTGTTTTTCCCACCTTGGTGTCCAAATGCTGGAATTATAGGCATAAGCCACCGTGCCCAGCTACAATATTTTTTCTCCTGTTAATCTGTCTCATGTCAATTTAATTTGTAGCCCAGTC
The DNA here is from genome assembly GCF_000001405.40 of Homo sapiens. NCBI lineage: Eukaryota > Metazoa > Chordata > Mammalia > Primates > Hominidae > Homo > Homo sapiens. Next base: position 95,359,353 of record NC_000013.11, read on the forward strand.
AAAAGTCCTAGGAAGGTGGATGAAAGCCATTTTTCCCTCTCCCCTGCCAGTGTGGTGGGAGGGGAGGTTGACCTGGGCCTGAAGGGTCCCCAGGAAGGGCAGAGAACACAGTGGAAGACACTGATCACTAACCCCAGATCTAAAGCATTGAGGGACAAAGGCCATTGCTTTGTTTCCTGCACAGGGTACTGCATTGGAAGTTTGTCCTCTCTTTGTTTTTTTTTTTTTTTTTTTTTTGAGACAGGGTCTTACTCTGTTGTCCAGACCAGAGTGCATGGAGTATAGTGATGCGATCATAGCTCACTGCAGTCTTGACCTCCTGGGCTCAGGCAATCCTCCTCCCTCAGTCTCCCAAGTAGCTGGGACTGCAGGCACATGCCACCACACCTGGCTGTTTTTTTTTTATTTTTGTAGAGATGGGGTCTCACTATACTCTCCAGGATGGTCTTAAACTCCTAGGCTCAAGCAAACTTCCTGCTTTGGCCTGTCAAAGTGCTGGGTTTACAGGTAAGAGAGCCATCATGCCTGGCCCAAGGAAAGTTTGCCCTTTTGTGAGGGAGGATCTAGGTCCACAAGCTTTGTCTGCATGAAGACAGGGATTTGGAATGTAGCATAGTAAGATGGTATAATGCACATGGTGTGCTGGCCCAGTCATTTGTACCTCTGTTTATGTCCTAGAGGGTAGCATTGACCTGAAAGAAAAGCACTGCATTTCTTCAAAGCATGGGCAGCAACTCTGGACTGAGTGTCTAATGTATTGTTACTGGTAAGGAGGTCCCAATCCAGGCCCCACTGGAGGGCTCTTGGATGTCGCACAAGAAAGAATTCAGGGCAAGGCCATAGTAAAGTGAAATAATGCAGCAAAGGAGTGAAAGAATAGCTACTCCATAGACAGAATAGGGTGTTCCTGACAGTAAGAGGAGGAATGCACCCACCCTGGGTGCAATGCTTGTTTACATATAAGATAACAAACAAATCATGGGGAGATGTGCTGACTACAAGGTTCATGATAAAGGATTAATCTTTGTAATTACCACCTTTCCGAAGAATCGATATTATTATCTTTAAACTTATTCTTGGACTAGGAATGCTTTTGTTCTTGAGATATGGGGACATCAGGACCTTTCTGGGTCTGTTAAGTCCTGTGTCTGTTTGGTAAACATTATTAATTTGTTTCTTAACCATAAACAGCTTGTGACTAAGAATGCCTAACCTTCTGGGAATACAGCCCAGCATGTCTCAGCCTCGTTTTTCTCAGCCCCTATTCAAGATAGAGTCACTCTGGCTGAAGCATTTCTGACAGTATTAATAGGAGGGTGCCTCCCCCCATCCCTGTGTGAGTTTTTCCTAAAGCTGAGCTGGAAGGACAACAAACACAGTTTCCACCTCAAGTGGCAAGATACCATCACAACACCCCCGGGAGATACATGCTGTCAGCAGGTGACTGCTTGACTACAGTTAAACTACTTCTGCAAAATTTATCGGAGTGAGAAAATTATGACAGCAAAAGGGATCTGACCTGACTCACTCCATCTTGCTTTTCTTTTCTTTCTTTCTTTTTTTTTTGGAGACAGAATTTTGCTCTTATTACCCAGGCTGGAGTGCAATGGCACGATCTTGGCTCACCGCAACCTCTGCCTCCCGGGTTCAAGCGATTCTCCTGCCTCAGCCTCTGGAGTAGGTGAGATTACAGGAAAGTGCCACCACGCCTGGCTAATTTTTTTGTATTTTTAGTAGAGACGGAGTTTCCCTGTGTTGGTCAGGCTGGTCTCAAACTTCCCACCTCAGGTGATCCGCCCGTCTCAGCCTCCCAAAGTGCTGGGATTACAGGCGTGAGCCACTGTACCCGGGCTTTTTGTTTTGTTTTGTTTAGTTTTTGAGACAGAGTGTTGCTCTGTCGCCCAAGCTGGAGTGCAATGGCACAATCTTGGCTCACCACAACCTCCACCTCCCAGATTCAAGCAATCCTCTTGCCTCAGCCTCCGAAGTAGCACCTGCCACCACGCCCAGATAATTTTTGTATTTTTAGTAGAAACGGTGTTTCACCATGTTGGTCAGGCTAGTCTCAAACTCCTGACCTCAGATGATCCACCAGCCTTGGAACTCCCAAAGTGCTGGGATTACAGGCATGAGACACCACACCCGGCCTCCATCTTGCTTCTAACCTCCAAGCTGCCCTCGTTCATTGATGTAGGCCAAACTAACTTTAGGAGGAACTTAGTTTACAGTTTAACTTTGAAACAAATACTGACACAGAAGGTAGAAAGAAATTATATGGGCAAATAGTGAAGGCAACAGAGTCCTCAGCAGAACTTCTCTTCTGACAAAAGCAGCCCCCAAATCATTTATTTTCTAACAAAGAGCAGCCTGAAAAATCGAGCTGCAGACATAGATAAGGAAGCTAGAAGCTTGTGTGGGCAAATGCCAGCAACTGTGCCAATAGAAAAGGGCTATCTGGGGGCCAGGCATGTCCAACATCGAGGCTTCATCTTCCTTTTTTTTGTTACCACATGTGCAGTAATAGAGAAAAGGGCAACATGGCACAGCTCAGGCAGAGAACCTGCCTGCATAAAAAAGATTAGGGTGGGGATACAAGAAATTCACGCCCTATGCAAATGGCATAACCAGTTTTTTGTGCCCTATGTAAATCAGGCACCACCTCCTCACAAGCTTATCTATAAACCCCCCTGCATTTCACAATGGATTTGGCTACCCATTTTTCCAGGACCCTTCTCTGCAGCAGAGAGCTCTTCTCTTTCTTTTTCTTTTTAAACTTCTGCTCTTAACCTCACTTTTTTGTACCCATGTCCTCGTTCTCCATGACCATGGGACAACAAACCTTGGGTATTACTCCAGACAACAAGGCCATTTCAATATGATAACAGCCCTTTCCCAAAGCAAACCCCTTTCTTGCCTGAGGACCAGACTGCCTTTGTAGGACTAACGAATTAGACACAAGATTAGAAATTATAGTTTAGGAGTTGCCCAGGTGCAGTGGCTCACATCTGCAATCCCAGCACTTTGGGAGGCCGAGGCAGGTGGATCACAAGGTCAGGAGATGGAGACCATCCTGGCCAACATGGTGCAACCCCGTCTCTACTAAAAATACAAAAATTAGCCAAGCATGGTGGCATGCACCTGTAGTCCCAGCTACTTGGGAAGCTGAGGCAGGAGAATTGCTTGAACCTGGGAGATGGAGGTTGCAGTGAGCTGATATCATGCCACTGCACTCCAACTTGGGCAACAGAGCAAGACTCCATCTCAAAAAAAAAAAAAAATCATAGTTTAGGAGTCATGCAGCCCCAGAGGCCACAAGATTCCAAACTTCCCCCATTGCTCCTAGGGATAATCTCACTACTGTAAAGTCTAAGATCAGTGCTTGAGATATTTTCCTGACCTTGAATTCTGATGCACCAACTGACACCATCCAGTCCCGTAATCTGGATCAACCAGTTCTGCCATCCCACCCGGGGACAGAAGACAGCAATAAGTACCCACTTTGACTCCGTATAACTTTATCTCCGACCTGACCAATCAGCACTCCCCACTCCCTGTCCAAATTATCATTTAAAAACTCCAGTCTCATAGGAAATGGATGGCTCAGTATTATAAAAATTAAAAAATGAGAAATGAAGAAAATTTTAATCATTTAAAAAAACTTAAAAAGTATGACTGGGCATGGTGGCTCACGTCTGTAATCCCAGCACTTTGGGAGGCTAAGGTGGGCAGATTGCGAGGTCAGGAGGTTGAGACCATCCTGGCTAACACAGTGAAACCCCGTCTCTACTAAAAACACAAAAAAATTAGTCAGGCGTGGTGGTGGGCGCCTGTAGTCCCAGCTACTCAGGAGGCTGAGGCAGGAGAATTGTTTGAACCCGGGAGGCAGAGGTTGCAGTGAGCCAAGACTGCACCACTGCACTCCAGCCTGGGCAACAGAGCAAGACTCCATCTCAGAAAAAATAAAATAAAATAAATAAAATAAATTTAAAAAACAAAAACCCCAGTCTCTGAATTTTGGGGGAGACTGATTTGAGTAATAAAACTCCAGTCTCCTGTTTAGCTGGCTCTGCGTGAATTAAACTTTTTCTCTATTGCAGTACCCCTGTCTTGATAAATTGGCTCTATCTGGACTATAGGCAAGGAGAACCTGTTGAACAGTTACAACCGGAGGAGAGCCAAGGCTACTCATGAGCACGGGTGATGCTGTTCAGGAACAGCCTTGGAAACTTGGAGGACAGAGGGATTTCATTGATGTTCAGAAGGAAGCTGGGCAAGGGACTCATAGATGGTCTCCCATGAGTCCCTGGCACATGGAGACCACTAGTGGGTCTCCATGACCTTACTTCACCCCTAAGCTAAAGTGGCTGGACAAACAGCTTCCTTGGCTAAGTGAGCCTTGGGTTCCCAGCTCCATTTCCCCTTTCTCAGTTTCATTATCTGTCTCTACAACAGCACCCACAGTTCAATGACAACAGGGACCCCAGCTTTTGCTACTGGAGGAACAGCTCATGGAAGTGTGCAAGGGAACATATTTTCTTTCTTTCTTTTTTTTTTTTTTTTGAGATGGAGTCTCGCTCTGTCACCCAGGCTGGAGTGCAATGGCGCAACTTCGGCTCACTGCAACATCTGCCTCCCAGGTTCAAGTGATTCTCCTACCTCAGCCTCCTGAGTAGCTGGGATTACAGGTGCCCAGCTAATTTTTGTATTTTTAGTAGAGACAGGGTTTCACCATTTGGTCAGGCTGGTCTTGAACTCTTGACCTCGTGATCACCCGCCTCAGCCTCCCAAAATGCTGGGATTACAGGCATGAGCCACTCACTGTGCCTGGCACAAGGGAAGATACTTCTAGAGCAGATCCTGGCCTCAGGCTTTTGATTACCCCTAAACTACAGGATACTTATTGGAATCCCAACTGTGAGGACAAGAACATGTGGTTATCTTGCTAGAAGATGCAACTATAGTTTTTTTAAATTTAATTAATTTTTTTGAGACAGGGTCTTGCTCTGTTGCCCAGGCAGGAGCACAGTGGCATGAACACAACTCACTGCAGCCTCGACTTCCTGGGCCCAAGTAATCCTCCTGCCTTAGTCTTGCCACCTCAACCTGTGTAGTTGGGATCACAGGCACAAGCCGCCATGCCTGGCTAACTTTTTGATTTTTTTGTAGAGATGGGGTCTCACTTTGTTGCCCAGGCTGCTCTCAACCTGAGCTCAAGCAATCCTCCCACCTTGGCCTCCCAGAGTGCTGGGGTTATAGGTACGAGCCATTGTGTCCGACCTAACAACTATGATTTCTTTAGGACGTCAGAATTTACATAATGAGGAGAATGTTGGATATTCACTTTGGCATTATAGGCTTCTCAAACCCCTGAACTTGTTTTCCTACCACTAATTGGAGGCCATTCTGTTTTTTGTTTTTTTTTTGTAGGAAAAGAGTCTCACTATGTTGCTCAAGCTAGTCTCTAATTCCAGGCCTCCCAAATTGGTGAGATTACAGATATGAACCACCACACCCAGCCAGGAGGCCATTCTTGACAGCCCTCCCTTTATTTTTCTTTCTAGCTGAGATTCTAAAGTAGTCATCTTTGACACATACCTTTCCCTTCCCTAATTTAGTCAAGCAAATATTCTGTTTATTTCCCCTTTGCAAATCTTTTTATTTTTATTGATTTTTAAAAATAATTTTTAATTAATTTTATTTTTATAGAGATGGGGTCTCGCCATATTGCCCAGGCTGGTTTCAAACTCCTGGTCTCAAGCAATCCTCCCCCCTCGGCCTCCCAAAATTCTAGGATCACAGGTGTGAGCCACTGTGCCCTGACTCTCTTTGCAAATCTTTTCAACTTCGATGTTAAAACTAAAAGAAAACATAAGATTCAGTTCCTGTGATCAAGTTGTTACTGAGTTCTGAGCTACATGTAAAGATGGAATAGTCTGTGTGTGGTAGCACACACCTGCAGTCCCAGGTACTCAAGAGGCTGAAGTGGGAGGATCACTTGAGCCCAGGAGCTGGAGACCAGCCTGGGCAATATAGCAAGTCCCCGTCTCTTAAACAAAACAAAACAAAACAAAACACCTGTATGGTTTTGGTAAAATAAACTGCAAGTGTGTTGGTTGAACAGTTTTCATTTTTGCTTGGCTTGATTTTATGTATTTATTCATTCATTCATGTATTAATCCTCACTAAAACTCATCTTTACTAATTTAGCTCTGCAATTCCAGTCTTAGAACCTCCCATGAAGCTCAAAGGAAGATATAGGAAGAGGTGAGGATGTTGGAAGTGGACGGGTAGTTCTCAACTTGGGGCCCCAATTTTGCTCTAAGGCAAAAAACACAGGCCCTAGCAAAGAAAAAAGTCACTGTGCCTGGGGATGATTGTTCAGATGGTAAAGGAGGCCCTCAAGAGTGGTCGAATCAGTATATTCAGAAGGCAGTGCTAGAGTCAGCCTCATGAACCAGGGGACTTCTTTTTTTGGCATCCAAGTCCTTTTGAATTTCTTCAAGTTCCTTTTTTTTTTTTTGAGATGGAGTTTCAAAAATTTATTGTTAATCTCCTTTTATGTACCAGGCTCTGCTGTAGATGGCAAACAAAACAAGGCAAAGTCATACCTCCTACAGAACTCATGTTCTAGTGGAGAGATAAAATATTGTCAATAAAAATATTGTCACCCAGACTGGGGTGCAATGGCGTGATGTCGGTTCACCGCAACCTCTGCCTCCCGGGTTCAAGCAATTATCCTGCCTCAGCCTCCCGAGTAGCTGGGATTATAGGCATGCACCACCATGCCCAGCTAATTTTGTATTTTTAGTAGAGACGGGGTTTTTTTCCATGTTGGTCAGGCTGGTCTCGAACTCCCGACCTCAGGTGATCCGCCCGCCTCTGCCTCCCAAAGTGCTGGGATTACAGGTGTGAGCCATCGTGCCTGGCCGAATTTCTTCAAGTTCTTTAGCCTGATATGGTATGTCATAGTTCTGAGCCAGATGCATTCCAACCACATTGTCCAAAGTAAATCCAAACGGGAACCAGAACATGATGTTGGGGGGCAGGCAAAGAGGGCGCAAAGGGCAGCTGGTTTATATTTTGATGGGATGCTACCAGTTACGCTTTTTTTTTTTTTTTTGAGATAGAGTTTCACTCTTGTGGCCCAAGCTGGAGTGCAATGGCACGATCTTGGTTGGCTGCAACCTCTGCCTTCCGGGTCCAAGCGATTCTCCTGCCTCAGCCTACCGAGTAGCTGGGATTACAGGCATGCGCCACTACGCCCAGCTAATATTTTGTATTTTTAGTGGAAATGGGGTTTCACCATGTTAGCCAGGCTGGTCTTGAACTCCTGATCTCAGGTGATCCACCCACCTCGGCTTCCCAAAGTGCTGGGATTACAGGCGTGAGCCACTGCGCCCAGCCGAGATGCTACCAGTCATTCTTTTTTGTTTTTTGTTTTTTGTTTTTTGAGAGACAGTTTCACTCTTGTTGCCCAGACTGGAGTGCAATGGCGTGATCTCCGCTCACCGCAACCTCTGCCTCCCGGGTTCAAGCGATTCTCCCGCCTCAGCCTCGCGAGTAGCTGGGATTACAGGCATGTGTTACCATGCTCGGCTAATTTTGTACTTTTAATAGAGATGGGGTTTCTCCATGTTGGTCAGGCTGGTCTCGAACTCCCGACTTCAGGTGATCCACACAACTCGGCCTCCCAAAGTGCTGGGATTATAGGCGTGAGCCACCGTGCCCAGCCAACGCTACCAGTCATCCTTAAGGAAGTACTCTTCCAAAACTGTAACTGCCCAATGGGTTCACCCTGCCCACTGCCTATGTTACCAGTGGAAGATATCCGAGTTACCCCGAGTTACCAGCAGTGTATCATATGGGTCTGCAGCAACTTCAATTCTTGGCTCCTCAGAAGAAAGAATTTGACTGAGAGGAATAAAACAGAAAAAGAGACCAAGGCAAGTTTCAGAGCAGGAGTAGAAGTTTATTTTAAAAGGCTTTAGAACAGGAAAGAAAGGAAAGTTCACTTGGAAGAGATCCAAGACGCGCCTGAAGGTCAAAAAGAGCATTTAACATTAATTCCAGGACTTCATAGGCTCACCTCTTTACCATGGTTCTTCCCTTAGTGGGCACTTCCTGCTTGCACAGCGCTCCCTTTACCCTGGGGAATTGAGCATGTGCAGTGTGTTTAGGAGGGTATACTCATGCCATCTGAGGCTCTCTTCCCTTTTCTGGTGAAGTATCCCCGGAAGGCCATATTTTGTCATTTTATCTCTTAGTGTGCATGCCCAGGAAGTTTCTTCTCCCGGGCATCTGCATTCAATTAACACTTTAATGTTAACAGCTGTGGATCATCAGGAGACCGTCTCTCCCAGGTGCCCTGGCACCACTGCAGAGTTATCATTTTTAGAAAGACAGTGTGATAATTGTCTAATCACCTGACCTTCCTAGTGGATGGGAAGAGAGCCCTCTCCTGCCTGGCTCATGCCTATCTAACTACCTGTAACAACTAGACAGAGATGATTTATCAAGACAGGGGAATTGCAATAGTTCACGAGATTCTCCTGACTCAGCCTCCCAAGTAGCTGGGATTACAGGCACTGGCCACCAAGCCTGGCTAATTTTTGTAATTTTAGTAGAGATGGGGTTTCACCATGTTGGCCAGGCTGATATTGAACTCCTGACCTCAGGTGATCCACCCACCTTGGCCTCTCAAAGTGCTGGAATTACAGGCATGAGTCACCACACCCGCTCCCAGAGCTAGGATTTGGACCAGAATCTGGCTTCAGAATTTGTGCTTTTGGGCCAGGCGCGGTGGCTCACGCCTGTAATCCCAGCACTTTGGGAGGCTGAGGCAGGCAGATCGCGAGGTCAGGGGCTCAAGACCAGCCTGAGCAACATGGTGAAACCCCATCTCTACTAAAAATACAAAAATTAGCCAAGCATGGTGGTGGTGTAATCCCAGCTACTCAGGAAGCTGAGGCAGGAAAATCACTTGAACCTGGGAGGCAGAGGTTGCAGTGAGCCCAGATTGTGTCATTGCACTCCAGCCTGGTGACAGAGCAAGACTCTGTGTCAAAAAAAAAAAAAAAAAAAAAAAGATTTGTGCTCTTACACACACACGTCACAGAGTATGAATTAATACTTTTTTTTTTTTTTTTTTTTTGGAGACAGACTCTTACTTTGTGGCACAGGCTGGAGTGCAGTGGCATAATCATGGCTCCCTACAGCCTCAAGCTCCCAGGCTCAAGTGATCCCACTTGAGCACCTTAGCCTCCCTAGTAGCTGGGACCACAGGTGCACACCAATACACTCGGCTAATTTTTTATTTTTTGTAGAGACAGGGTCTCCCTGTGTTTCCCAGGCTGGTCTTGAACTCCTGGGCTTAAGTGGTCCTTGAAACTGGACCTCCCAAAATGTTAGGATTACAGGTGTGAGCCACCATGTCTGGCCCTTAATATATATTTTTTCTTTTTTTTTCCCCTTGTGTTTTTTTCTTTATTTTTTGTTATCTTTTTTTTAATAGTCATTTTAAAATATTTTCTCTAGGTTGGATTTAGTTTTGCCATTTGTAGTTTTCTGGTATGGGTGCAGAAGCAACAGAATTCTTCCCTGAATTTCCTGCAAAGATGATTTGGCATCATGGAGAACAGGATGGACATACTCTGTGGTCAAACAATCCTATTTTTTTCGTTGAACTAGCTCTGTGAATTCTAGCAGAATTCTAGCCAATAAATGAACTTCATCTTAATCATCAAATTGCTCCAATTTTGAGTCGTAACCATATGCACACAGCAAGTCAATATGCTGAGACATTGGGTTGCAGCAGAGAAAGGGTAATCATAAGTTCACCAAACGGGGATGTGTTAGTCAGTTCTCACACTGCTATAAAGAACTACCTGAGACTGGGTAATTTTTGAATAAAAGAGGTTTAGTTGACTCAGTTCTGCAGGCTTAACAGGAAGCATGACTGAGAGGCCTCAGGAAATTTACAATCATGGTGGAAGGAGGAGAGGAGGCAAGCACCTTCTTCACAAGGCGGCAGGAGAGGGAGAGTGTGCAGGGGAAAAGCCAGACAATGATCAAGCAACCAGATCTCATGAGAACGCACTCACTATCACAAGCACAGAAAGGGGGAAGTCCACTCCCATGATCCAGTCACCTCCCACCAGGTTCCTCCCCTGACATGTGGGGATTACAATTTGAGGTGAGATTTGGGTGGGGATACTGAGCCAAACCATATCAGGGGAGATGGGAGGAAACCTCAAATCCATCTCCCTGAGGAGCTTGGGGGTAGGGTTTTTAAGGGTTTTAGGGTGGGCTGAAGTGTAGAGATTGTTGATTGGTTGAAGAGTGCAGGCTGAAGTTATGGGAAAGAAGGATGAAGAAGCTGTGTTCTCATGCTAATCCTGTTCCACAGTGGAGGTCTTCAAACTGGTTGCTTGAATGCAGTATCCAAAAACCATCTTAAAGAAGGCCAGGCACAGTGGCTCACATCTGTAATCCCAGCACTTTGGGAGGCCAAGATGGATGGATCATTTGAGGTCAGGAGTTTGAGACCAGCCTGGCCAACATGGTGAAACCCTGTCTCTACCAAAACTACAAAAATTAGCTGGGCATGGTGTCACACGCCTGTAATCCCAGCTACTCAGGAGGCTGAGGCAGGAGAATTGCTTGAACTCAGGAGGTGGAGGTTGCAGTGAACCAAGATTGCACCAGTACACTCCAGCCTGGAGGACAGAACAACACTTTGTCTTAAAAATAAAAATGAAAAACATCTTCAGGGATCCTTAAACAAAAGACCCTTAAATTAAAATTAAATTAATACAGAAATGGGGGTCTCACTTTGTCACCCAGGCTGATCTCGAATTCCTGGGCTCAAGTGATCCTCCCACCTCAGTCTCCCATCAAATCAATTCTTAAACAGTCTTATGACCCTAATGCCAGAAGTCCCCTCTATAGGAACAAGGGGTGTATGCGAATGGTCAGTCTCTAGTAACTTTTAGCAACAAGAAAGTAGGCTAAAGTGCAGCCTGATCATTGCTTAATCATAGCTATATTTCTGTCCAGAACAAGACATGCAATTCTTATCAACCCTGTGGGGACAGTTTTAGAATTACTAATTTATAGAGTTAAACATAGTAACATATAGAAATGATCTTATACTAATAGTTTGATTCGTATTTTTCACATAATTTACTGATTGGACTTCATAAAAACTTACAAGATGTTACAGACCACAGGCTGTTTGACTCCCCATGTAATAAAAACGTAACACTGGGCCAAGCAGATTTCCTAGACACGACTTTTATTTTGGGGCTTGTGCTCAAGCGCAAGGGGAACAGCACAGCGCAAGGATCCTCAGACTGACTCTTCGAAAAAGCTGGTAGAAAATTTTTTTTGAGACAGTTTCACTCTGTTGCCCAGGCTGGAGTGCAGTGGCGCGATCTTGGCTCACTTCAACCTTCGCCTCCCAAGTTCAAGATTCTCCTGCCTCAGCCTCCCGAGTAGCTGGGATTACAGGCACCCGCCACCATGCCCTGCTAATTTTTTCTTTGTTTTTTGAAACGGAGTTTCGCTCTTGTTGCCCAGGCTGGACTGCAATGGCGAGATCTTGGCTCACCACAACTTCTGCCTCCCGGGTTCAAGTGATTCTCCTGCCTAAGCCTCCCGAGTAGCTGGGATTACAGGCATGCACCACCATGCCCAGCTAATTTTGTATTTTTAGTAGAGACGGGATTTCTCCATGTTGGTCAGGCTGCTCTCAAACTCCCGACCTCAGGTGATCCTTCCGCTTCGGCCTCCCAAAGTGCTGGGATTACAGGCATGAGCCACCGTGCCCAGCCTAATTTTGTATTTTTAGTATAAGAGACAGGGTTTCACCATGTTGATCAGGCTGGTCTGAAACTCCTGACCTCAAGTGATCCACCCGCTTCAGCCTCCCAAAGTGCTACGATTACAGGCGTGAGCCACCATGCCCAGCCAATTATGGCATATTTAAAGAATAGAAAACAAATTGGCTTCAGTTAATGGAGTTTGTACAAAATGCATTTGTAAGAACCAAGTCAGGATCCCAAATTGATGCTATATTTATAGAATAAAGACAAGAAAAGTTGATTACTCAATTAAAGCAATCCCAATATTAAAAGATATAAAAATTTCTCTTTTTTCTTTTTTTAAAGAAGAGAGCTCATCGTGTTGCCCACACTGGTCTCCAACTCCTGGGCTCAAGTGGTCCTACCACCTCATCCTCCCAAAGAGCTGGGATTATAGGCATGAGCCATCCATTGTGCCTGGCCAAGAATTTCTTTAAGGAGTAATAATCTGTACGAGTGTCACAGATAAAAATTCCAGCATGTTTTGCATTTTCTCAAAGTACACTCCAAAGACATGATATTCAGCACATCATGCTCCAAGTTAAGCTCTATTGTTGATTCCCCCCTTCCTTAATATTCTGCCATATTTCTCCTGTTCTTTCTTATTCTTTTTCTTTTTTTTGAAACGGAGTTTCGCTCTGCCGCCCAGGCTGAAGTGCAATGGCGCAGTCTCAGCTCGCTGCAACCTCTGCCTCCTGGGTTCAAGCAAATCTCCTGCCTCAGCCTTCCGAGTAGCTCAGACTACAGGCACTTGCCACCACACCCGGCTAATTTTTTTTTTTAATTTTTGTTTGTTTGTTTGTTTGTTTATTTATTTATTTATTTATTTATTTGAGACGGAGGTTCACTCTGTCGCCCAGGCTGGAGTGCAGTGGTACGATCTCAGCTCACTACAACCTCCGCCTCTCAGGTTCAAGCGATTCTCCTACCTCAGTCTCCCACGTAGTTGGGATTACAGGCTCCTGCCACCATGCCTGGCTAATTTTTGTATTTCTAGTAGAGATGGGGTTTCACCATGTTGTCCAGGCCGATCTTGAACTCCTGACCTCAAGTGATCTGCCCACCTCAGCCTCCCAAAGTGCTGGGATTATAGGTGTGAGCCACTGCGCCCAGCCTCTCCTGTCCTTTCTCATAATTTAGTAGATGAGCTCCTTGCATTTTGGATGCAATGAACAAGCCCCACCAAAGGGAAAGATATTTATTTAGGGCTCCCAGGGACAGGGACTGGTGAGCCATCTATGTCTGAGGCTATTCAGGGGCCAGGCAGCCCTGGGGGGTTCTCACTTGCCCCTGGTTGCCCAGCTTGCTTGCTACTCAACACTTCCGCCTCATGCCATGGATGACTTCTGCCCTCCTTGTCTAATAACCAGCCAACTCTTTCTGCTTTCTCCAGCCCAAGAGGGAGCCCATCTGCTTTGTTCAGCCAATTGCCTCATCCTTGCTGGGCAGAATTCATTACTCCAAGCTGCTCATGCAAAAGGATAGATGACCCTGCGCTGAGCTGCCCAGGCCTGGTTCAAATCCTGGCTTGACCTTGGGTAAGTCATTTGATGTTTCTGGTTTTACTTTCTCCCATGTCTAGCTACAAACACAAATCTCAGTGGCATTGCTTTGAGAATAAAATGTGCTGGCCCCTGAACTGCAAAATTTGTATTCTTCCAAATGACTAAGGAGAAAACCAAAAACATCCAAGAGCAGCTTTCTTCAGCCGGAAACTGTAAACTGAGTGAATTTAAGGTCATCTGGTAAAGGGACCTTAAAAATAAGCACGGAAAGACAGCAAGCGTCCTTTTTAAAAGTTATGAAACATTGTACGCACACACAGTTTATTTTAACCTTAAATTTCAGATCTGTACCTTGTTTTACCTTCTCCTTTAGAATTCTTTGTTTGTTTGTTTGTTTGTTTGTTTGCCGGGCATGGTGGCTCACGACTGTAATCCCAGCACTTTGGGAGGCCAAGGTGGGCAAATCACGAGGTCAAGAGATCGAGACCATCCACTGCCAACATGATGAAACCCCATCTCTACTAAAAATACAAATAATTACCTGGGCGTGGTGGCACGTGCCTGTAGTCCCAGCTACTCAGCCTGGTGACAGAGTGAGACTCCGTCTCAAAAAAAAAAGAATTATATATATATTTAATACCCTCTACTAACACCCTTTTTCTAAATTTAAAGTAATTTTTTAGATTGTTAGGGGTCAGGCATGGTGGCTCACTTCGGGAGGCCGAGGCAGGCGGATCACGAGTTCAGGAGTTCAATATCAGCCTGGCCAACATGGTGAAACTCCGTCTCTACTAAAAATACAAAAATTAGCCAGGCATGGTGGCGGGCACCTGTAATCCCAGCTACGCAGGAGGCTGAGACAGAGTCTGGCTCTGTTGCCCAGGCTGGAGTGCAGTGGCGCTATCTTGGCTCACTATAAGCTCCGCCTCCCAGGTTCACGTCATTCTCCTGCCTCAGTCTCCTGAGTAGCTGGGACTACAGGCGTCCGCCACCATGCCCAGCTAATTTTTTGTATTTTTTAGTAGAGACTGGGTTTCACCGTGTTAGCCAGGGTAGTCTCGATCTCCTGACCTCGTGATCCACCTGCCTCAGCCTCCCAAAGTGCTGGGATTACAGGTGTGAGCCACCACGCCCAGCAGGGTATTTTTAGTAGAGACGGGGTTTCACCATTTTGGCCAGGCTGGTCTCCAACTCCTAACCTTGTGATCCGCCTGCCTCAGCCTCCCAAAGTGCTCAGATTACAGGCATGAGCCACCATGCCCAGCCTCTTGCACTTCTAACTCTACCTCATGTCTGCTTCCCAGAGGACTTGGATCCACACAGTCACTTTTGAGGTGACCTGCAGTCTCCATCCCTAGGTAGGAGAAGTTGAGAATCTAGTTGTAGTTTCTTCTTCTTTTTTTAAGAGCCTTATTGAGATATAATTCGCGTACCACACAATTTACCCTTTTAAAGTGTACAATTAAATGGTTTTTAGTATATTCACTGATACGTACAACCATCACTACAGTCCTTTTATTTATTTATGTTGAGACAGGATCTCACTCTGTTGTGCAGGCTGAAGTGCAGTGGTGTGATCATAGCTCACTGCAGCCTCGACCTCCTGGGCACAGGCGATTCTCCTGCCTCAGTCTCCCAAGTAGTTGGAACCACAGGTGCATGCCACCATGCTTGGCTAATTGAGTTTTTTTTTTTTTTTTTGTAGAGACAAGGTATCCCTATGTTGCCCAGGCTGGTCTTGAATTCCTGGGCTCAAGGGATCCTGCCCCCTCGGCCTCCCAAAGTGTTAAGATTACAGGCATTAGCCACTGTGCCTGGCTCCACAGTGCATTTTAAAACATTTTTATCACCTCTAAAAGAAAGACTGCTTGCCTTCCACAGTCACTTCCCTGCTAGGCATCCCTCCACCTCAGCCCCAAGAGACCACTACTCTACTTTTTGTCTCCACAGACTTTCCCAATCTGAACATTTCCTATCACACAATATGGGGTGTTTTGTGTGTGGCTTCTTTGCTTAGCCTAATGCTTTCAAGCTTCATCCATGTTGTAGCATGTGTCGGTACTTCATTTCTCTTTATGGTAAAATCATAATCTATTGTATGGATAGAGAAGTCGTTTCTCACAGGAGCCTGCTGCCTCCCTCTGTTATTTACCATTGGCCTCAGTCACTTGGGGCCTCCTTTCCATTCTTTGCATTCCCACTCTTGCCAAGCTTGATGCTGGCATCTAGCCTGTGGAATCACTGTCTCTTCCACCTGCACACCTGCAAGGCCCTTCACCCAGATCCTTACCTCCTTCTCATTCAGATTGCAGGTATGAAGTCATCTCCTGAGAGAAGCTTTCCCTGACCACAACAATCTCACACCTTACAACATCCATAAACTCACCACCCAATTTTACTTTCTTCAGATCTCTAGTTATTATCTGAAATTATCCGTGCGTCTTCTTTATTGTCTATCTCTCCACTAGAACATGAGTTCTGTAGGAGCTATGACTTTGCCTTGTTTTGTTTGCCATCTACAGCAGAGCCTAGTATATAAAAGAAGATTAACAAATATTTGCTGAATGAATGAATGAAAGTTATCTTCAATTTATAAGGAGAACTACGAAACACTGCTGAGAGAAATCATAGATGATACAAACAAATGGAAACCCATCCCATGATCATGGATTGTAAGAACCAATATCATGAAAATGCCTGTACTGCCCAAAGCAATCTACAGGTTCAGTGCAATTCCTATCAAAATACCAATATCATTTTTCACAGAATTAGAAAAAACAATTCTAAAATTCCTATGACACCAAAAAAGACCCCAAATGCAAAGAAATCCTAAGCAAAAAGAACAAATCTGGAAGCATCACATTACTCGACTTCAAATTACACTACAAGGCTATAGTTACCAAAACAGCATGGTACTGATATAAAAGTAGACATATAGACCAATGGAACACAATAGAGAACCCAGAAATAAAACCAAATACTTACAACCAGCTGATCTTCAACAGAGCATACAAACACATAAATTGCAGAAAGGACACCCTATTTAATAAATGGTGCTGGGAAAACTGGTAAGCCACATGTAGAAGAATGAAACTGGATCCCTGTCTCTCACTTTATACAAAAATAAACTCAAATCAACTCAAGATGGATCAAAGACTTAAATCTAAGACCAGAAACCATAAAAATTCCAGAAGAAAAGCCTAGGAAAAACTCTTCTGAACATTGACCTATGCAAAGAATTAATGACTAAGACTCAAAAGCAAACGTAACAAAACAAAAAATAAACAAATGAGACCTTACTAAACTAAAAAGCTTTAATACAACAAAAGAAATAATCACCAGAGTAAACAGATAACCCACAGAATGGGAGAAAATATTTGCAAACTATACATCTGACAAAAGACTAATATCCAGAATCTACAAGGAACTCAAACAAATTAGCAAGGAAAAAAAACAAGTAATCCCATCAAAAAGTGGGTAAAAGACGTGAATAGATATTTCTCAAAAGAAGATATACAAATGGCTAACAAATATATGAAAAAATGCTCAACATCACTAATCATAAGAGAAATGCAAATTAAAACCACAACGAGGTACCACCTTCTGCAAGAACAGCCATTATTAAGAAGTCCAAAAACAATAGATATTAGCATGAATGTGGTGAAAAGGGAACGCTTATACACTGTTAGTGAGAAAGTAAATTAATACAATCTCTCTCTCTTTTTTTTTTTTTTTTTGAGACAGAGTTTTGCTCTTGTTGCCCAGGCTAGAGTGCAATGGTACGATCTCGGCTCACCGCAACCTCCGCTTCCCGGGTTCAAGCAGTTCTCCTGCCTCAGCCTCCCAAGTAGCTGGGATTATAGGCATGCACCACCATGCCCGGCGCCCGGCTAATTTTATATTTTCAGTAGAGTCAGGGTTTCTCCATGTTGGTCAGGGGGATCTCAAACTCCCGACCTCAGGCAATCCACTCGCCTCGGCCTCCCAAAGTGCTGGGATTACAGACGTAAGCCACTGCACCCGGCCAATTAATACAATCTCTATGGAAAACAATACGTGGTCGGGCATGATGGCTCATGCCTATAATCCCAGCATTTTGGGAGGCTGAGCTGGGTGGATCACTTGAGGTCGGGAGTTCGAGACCAGCCTGGCCAGCATGGTGAAACCCCATCTCTACTAAAAATACAAACATTAGCTGGCATGAGAGCATGCGCCTGTAGTCCGAGCTACTTGGGAGGCTGAGACAAGAGAATCGCTTGACCCAGGAGGTGGAGGTTGCAGTGAGCCAAGATCACGCCACTGCACTCCAGCCTGGGAGACAGACAGAGACTCTGTCTCAAGAAAAAAAAGAAAAGAAAAGGCAGATTTCTTAAAAAATAAAAGTAGATCTATCTGCCTTTGGAGTCCAGGAGAATAAAATAAAAAAAGAAAAAGTAAATCTATCCGTGGGATTGATCCAGCCATCTCACTACTGGATATCTACCTAAAAGAAAAGAAGTCATTATATAAAAAAGACAGCTGCATGTGTAATGTTATTGCAGCACAATTCACAATTGCAAAAATATGGAACCCACCTAAGTGTCCATTGACCAAAGATGAAGAAAATGTGGTATATATACAACATGGAATACTACTCAGACATAAAAAAAGAATAATATGTCTTTTGTAGCATCTTGGATGGAGCTGGAAGCCATTATTCTAAATGAAGTAATTCAGGAATGGAAAAGAAGAGAGTAGGAAGGGCATAATCGTTTATAAAATTATCTTTGGGAACCTGGTTTAAGGATGACTTTCCTGCCAAATTAGATGACTCTTGCTCCATTTTGATCTCATTAATTTATTTTTATTTTATTTATTTATTTGTTCTTTTCTTTGAGACAGGGTCTCACTCTGTTGCTCAGGCTGGAGTGCAGTGGTGTAATAATGGCACACTGGAGCCTCAACTTCCCAGACTCTAGCAATCTTCCCGCCTCAGCCCCCCAAGTAGCTGGGACAACAGGTGTGCACCACCACGCCTGGCTAATTTTTGTATTTTTTGTAGAGTCGGAGCCTTACTATCTTGCCCAGGCTTGTCTCAAACTTCTAAACTCAAGCAATCCACCTGCCTCAGCCTCCCAAAGTGATGGGATTACAGGTGTGAGCCACTGTGCCCAGAATTTTTATTCTTTTTTATACTGTTTCCTCTAACTGCACAATATATTTTTTTTTGAGCCAAGTTCTCTCTGTCACCCAGGCTATAGTGCAGTGGTGTGATCTCAGCTTGCTGTAACCTCTAACTCCTGGGCTCAAGTGAAGTGATCCTCTCCCATTCAGCTTCCTGAATAACAGGGACTGCAGGCACCAGCCACAATGCCCAGCTAGGTTTTTTTTTATTTTTGTAGAGACAGAATCTCGTTATGTTGGCCAGGCTGGTCTTGAACTCCTGGCCCCAAGCGATCTTTCTCCCTAGGCCTCCCAAAGTGCTGGGATTACAGGTGTGCCACTGTGCTCGGCCAAGCTTTTTTTTTTTTTTTTTTTTAACCAACTCTTGGAAAGAAAATTTGTGAATGTGCTTCCAGAAAGTAATATTTCTCATTAACTTAGTCCCTCCCATAATTGTGCACTTGCCTGGTTATTTCTCACCAAAGAAATTAACAGCTAATTTGTCAGCAAAGTGGCTAAATTGCCAGCTTTACAGACTGCCTTATTAACACTTCTAAAATTTATTATTAACATTTTACAAGATCCTAATCTGTATTGTCACAAGAACTCTCCACAGTGGCCTAACAAATCCAATGTTTTCAACCAAAATATATACTGCCATTGTAAACCATTTACACATTGCACACCTTCTCTACACAAAATAAATGGGGACGTGCCCTAAATTGCCTTGCATTCTAGAAATTGTTGATATTCAGCCTCATAACTGCCATGCTGTAATCTTTCCTTTACCACTGAGGCTGAAAGTATGCAAACTATATGTCTCAGACTCACCTGACCGGTGAATTCTGATGGATGCCATGAGAGGCATCCATCCAGATTAGAAAGTGGAGGAAGGTTGTGCAATTCTGTTTCTGGCAGAGGTGTTGGCAGGAGTTCTGGGCCATGGGTTGCTGTTGGGTATCAGTAACAGGGAGCAATCCCAGGCTCCAAGTGTCCTGCCCTGTAAATATAAAGGGCAGCTCTAGCCTGGCTGTAGGCTTGGGGCTCTGGATAACACAACTGTCCCTGTAAGCTCCTCCAGCCCAGGAGCAGTAGCAGCTGCCTGCAGGGTGACACCACCCTTCCCCATTTGTTCCTATAGGTCTCCTAACCCTTTTTGTAACCAATTCCCTGTTTCAAGTGCTCCTATGCTTGAAAGGCATGTGTGTCAGGCACCAAAGGCTGGATGAGACAAAAAGAGCAGGAGTAATTTATATGAAAGAGCTTGACTCAGTGGGCCTCCAGTATAGGAGGCAAGTTGTTGAAGGTGTCAAGTCCAAGTACAAATACAGTCACACCACTTTCGTTTTTCCATCAAAACACTACTCCGTTAACCAGAATGGAGTACCCACCTATTCCATTAACCAGAAGTCCAGTGTGCCCTGCTCTTCTTGGAATAACTTCACACACACTCTCCTACCAGCCTGCTGCAGTGTTTAAGAAACCTGGGATTTTAATATTATTCAGTGCAGAAGAATGGTTTTTGAAATACATATCGTCAGGTTTTTCTGGACTGGATACTAACTGATACAGTGTTTGGTACCAGAATGGTATAAAAAGAAATGACCGGCCGGGCACGGTGACTCATGCTTGTAATCCCAGCACTTTGGGAGGCCGAGGCAGGTGGATCACCTGAGGTCAGGAGTTCGAGACCACCCTGGCCAACATGGTGAAACCCCATCTCTACTAAAAAATACAAAAATTAGCCAGGCTTGGTGATATGCCCCTGTAGTCCCAGCTACTCGGGAGGCAGAGGCAGAAGAGTCTCTTGAACCCGGGAGGCAGAGGCTGCAGTGAGCTAAGATTGCATGACTGCACTCCAGTCTGGGCAACAGAGAGAAACTCCATCTCAAAAAAAATAATAATAATAGTAATAATTTGTTCGGCCAGGTGCAGTGGCTCACACTTGTAATCCTGGCATTTTGGGAAGCCGAGACAGGCAGATGACAAGGTCAGGAGTTCGAGACCTGCCTGGCCAATATGGTGAAACCCCGTCTCTACAAAAAATACAAATTAGCCGGGTGTGGTGGCAGGCACCTGTAGTCCCAGCTACTCGGGAGGCTGAGGCAGGAGAGTCGCTTGAACCTGGGAGGCGGAGGTTGCAGTGAGCCGAGATGGTGCCATTGCACTCCAGCCTGGGTGACAGTGCGAGATTCCACCTCAAAAACAAACAAACAAACAAACTCTGGTTTCTGGTAGCCATAGGACTAATAAAGACCCAAGTTTTGGTGGTTTGGGTTGCAGAATTAATTTTTTTAAATTTTTATTTATTTATTTATTTTTGAGACAGAGTCTCATTCTGTCGCCCAGGCTGGAGTGTAATGGCACAATCTGGGCTCACTGCAACCTCTGCCTCCTGGGTTCCTGCCTCAGCTTCCTGAGTAGCTGGGATTACAGGCACGTGCCACCACACCCAGCTAATTTTTGTAGTTTTAATAGAGATGGGGTTTCGCATGTTAGCTAGGCTGGTCTCAAACTCCTGACCTCAGGTGATCCACCTTCCTCGGCCTCCCAAAAGTGCTGGGATTACAAGCGTGAGCCGCTGTGCCTGGCCGAGGTTGCAGAATTATGATAAACTGATTTAGAAGCTGATGCAGGACAAGGAACCCCCAAAACTGGGGCTTAGCCTAGGAATGTTCTTGGCTTCCTCCAGGAAAGAATTCAAGGGCAAGCCGGTAGTATCAGATGACAATCTTTTATTGAATGGTCTTGTTCCTTGTGGAGCAGGGATAACTCATGGGCAGTGTCCCCAGCCTCTGCAGAGTACGGGCTGTTGGGAACTATATTTATGCCCACTTTCGACTATATGCAAATTAAGGAGTGGGTTAATGCAAATTGAGGAGAGCGTTGTTTAGAACTTTCTAGGAAAAGGGCGGTAACTTTTGGGTCCTTGCCCTGGCATTTGTAAGCTGTCATGGGCTGATGGGAGTGTCTTAACGCTAATGAGCAGCGAGGGCAGCCAGAGGTTTCCTTTGGTGCCACCTGCTGGTTCCTGCCAGCTTCTCCCTTTTTTCTCATGTGGAAACTGGGGCATAAATTGAGAACTGAGACCTTGAGAAATTTTTTTTTTTTTGAGACAGAGTCTCGCTCTTTCAGGCTGGAGTGCAGTGGCGAGATCTCAGCTCACTGCAACCTCCGTCTCCCTGGTTCAAGTGATTCTCTTGTCTCAACCTTCCAAGTAACTGGGATTACAGGCGAGGGCCACCACGCCCAGCTAATTTTTGTATTTTTAGTAGACTTTACCAGCTTGGTCAGGCTGGTCTCAAACTCCTGACCTCAAATGATCCACCCGCCTCGGCCTCCCAAAGTGCTGGGATTACAGACGTGAGCCACAGCGCCTGGCCAATTTTTTTTTTTTAACATTTTTTCCTTTTTTTTTTTTTTTTGTAGAGACAGTCTCCCTGTGTTACCCAAGCTGGTCTCTAGAACTCCTAGGCTTAAGCGATTCTCCCACCTCCGCCTCTCAAAGTGTTGAGATTACAAGTGTGAGCCACTGCAGCTGGCTGAGAATTGGGGATATTTGTGTGGATTTGGAAGAATATAAAAATCTTGAGAAACACCAAAGGCCCTGAATACCCATTGCAAGTGGAATCACGCTTCTCTCCCATTTCTGAGAAGACTAGGCTCCTTTTCCAGGGTGAAAACACCCCGTTAGTTGGAGTCTGTTCTATGTGATGGGGCATGTGCTTTGAACCAGCAATCAAAATAATATTTCTCTCATAGTCAGAATACAGGTCCAGGAATCAAGTGGTACAAGTTGGAATAGCTCCTCTCACTGTTAAATTTAGTAGTCCTAAGTTTTGCTTCCTGCTCCTGAATATTTTTGTGTTTTTTTACATCTTTTTTTTTCTTTTTTTGAGACAAGGTCTCACTTTATCTCCCAGGCTGGAGTGCAGTGGCACAATCTTGGCTCACTACAGACTCAAATTTCTGGGCTCAGATGATCCTCCCACCTCAGCCTCCCAAGTAGCTGGGACTCTACAGGCACACATCATCATACCCAGCTAATTTTTTAATTTTTTGTAGAGACAAGGTCTCGCCATGTTGCTTACGTTAGTCTCAAACTCCTGGACTCAAGCAATCCTCCTGCCTTGACCTCCCAAAGTGTTAGGATTACAGGTGAAGGCCACTGTGCCTGGCCTTACGGGTCATTCTTTATTTCCAAGAGAAGAATGCTTCCACCAAGGGACACATTATTGGTTCCAAGTGAACCAACTATTTGGGACTCTTTATGTCACTGAACCAATATGCAAAGAAAGAGGCAAATTACTGACTGGAGTAATTAATTCCAATTACAAGAAGACGTAGAGTTGTTACTACATAGTGGAGCAGGGAAGACTAAGTCCAAAAACCTCTCTGAATGATTTTTTTTTTGAGACAGAGTCTCAAAAAAAAATTGAGCAATCTTGGCTCACTGCAACCTCCATCTCCCAGGTTCAAGTGATTCTCCTGCTTTAGACTCCTGAGTAGCTGGGATTATAAGTGTGCGCCACCATGCCCAGATAATTTTTGTATTTTTAGTAGAGACAGGGTTTCACCGTCTTGGTCAGGCTGGTCTCAAACTCCTGACCTCAGGTGATCCACCTGCCTCAGCCTCCCAAAGTACTGGGATTACAGGCATGAGCCACCGTGCCTGCCCTCTGAATGATTCTTAATACCTCCAAGTCCAGTAGTAACAGTTAAAAGAATTATTGCATCAACTCAATGAAGCCTGAGTGACTAGGATTCTGATTCATCAAGAATGAAGGTTTATGTCACACCATAAGGTAAAGAATCCCAGCTAGCTGTGTTCCTTGCTGTGGTCAAAGAGAAGACAAAATTGGTAGTTGAAAAAATTATAAATATCAACTAAAGCCTTATGCTCAGTTACAAAAATGAGGACTGTAGCAGCTATGCATATTTTCTACTTTGCTTGTTATACACTTATTATTTATATAAGAATTATTGATGGAGTTTAAGTTTATAATCTATTCTTTAGGTAAAAGAATATTCCAGGCTGGGCGTTGTGGGTCATGCCTGTAATCTCAGCACTTTGGGAGGCCAAGGAGCCCGCATCACTTGAGTCCAAGAGTTTGAAACCAGCTTGGCCAATATGGTGAAACCCCATCTCTACTAAAAACACAAAAATTAGTCAGGCGTGGTGTCACATGCCTGTAGTCTCAGCTACTCAGGGAGGATGAGGTGGGAGGATTGGCTGAGCCCGGGAGGCAGAGGCTACAGTGGGCCAAGATTGTGCCACCGTACTCTAGCCTGGGTGACAGAGTGAGACTCTGTCTTAAAAACAAAACAAAACAAAACAAAAAACAAAAGAATATTCCAGTGGGATGATGACTGAACTAGAAAATAATTAACATAAACTAGAGACAGACTGAGTTATTGTTTAATGGGTACAGAGTTTCAGTTGGGGAAAATAAAAAAGTTCTGGAGATGGATGGTGGTGATGGTTGTATAACAATGTGAATGTACTTAATGCCACTAACATGAACATTTAAGAATGGTTAAGATGAGCTGGGCGTGGTGATGTGCACCTATAATTCCAGCTACTCTGGAGGCTGAGGTAGGAGGATCCAGACCAGCCCGGGCAACATAGCGAGACCTCATCGCTAAAAAGAATAAATGGTTACAATGGCAAATTTTATGTGCTGTATAATTTACTACAACTTTTTAAAAAGCACAAAACTATTATAGGATGCAAATTGGGATTCAAATATGAGTAGAAGGGTATGGCATAGTCAAAGGAGAAGGGAAAATTAGTAATCTAGTATCTCTTAGCCCTAAACCCACCCTTTCTCTCTCTGTTACCCTCTCTAGCATGTTGGGGCTGGAGTTCTGTACACCAGGCATCCCAGCCCCTGGGCCACTGGCCAGTTAGGAACTGGGCTGCACAGCAGGAGGTGGGTGGTGAGCTAGCAAGCGAACCTTCATCTGTATTTACAGCTGCTCCCTATCACTCTCATTACTGCCTGAGCTCCGCCTCCTATCAGATCAGCAGGGCATTAAATTCTCATAGGAGCACGAACCCTATTGCAAACTGTGCTTGTGAGGGATCTGGGTTGCCCCCTCCTTATGAGAATCTAATGCCTGATGATCTGTCCCTGTCTCCCATCACCCCCAGATAGGACTGTCTAGTTGCAAGAAAACAAGCTCAGGGGTCCCACTGATTCTACATAATGTTAAGTTGTATAATTATTTCATTATATATTACAATGTATTTTTTACTTTTATTTTATTATTATTATTATTGATATGGAATCTCACTCTGTTGTCCAGGCTGGAGTGCAGTGGCACGGTCTTGGCTCACTGTAACCTCTGCCTCCCAGGCTCAAGCAATTCTCCTGTCTCAGCCTCTCAAGTAGCTGGGATTACAGGCACCTGCTACCATGCCTGGCTAATTTTTGTATTTTTATTAGTGACAAGGTTTTGCCATGTTGGCCAGGCTGGTCTCAAACTCATGACCTCAGGTGATCTGCCCGCCTCGGACTCCCAAAATGCTGGGATTACAGATGTGAGCCATCGCACCCAACCTAAAATGGTAATTTTTGAAGAGAAATTGAGCATGTTCCAGAAGTGAAGAAAAGCAGGGGCTCCCAGGTCAAATAAGATTTAAAATGACAATAAATCATGATAAACATAATTATGCCGGAGGTAGAAAGAAATTATTTGGGCAGATAGTGAGGGCAACAGAGTCCTCACTGGAATTTCCCTTCTAACCAAAAGCAGCCCAAGACATAATTTTTTTTTTTTTTTTTTTTTTGAGATGGCGTTTCGCTCTTGTTGTCCAGGCTGGAGCGCAATGGCGCAATCTCGGCTCACCGCAACCCCCACCTCCCAGGTTCAAGCGATTCTCCTGCCTCAGCCTCCTCAGTAGCTGGGATTACAGATGTGCACCACCACGCTGGCTAATTTTGTATTTCTAGTACAGACAGGGTTTTCTCCATGTTGGTCAGGCTGGTCTTGAACTCCTGACCTCAGTTGAACCACCCTCCTCGGTCTCCCAAAGTGCTGGGATTACAGGTGTGAGTCACCGTGCCTGGCATCTATCCAACATTTAAAACCAAACAATTAAAACTAATTTTAAGGGAGGCCTAGAGCATTGGGAGGGGTGGTCATGGCAACTTTTCCTACCTGTCACAATTTTAGGGGGCCTGGTTCTGGCAAAAACGCTATGATGATTGTTTTTGCATCATGTTCCATGCCCCATACCCCAATTTAAAAGCAGAGAGAAGTAACAAATCAATACCTCTGACCCTCATCCCATTTCTGTCCCCTCCCCTCCTTCACTTGCTCTTATGGGTAAAGCTGCTCAAATATCAAGAAACATACTTTTAAACCACGTATAAGTTCACTTCAGAATGATTTTGAGTCTGTGGTAGAACTCTGGAGAAGTCCTGAATCCATTTGAAGCCCACGGGCAGGATACAAGGGCAGATGGGAAGAGAAGGGCGGAGATGATGGCAGAAGTGGACAGGGGAGGATCTGCTAGGAGGCTTGGGAGCTCTCATTCAAACTCTCTCCATCATTGTCTCCCACTCTTAGGCATAAGTCCACTCAAACATCAGGAGGCTGGTTGCAGAGGCATGGTGATCTTCTGCTGGCCTCAGCCTCGATCTTCTGGGGAAGGCAATGAGGAATTTGCTGTATCTCTGAAACCACCCTTGCAAAATTATGACAGTGAGCAAATCTGACATGGTTGACTCCATCTTGCTTCTGACCTTCAGGCTGTCTTTGGGCATTCCTGGGTGTAGGCTAAGCCAACTTTGGGAGGAATTTAGTTTATAGTTTAACTTTGAAACAAGGATGATGACAGTCCACTCTAAAATGAATCCTCTCCCTGTTTTCAGGGCTGAAACCACCTTTGTAAGACTAACAAGAGGTCCTAAAATAAGTGTGGTTTCTGTAAGCCCTTACTGCTCAGGTCATGGCCAGAGGTCACACGATAGGAGGACTTTTTATAATCCTTTGCTGTTCCAGGGGCATGTGGCCAGAGGGTCAAGATTGGTGACCTTCTCAATTTCTCCTATAAATAACTTCATTATTGCAGAACCTAAGATTGGGTTTTTGTGAGATGTTTTTCAGACTGACCCCACCCAGACTTGTGAGTCATGACTCAGCATGTGAGTAGAATCATCCAGTATTTGTCCTTTTGTGACTGGCCCCATCCAGAGGTAGACTTGGCACATGAGGACCCTTTCCTACACCCCTATGATTTCATCCCCAACCAATCATCAGTGCCCATTCCCTAGCCCTCTGCCCACTAAATTGTCTATAAGAACCTCTAGGCTGGGTGAGGTGGCTCATGCCTGTAATCCCAGCACTTTGGGAGGCCAAGACAGGTGGATCACTTATGGTCAGGAGTTTGAGACCAGCCTGGTCAACATGGCAAAACCCGTCTCTACTAAAAATACAAAAATCAGCTGGGTGTGGTGGCACATGCCTGTGATCTCAGCTACTCGAGAGGCTGAGACAGGAGAATTGCTTGAACTCGGGAGGCAGAGTTTGCAGTGAGCCAAGATTGTACCACTATACTCCAGCCTGGGCGACAGAGGGAGACTCCATCTCAAAAAAAAAAAAAAAAGAACCTCTAACACCTGAACCTTTGGTAGGCGCTGGGAGGGAGGAGAGACAGATTTGAGTAATAACTCCAGTTCTCACATGTGTGCTGGCTTCATGTCAATTAAACTCTTTACTGCAATGCCTCAGTCTCAGTGGGTTGATCTGTCTGTGCAGTGGGCAGGAAGAACTCATCAGGTGCTTACATCTCTGTAGGAAAAAGGTGGTCATAAATGGGTGAGTAGGATACATTCCCCAAAGTCAGGAACAGCCCTTGGTGAGGTTTGTAGGAGTCTCTTTTCTCCATTCTCGGTGTGGGAGGCATTTTGCTGCAGCTACTAGCAATGTCTTTGGCACGTTCCCATGTGATCCTTGCATCAAGTTCTTATTTTTCTTCCTTTTTAAAAATGTATTTTATTGGTCAGGCATGGTGGCTCACACCTTTAATCCCAGCACTTTGGGAGGCTGAGGTGGGTGGATCACTTGAGGCCAGAAGTTCGAGACCAGCCTGGCCAAAATGGTAAAACCCCATCTCTACTAAAAATACAAAAAATTAGCCGGGCATTATGGTAGGCACCTGTAATCCCAGCTACTTGGCAGGCTGAGGCAGGAGAATCACTTGAACCAGGAGGCAGAGGTTGCAGTGAGCCAAGATCGCATGATTGCACTCCAGCCTGGGCAACAAGAGTGACACTTCATGTCAATTATATATATATATATAATTTTTTTGTCTCTATGAATTTGATTACTCTTAGGTACCTCATGTGAGTAGAATCATCCAGTATTTGTCCTTTTGTGACTGGCTTATTTCACTTAACATAATGTCATCAAGGTTCATCCTTGTTGTAGTATGAGCCTCTGTTGCTTTTTTGGAATTGCAATGAAGAACACAATATAAATTTATCTTTTTAACAATTTTAAGTGTTCAGTATTGTTAACTATAAACACATTGTTGTAAAACAGATCTCTAGAACTTCTTCATCTTGCATGACTGAAACTCTACACCCATTGAACAACTTCCCTTTTGCCTCTCCCTCTGGCCCCTGGAAACCACCACTCTACTTTACTATATGTGTGTGTGTGTGTGTGTGTGTGTGTGTGTGTGTGTGTGTATAATATTTATTCCAGTCTAGGTTCACAATATTTTTTTTCTTTTAAAAATGTTTTATTTTGTTATCTTTATTTAATAGAGACAGGGTCTTGCTATGTTTTCCAGATTGGTCTTAAACTCCTGGGTTCAAGCGATCCTCCTTCCTCAGTGTCTCAAAGTGTTGGGATTACAGGCATGAGCCACCAGGTCTGGCCTAAATCAAGTTCTGAATTCATTTGATCTCCTTCCCTAGGGAGCTCTGCTGCATGGATTTTTTTGTGTCAGCTGATTTCTCCAAGAGATGTTCCTGTACCCTGCCAAACTCTCCCACAGCCAACTTGGGCAAAGGCCAAAGGAGATCTTCAATTAATTCCATTCTTTCTGTGTTTTGGATTTATTGTAGAAATCAAGATGTTGTTTCCATATTGAAATTGGAAGCTCTGTTATTATGAATGAAAACAGAAATAATCTGTTAACAACACCAGTTCTTAATTGCCTGTTCTTTAGTTTGGCAAGCTTTCCTGCAAGAGAAGAAAAACGACGTCTGCACACAAAAAACACAGGGGGAGCGGTGGTGGGGGAAAGCTAGTGCTCATGGAATCTAGAAGGTTTTCTGGCTCCAAACCGAATGAGCTCAAGACAAGGAATTACCAGACATGGAAAGTGATGGGGATGGGCAGAGTGTGGTGCCTATACCTCGCTTCTTCCTGCTATTTTGTATTTTCTCTGCCATCTATAAATCGTCTCATCTAGGCTTTCTGGAGGGCCTCCACAGTTTTGTTTTGTTTTGTTTTTCCTTTAAAAAAATTATAGTAAAACATACATAATAAAATTTTTCATTTTAACCATTCTAAGCTTATGTTTCAGTGGCATTAAGTATATTCATAGTGTTATGCAACCACCACTGCATCCCTCTCCAGAACTTTTTCATCTTCCCAAACTGAAACTCTGTACCTGTTAACTCCCCATTCCCCCTTCCCTGCATAAATAACTCCCCATTATCCCTTTCTGCTAGTCCCTGGCAACCACCCTTCTACTTTCTGTCTCTATGAATTTGATTACTCTTAGGTACCTCATGTGAGTAGAATCATCCAGTATCTGTCCTTTTGTGACTGGCTTATTTCACTTAACATAATGTCATCAAGTTTCATCCGTGTTGTAGTATGAGCCTCTGTTGCTTTTTTGGAATTGCAGTAAAGAACACAATATAAATTTATCTTCTTAACAATTTTAAGTTTTCAGTATTGTTAACTATAAGCATACTGTTGTAAAACAGATCTCTAGAACTTCTTCATCTTGCATGACTGAAACTCTATGCCCATTGAACAACTTCCCTTTTTCCTCTCCCTCTGGCCCCTGGAGACCGCCACTCTACTTTTCTGTTTCTGAGTTTAATTACTTTATACATCTCATGTGAGTGGCTTTATGCAGCACTTATGTTTTTGTGATTGGCTTGTTTCATTTAATGCCTTCAAGCTTCATCCATGTTGTAGCTTATGACAGGATTTCTTTCTTTTCTAAAGCTGAATATTATTCCATTGTATGAACATACCACATTTTCATTATCCATTCAACCATCAATGCACATTTGAGTTGCTTCCACCTCTTGGCTATTGTGAATGCTGTTGCAGTGAACAAAGGTGTGCAAATATCTTTTTGA
The DNA here is from genome assembly GCF_000001405.40 of Homo sapiens. Lineage (NCBI taxonomy): Eukaryota > Metazoa > Chordata > Mammalia > Primates > Hominidae > Homo > Homo sapiens. The sequence continues at coordinate 95,389,200 of NC_000013.11, forward strand.
GATCCTGTTGTTGCAATATATTCAGAGGTAGAATTGCTGGATCATGTGGTAATTCTACGTTTAACTTGAGCAACCTCCATATTGTTTTCCACAGTGGCAGCACCATTTTGCATTCCCACGAACAGTGCCCAAGGGCTTCAATTTATCCACACACTTGCCAACACTTGGTATTTTCTATGCTTTTGAAAATGGCCATCCTGACATGACGTGATGCCTCACTGTGGTTTTAGTTTGCATTTCCCCGATGATTAGTGATGTTGAGCATCTTCTCATAGGCTTGTGGCCACTTGTATATTCTCCATCGATTTTTCTCTCACCCCACCCCTGACTTTTTCTGAGCTTTTTCCTTTTTCCACAATCATACATCCATGCTAACGACAGATGAATCTGTTACTGTATTTGTTCTTATCAAGAAGAGGAAGCAAGAGAACTGAAAATAAAAAGATATATTTGAGAGACCAGCTAGAAAAAGAAAGCAGGTAGGAAAAATTGGAAAATGCACAGTGGAGGGGCAGGAATGGGAGGGAGGGAGCAGCAAAGCAGAACTGGGGGTGACAGGAAGGGACGCTGACCACCATGTCCCCAGAAAATTCGGAGTCAGAGGTCTTCCTGATCACCTGCCTTACCTCCAAGCAACCTGAAGAGCAGAATCCCCATCCCTTGGTGCCATCATGACTCTAGAAAAATCTTTTGAGAAACTGGGCTACAAATAAGTCAGGACTCACATCCTGGTGTCTCTTAGGACAAACAAGTGTTGTCCCCAAACTGCTCCATTCATCCTCTGATGTCATCCAGTTCCCATCCTCATCACTCTTCAACCCATCCACTGAGTTCCTGGAATACCTGCTCTGTGTCCAGCAAATTTCTATACATTCCCACCTTTTGTCCCATAGAGCCCTCACCTCATTTCCAGAACAGCTAGTTCCTTCATAATCATCTCAAGAGATTATCTTTCATTTTTATACACATCACTCATCTCAGGTCCCAAGATGGGCTCAGCGCCCTTCCTCCCAGCCTTGCAGACCTTTCTCTCTTTTAAAATTTTTATGTATTTATTTATTGAGACAAGGTCTTACTGTGTCACCCAGGCTGGAGTGCAGTGATGTGATCATGGCTCACTCCAGCCTCGACCTCCCAGGCTCAAGCGATCCTCCCACCTCAGCCTCCCAAGTAGCTGGGACTACAGGCATGTGCCTCCTCTCTGCCTTCATCTTCACATGGGCATTTTCTTCCTGTTTCATTGCATCACCTTCTGTCCGTGTGTGTTGGGTTCAAATTTCCCTTTTCTTACATGGATACCATATAACCTGTTAGTGTGGATATGTAAATGTGGAAAAAGGAAAAAGCTCAGAAAAAAGTCAGGGGGTTGGTATAATATGCCACAATGCCCAGCTCTTTTTTTTTTTTTCTGTAGACGGGGTCTTATTATGTTGCCCAGGCTAGTCTCGAACTAATGGGCTCAAGAAATCTCTCCTTGGCCTCCCAAAATGTTGGGATTACAGAGGTAAGCCACCATGCCTGGCCTCTCCCTTTCCTTATTGCAAAATGATCCCAGCTCTCCTAATGCTCAGATCATCAACTACACCCTCCTCTCCCCTTCCGCCTTCTGTATCAAGCAGCTTCCCAGACACTGTCCCCGATCACTGAAAAGTACACTCCTGACTGCCTTTCTGCCCCAATTTCTGCTACTATTTACATGCCAGCCCCACCTTTCCTTAGCCATCTCATCAATAGCAACCTTTTCTGTCACTCCATCTATCTCAGCCACCCAATGCCATTGCCAAACCCTGGATCTTGTCATCACCAGAAAGTGTGCCACCTCAGAAATCTCAAAGTCAGACATTTCCTTCTCCATCCCATCTCCTATCCTTCCAATTTATTTGCTCCAGGATACCTACAAGAACAATTCTTTTTAATTTTTTTATTTCATTTTATTTTTTGAGATGGAGTCTCGCTCTGTTGCCAGGCTGGAGTGCAATGGCACAATCTCAGCTCACTGCAACCTCTGCCTTCCAGGTACAAGCAATTCTCCTGCCTCAGCCTCCTGAGTAGCTGGGACTACAGGCACTCGCCACCACGCCCAGCTAATTTTTGTATTTTTAGTAGAGATGGGGTTTCACCATGTTGGCCAGGATGGTCTCGATCTCTTGACCTTGTGATCCACCCACCTCAGCCTCCCAAAGTGCTGGGATTACAGGCATGAGCTACTGTGCCTGGGTACCCACAGGGACAATTCTTGGGCCTCATTGAGATGTCTCTTCATTAATCCATCATCTCATTCTACAGTGTCCAGCCAGGATTTTGCAACCCAGAGTTATAATCACTCCCTGGCAAACACTCTCAACTTCCTCTCTTTCCCTCTGGAAGAAAAACCCAATTCTACGTAACAGCAACTCCACTGTGTCCACGCCTGCAGATGAACTTTAATGAAAAATTCACCCATCTGGGCAGACTGATCTTATTTAGAAACACAGTCATAAACTTTACATGGGCTTTAAGTAGCCAGAAATTGTACAATGCTTCACTAATAAGTTCACTCTCCCACTCCCTAAAGTAATTCTCTCAGGCCTTTTCTTCTCTCCTCAAGCCTTCACATGCACCCCCATCCCCTTCCTCCCTTATCCTGATGTCTGCAATTCACATTGTAAAACTCCCATATGATCAATGTGATGTTATGCATGTGCCTGTCAGCTTAAACTTCATTCTAAGTGTGGTTAGTAACATGCCATCTTGCACAGTCAAGGGGCCCAGACCTGGTTGTGGTGGGCATGAGGAGCGCTGACGGGATGTGGTGGAGAGAGGGAGGCATGCAGGCACCAAGACACACACCACCTGGTCCCCAGAAGCTGGCATAGCCTCAGGACCTCCAAACCCTGCTGGAGTCATCAGACTCCTGTGCTGCTGATGTTCACATTGGAGTGGATCCATCCATCACCTGGAGAATTTTTATTCTTGGCCTTCCCATCTTCACTCCCTCCCTTACCCCCACTCCCTCCATGTGTTGCTCTGTATGGCCTTCCTACTGATCATGGTTTAGGTCAACCACGGAAGGCATAGACCCATGTCTCTGCAGATCAATGAAGGTTGTATCCTTTTCCTGTGGCTGCTGTAGGAAAATACCAAACACTTGGATGGCTTAAAACAACAGAGACCAGCCTGGGTAACATGGCAAAACCCTGTCTCTACAAAAAATACAAATAAAAACTAGCCAGGTGTGGTGGCATTTACCTGTAGTCCCATCTACTTGGGAGGCTGAGGTGTCAGGATTGCTTGAGCCTGGGAGGTGGAGGTTGCAATGAGCTGAGACCAGGCCACTGCACTCCAGCCTGAGTATCAGAGCAAGGCACTGTCTCAAACAAAAGAAACAACAGAGAATTATCTCCCATTTCTGGGGGCTAAAAGCCTGAGCTCAAGGTGTCAGCAGGACGACACTTTCTCTAAAATCTACAGGGGAGGTCCTTGCGTCTCCTGGTTTCTAGCATCTCTCTGTTTCTTAGATTGTAGATGCCTCATTCCAGTCTCTGCTTTCATCTTCACTTGGGCATCTTCTTCCTGTTCCATTGTATCATCTTCCCTGTGTGTATCTAGGTCCAAAGTTCCCTCTTATAGGGATACCAAGCATACTGGATTAGGCACCTCCCTACTCCAGTTGCATTAGTCTGTTCTCACATCGCTATAAAGAAATACCTGAGACTGGGTAATTTATTTATTTACTTACTTTTTTTTTTTTTGAGACAGAATCTTGCTCTGTTGCCCAGGCTGGAGTGCAGTGGTGCAATCAGGGCTCACTGCCATCTCCACCTCCCAGGTTCAAGTGATTCTCGTGTCTCAGACTCCTGAGTAGCTGGAATTACAGGCATGCACCACCATGCCTGGCTAATTTTTGTATTTTTAGTAGAGATGGGGTTTTGCCAAGTTGGCCAGGCTGGTTTCAAACTCCTGATTTCAAGTGATTTGCCCGCCTCAGCCTCCCAAACTGCTGGGATTACAGGCATGAGCCACTGTGCCTGGTCTGGGACTGGATAACTTATAAAGAAAAGAAGTTTAATTGGCTCACTGTTCTGCAGGCTGTACAGGAAGTGTGGTGCTAGTATCTGCTTATCTTCCTGGGAGGCCTCAGGAAACTTACAGTCCTGGTGGAAGGCAAAGTGGGAGCCGGCCAGTCACATGGCCAGAGCAGGAGCAAGAGCGCGAGGTAAGAGCTACACACATTTAAACAACCAGATCTCACAAGAACTCAATCATTATGGCCAAGGACAGTACCAAGGGGGGTGGAGCTAAATCATTCATGAGAAACCTGCCCCCATGATCCAATTACCTCCCACCAGGCCCTACCTCCAACATTGGGAATTACTTTTTTTTTTTTTTTTTGAGATGGAGTCTTGCCCTGTTGCCTAGGCTGGAGTGCAGTGGTACAATCTCAGCTCACTGCAACCTCCACCTCCTGGGTTGAAGCAATTCTCCTGCCTCAGCCTCCCAAGTAGCTGGGACTACAGGCACATGCCACCACACCCGGCTAATTTTTGTATTATTATTAGAGATGGGGTTTCACCATATTGGCCAGGCTGGTCTTGGACTCTTGACCTCGTGAGCCTCCCACCTCAGCCTCTCAAAGTGCTGGGATTACAAGTGTGAGCCACTGTGCCCGACCAGGAATTACATTTCAATATGAGATTCGGGCAGATGCACAGACCCAAACTATATCACTAGTATAACCTCATTTTACCTAATTACATATGCAATGACCCTATTTCCAGATAAGGTCACATTTGAAGTACTGGGGGCTAGGAACTTGATGTGTCTTTTGGGAGGACACAAATTAACCCATTACAAAGCTGAAGACACCAATGAAGTACATTTTCTTACTCAGCTAAAGCTGTGGAAAACCACAAAAATGAATTTATTGTTATTCCTGAACTAGGTGGAGCTCAGTGTGAACCAACAGAACAGAATCTGGCAAAACTTTTCAGTTAATACCTAGAGATCCTAATAATCTCTCTGAGGCTCTTCTGACATTTACCATTGGGCTCAAAAGTTCCAGCAGAGCTATTAAAATGAAACCCAGGGGGAGAGTTGTGGACCCACTGGACATCTAAGTAAAATAAGTATTGGTATTAGGGAAAAATTGGGCTCCATATCTTTGAGCAATTACTTCAAGGAATCCCATAATATAACTTATGGAGGCCATTACAGTGGATGTTATTACATGCTGTCACGGAGCTCCAGAAGAGTGGAGTGAATATGAATGCAGCGGTGAAGGGAAAGCTTGCCCTTCACCCTTGGAAGCTTTGCTGAAAAATCAACTCACAAAAGCCGGGTCTATTGGATAAAAGGCATATAAATTTATTTGATCACAGTTTTATGTGGCATAGGAGCCTTTAGAATGAAGACCCAACTCCCCCTTGGAGTCTAGAAGTTTAGATACCATCTTGAGGTTACAAAAAAAACGGGGGTTTGAGTCCTGGCAAAACAGGTTATGGGAGCAGGAGAAGGGGAGTTCTGTTGCAGGGCAATGCATGATTCCTAGGGAGGATTTGGCGGGCTGCAAGAGTATACGGTGGTCTGGGAAAAGTCTGTTGGGCCCATAGAGTGGATAATGGTTGGTGACAAGAGTCCATCCAGGTTTGTTGACAGACTTTAATCTTCATTCCTGTTCTATGGGTTCAGTTAATGAAAATCGAGGGAAGCAGCCTGGTGTGGTGGCTCACACCTATTATCCCAACACTTTGAGACACTTAGATGGGAGGATCGCTTGAGCCCAGGAGTTTTAGACCAGCCTGGGTAATGTGGCAAGACAATGTCTCTACAAAAAAACTTAAAAACTTAGCTGGGTTTGATGGTGTGAACCTGTGGCCTCAGTTATTTGGGAGGCTGACATGGAGGATTGCTGGGCTTGGAAGGTTGAGGCTGCAGTGAGCCACATTTGCACCACTGCACTCCAGCCTGAGTGACAGAGTGAGACTCCATCTCAAAAAAGAAAGAAAGAAAGACAGAAAGAAAGAAAGAAAGAAAGAAAGAAAGAAAGAAAGAAAGAAAGAAAGAGAGAGAGAGAGAGAGAGAAAGGAAAGGAAAGGAAAGGAAAGGAAAGGAAAGGAAAGGAAAGGAAAGGAAAGGAAAGGAAAGGAAAGGAAAGGAAAGGAAAACCAGAATGCTTCTGGGGGAAAAACTTCACGGAAGGGACTAGAGTTAATTGTTTTCTTCTTTGTTAGGTCCAGAATTTAGGCAAATAAGGGAACTCTAGAGAACAACTCCGTCCAATGCTTTGGGAGAGATGGAGGAGGGTTGGGGGAGAGGACAGAGAGATCTTGAAGTTTTTTTTTCAGTTCAGCATGTACAAAGCACCCTATTTTCAGTTCAGCATGTACAAAGCATCCTATTTTGGGGTATTGGTTTTTGAGCCCCAACATGAGCTTCTCCTTTTTGAATGATGCCTATCAAGTGTGTGTGGAAAATGGCAAGACAGTTCTGTGAGCCATGTGGTTGGAACAGGTCCATAGAGGCACTGATCTTTCTGGGATGCCACCCGCACCACCCCACACCAAGATGACTCCCAGCCTGAACCTCACAGAGGCATCGGTGCTGCTCCTGGAGGATGCTGAAGCCTCAAACTAATGGAAATATTCTTTTTTCGAGATGTAGTCCTTTTTTAATGGCTACTCATTAGAAAAATGCCACGTTTGTTTAGGGTAGTGGAAAGGAAGACTAGCATCAAAATATTTCCATTTAAAAAATGATGGACGTAAAGGCCCAGCTGGGACAGATATGTTAATAAAGAAATGGCATTTTAAAATGATCTGCGTCGGCCGGGCATGGTGGCTCATGCCTGTAATCCCAGCACTTTGGGAGGCCAAGGTGGGCGGATCACCTGAGGTCAGGGGTTCCAGACCAGCCTCACCAACATGGCAAAACTCCGTCTCTACTAAAAATAAAAAATTAGCTGGGTGTGGTGGCGGGTGCCTGTAATCGCAGCTACTTGGGAGGCTGAGGCAGGGAGAATTGCTTGAATCCGGGAGTTGGAGGTTGCAGTGAGCTGAGATTGTGCCACTGCACTCCAGCCTGGGCAACAGAGTGAGACTCTGTCTCAAAATAAATAAATAAATAAAATAAAATTATCTGTGTCAACATATAATACATTTTTGGTGTTGTCAACTATTACTCATGTTGTACAACAGATACCTTATTTTTTATTTTTATTTTTAATGTAGAGACAGGTCTTGCTGTGTTGCTCAGGCTGGTCTCAAACTCCTGGGCTCAAGCAACACTCAGTCTCCCAAAGTGCTGGGATTATAGGCATGAGCCACCGCTCCCAACCAATAGATACTGTTTATTTTTGTTGCTGATAAAGGGTTACAGAGCTCCTAAGCAAAAAAGGCCCAGTGCAGCACGTCCAGAATTATATTTGAGAGGGCCATACTCCAAGGTGACTACAACAAATTGTTATATTGTCCCTATCTTAGTCCAGAGCTGACCCTTCACTAATGTATTAGATGTCAAGAAGAGGGATTTTGTTGGCAAAGCTATTGGCTTGTTAATTAGGGTGATAGATGTTAGAAAGGGCTGCTTTTTGGGGGACGTTAAGGTATACAAGATGTGTGGACCAAGTAAAACAGCTAAAAAAGACCCCTGACACTCACACCTATATGCCTTACATGAATACAGTAAAAGCATCCACTGAAAACTTCAGCCTAAAGCTATTACAGATGGGGCTCCTGTAAAAAGTCCCATTGCAAGAGGAGACATTCCTGTGTCCAGCCAATGGATCAGGGGGCTTTCTGATTTCATGATACCAAATAGAAGGCACAGAATGTTGCCTGCAGAAAGTTGTTCAAGTGAATCCTTCATGGAGTTGGAATATACAGTTTGGAATTCCTATGTATCAGTCAGCCTTAGCTAGCTTACGCTGTGGTAATAAACAGTCCTCCAATTCAAGGTGGCTTACAACAACCAAAGTTTATTGCATGTTGACTGCAGGTCCACCAAGGCCCTGCTCTGTGTCCTCTTCATTCTACATCCAAGGCTGAGTGAGCAGTCCCTCTCTGGGAAATGCTGGTCTCAAGGCTGAGGGCGAGGATGATGGTGGAACCAAGAGAAGGACTTTAAAGCCTCCATTTGGAAGTGACACATATCACTTCCACTCACACTTCACTGGCCAAAGCAAACCACACCCAAGCCTGGAGTTGATGGGCCAGTAGCAAGGAACATGGACAAAAATGCAGCTTCCTAATCCTACAGGGCCAGGGAGCCGGGAGTTGACTGAGTTTGCAAAGCTGGTGGCGTGAGCTGCTTTGTACCTGCTTGGCTAGTGACTGTCTAACAAATGTCTCTATCAGAGGCTTGCTTTCATTCTGCCTTTGTGTGTGGGGGTGGTGGGCGATTGGCTAGCCCTGACCTGGTGTAATTTCTTTCAACCAAGATTGTGCATAACCAACTGGCTCAGGTGAGTTTGCCACAGCCCCTCCCCATATTCCCTGACAAAGGCCCATTGCCTCCACAAAAGCTCCCAATAGGAATCCCACTCCTTCTCGCCTGTTCAGAGTTTGGCTTTTTCTAAAAAAGAAAGAAAGAAAGGCCAAATGCGGTGGCTCAAGCCTGTAATCTCAGCACTTTGGGAGGCTGAGGCAGGCGGATCACTTGAGGTCAGGAGTTCGAGACCAGTCTGGCCAATATGGCGAAATCCCATCTCTACTAAAAGTACAAAAAATTAGCCAGACATGGTAGCAGATGCCTGTAATCCCAACTACTAGGGAGACTGAGACAGGAGAATCGCTTGAATTCAGTTGGCAGAGGTTGCAGTGAGCCGAGATCACGCCATTGCACTCCCAGCCTGGGCAACAGAGCGAGACTCTGTCTCAAAAAAAAAAAAAAATAGTTTGGCTTTTTTTCCATTTTCCCCAATCTCTCTTCTGCATCATCACATTCTTCCCTTTTCCTGAATCATACCCATGAGCACACAAACATGGAGAAGTTTTTCTTGTCTTAAAACAGAAACAAACTCTTTTAAATGTACAACCCTCTTTGGTCACTGCCTTACGTCTGTTTCTTTCTTAAGTTTCTTTCTTTCTTTCTTTTTTGAGACGGAGTCTCACTCTGTCACCCAGGCTAGAGTGCAATGGTGCAATCTCAGCTCACTGCAACCTCCGCCTCCCAGGTTCAAGTGATTCTCCTGCCTCAGCCTCCTGAGTAGCTGGGATTACAGGCGCCCACCACCACACCTAGCTAACCAAGTTGCCCTGGTGATCCACCCACCTCGGCCTCCCAAAGTGCTGGGATTACAGGTGTAAGCTACTGCACCCAGCTTCTATCTTTTTAATGGAAACATTTTAAATTAAATTCAGCCTCAAACTGTCTTAACTCTGCCTCTCTCTATTGCCACCACATGTCCTGGGCTGCCATCATCTTTCACCTACAGAACTACAACAGCCTCCTAAAAGAGACTTAATAATCTGTACAACAAACCCCCATGACACCAGTTCGCTTATACAACAAATCTTCACATGTACCCCAAACCTAAAATACAAGTTAAAGAAAAAGGACTTGTGGCTGGGCATGGTGGCTCACAACTGTAATCCCAACACTTTGGGAGGCCTAGGCAGGTGGATCACCTGAGGTCAGGAGTTCGAGACCAGCCTGGCCAACATGGTGAAACCCTGTCTCTACTAAAAATACAAAAATTAGCTGGGTGTGGTGTCACATGCCTGTAGTCCCAACTACTCAGGAGGCTGAGACAGGAGAATCGCTTGAACCCAGGAGGCAGAGGCTGCAGTGAGCAGAGATTGTGCTACTGCACTCTAACCTGGGTGACAGAACAAAAGTCCATCTCAAAAAAAAAAAAAAAGGTCTTGTTTAACTATTAGTGAGAAAGGATGTCGAAATCCCCAAGAGGTTTGCTCTCGTCCAAATTTGAAGAGCTTACAATAATATCACTATTTTGAATTTGTGATTTGAACAAAGGATTAAATAAAGTTGTGCTTTGCTCAATAATTTCTGGTTAAGCTACCAAGTTAGCTCCTTTATTTTATTTATTTTTTATTTTTGAGACACATTCTCTCTCTGTTGCCCAGGCTGGAGTGCAGTGGCACCATCCTGGCTCACTGCAACCTCTGCCTCCTGGGTTCAAGTGATTCTCCTGCCTCTGCCTCCTGAGTAGCTGGGATTACAGGCGTGCACCACCATGCCGGGCTAATTTTTGTATATTTAGTAAAGATGGGTTTTTACCATGTTGGCCAGGCTGGTCTCGAACTCCTGACCTCAAGTGATCTGCCCACCTTGACCTCCCAAAGTGGTAGGATTACAGGTGTGAGCCACCGCGCCCAGCCCAAGTTAGCTCCTTTAAAAACATATTTTGGGCCAGGCACAGTGACTCAAAAAATATTTTTAAAGGAACTAACTTGGTAACTTATGTTCCCAATACTTTGGGAGGCCCAGGTGGGAGGATCGCTTGAGCCCAGGAGTTCAAGGCCAGCCTGGGCAACATAGTGAGACCCTATATTTATGAAAAATGAAAATATTAGCTGGGCATGGTGGTGTGTGCCTGTAGTTCCAGCTCCTCAGAAGGCCGAGGTGGGAGGATTGCTGAGCTCAGGAGGTCAAGGCTGCAGTGAGTTGTGATCGTGCCACTGCACTCGCAGCCTGAGGAACAGAGTGAAATCCTGTCTCAAAAACTTTTTTTTAATTAAAAAAAAACGTACTTTGAAGACACCTACACACAGATACATACAGCTGTGTACTATAGGCATAGCTTCCATTTGAACCAAGTCTTTTTTTTTTTTTTGAGACGGAGCCTCACTTTGTCACTCAGGCTGGAGTGCAGTGGCACGATCTCAGCTGACTGCAAACTCCACCTCCTGGATTCAAGCAATTCTTATGCCTCAGCCTCCAGAGTAGCTAGGATTACAGGCGCCTGCCACCACACCCGGCTAATTTTTGTATTTTTAGTAGAGATGGGGTTTCACCATGTTGGCCACGCTGGTCTTGAACTTCTGACCTCAAGTGATCCACCTGCCTCCGTCTCCCAAAGTGCTGGGATTATAGGTGTGAGCCACCGCACCTGGCCTGAACCAAGTCTTTAAGAGGGAGAATTCTGGGTGTGTTGGACTGGAAAGGAAAGGAAGTAGTTCTGGGCTTTTCCTTGGTGATCTTGGGGAGCCCACCCCTACCCTGGCAAGGGCCTTGGCATCCAGCTTCAGGTAGACCTCAGACCACAGGGGATACAGCATGGAGTTCCCTGTGTCCACCTGTGCCCTGACCTCTGGGTAATTCTCAGACAAAACCCACAGTACTTTAGGGGCCAAGGGCAAGCTTCCCCTTCACCCTCTGAAGGCTCATGGAAAAGTCAACTGACAAAAAGCAGGTTAAGAACAGAGAAGGCATACAAATTCATTAATATGCATGGGAGTCGTAAGACCTCAGATACATGGCTGGATGGCTGATGCTTCTTTTTTAAAAGTTTTTTTTTTAATTTAATAGCTATTTTTTTAGAGATGGAGTCTCACTCCATCACCCAGGCTGAAGTGCAGTGGTGCGATCATAGCTCACTGGATCTTTGAACTCCTGTGCTCAAGCGATCCTCCCACCTCAGCCTCTTGAATAGCTGGGACCACAGGTGCACACCATCACATCTGGCTAATTTTTTGTTTGTTTGTTTGTTTCTGAGACAGGGTCTCACTCTGTCACCCAGGCTGGAGTGCAGTGGCTTGACCATGGCTCATTGCAGCCTCAACCTCCGGGCTCAAGAAATCCTCCCACTTCAGCCTCCCAAGTAGCTGGGACTACAGGCATGCACCAGCACACTGGGCTAATTTTTATATTTTTAGTAGAGATGGGGTTTTGTCATGTTGCATATATATATACATATATATGTGTATATATGTGTGATATATATATGTATACATATATACATATATATATGTATATATGTATACATATATATATATATATATTTTTTTTTTTTTTTGTAGAGACGGAGTCTTACTTTGTTGCCCAGGCTGGTCTCAAACTCCTGGCTTCAAGCAATCCTCCCACCTTGGCCTTCCAAAGTGCTGGGATTATGGTCCCACCTTGCCCAGCCTGGTTGATGCTTTTCTGTAACCATCTTGAGGTTTCAGAAAAAACGAGGGCTTGGAGCAAGACCAGACAGGTTATGGGAAGGAGAGAAGAGGGGGCTTGGCTTACAAAGGTCATCTTGTTATGTAGATGAAATCTCACAGGTAGCAGCTCTCAGAGAGAAGAGATGGTGAATGTTCTTTTCAGATGTTTAAAGGTGTCGGACTCTCAGTTCATCTTTCCCAGATTGGACAATGGAAGGCCTCAGGGAAAGCCTGGTTGCACCCGTGTGGATTTTCTCTACAGGTGCAAATCTCCCCAACAAAGGGTAGCTTTGCAGCTTTTCCTTTATTTCCAGACCTTCTGAATAGCCATGTTGTACCATGTCAAGGAAATCTATTTTGGGGTGAAATATTTCAGTTTCCTTCAGTAATTTTGGAGGTGATGTTGAGTTGTAGGAGGGGGAGATAAGATTATTATTTTTCCTACATAAACTACTGTCATTGAGTACCATTTTTCTATTGCCTCTACCACACAGAGAAGAATGTATCAAGCACTCTAGTAGGCACTGCAGTATTTACAACTGAGAAAATAAGCAACTGGAAATATAAAAATTGTTACCTAGGGACGGGCAGGTGGCTCATGCCTGTAATCCCAGCACTTTGGGAGGCCAAGGCGGGTGGATCACTTCAGGTCAGGAGTTTGAGGCCAGTCTGGCCAACATGGTGAAACACTGTCTCTACTAAAAATGCAAAAATTAGCTGGGTGTGGAGGTGCATGCTTGTAATCCCAGATACTCGGGAGGCTGAGGCAGGAGAATCACTTGAACCCAGGAGATGAAGTTTGCAGTGAGCCGAGGTCACGGCACTACACTCCAGCCTGAGCAACAGAGCAAGACTCTGTCTCAAAAAACAAAACAAATTAAAATACAATAATAAATGAATAAAAATTGTTACCTATTTATTTTGGAGGAAACATATCTTGCCTAAACCCTAGCTTTCATTCAAAATGAATGATATATCAGAATGTCAGCCAAATTATAGCTAAGATTCATTTTCCCTATGAGTCTCTGTTTTGTTATGATTACAGCCTACAGCACCACTCAATTGTTAATGGTAACTGAAAAAATATATATATAATCCTCTGCTTCCCAGGTTCACGCCATCCTCCCACCTCAGCCTCCCAAGTAGCTGGGATTACAAGCATGGACCACCACGCCCACCTAATTTTTGTACTTGTGTTAGAGGCAGGGTTTCACCATGTTGGCCAGCTGGTCTCAAACTCCTGACCTCAAATAATCTGCCCGCCTCAGCCCCGCAAAGTGCCGGGATTACGGGCATGAGCCACTGCGCCTGGCCACTGAAAATATTTTAAAAATAATTTCGAAATGTAAAAATGATCTATAAATGATCCATTATGTGAAGCTAATTGCTTCTTTGCTTTTATATACATTCAAAAAAAGAAGCCAGTGTCATTGTGGATTAGACTCATGAACTTCCCCCCCACCCGCTTTTTCTCCTCCTTTTCACCAAAAAATTAGTCATTAGACTGATAACTGACAACAGAATGATGCCAAGTTGGTCAACTGCTGTCAAGCAACTCTCAATCTTCTTTTTCTTTTTTTGTTTGAGATGAAGTTTTGCTCTTGTCACCCAGGCTGGAGTGCAATGGCATGATCTTGGCTCACTGCAACCTCTGCCTCCTAGTTTCAAGGGATTCTCCTGCCTCAGCCTCCTGAGTAGCTGGGACTACAGGTGTGTGACACCACACCCGGCTAATTTTTGTATTTTTAATAGAGATTGGGTTTCACCGTGTTGGCCAGGCTGGTCTCAAACTCCTGACCTCAGGTGATCTGCCCGCTTGGCCTCCTAAAGGGCTGGGATTACAGGCGTGAGCCACTGCACCCGGCCTCAATTTTCTTTAATAAAAGATTAATTGGTGTCAGGTTGCTTAGGGAGAGGGGAGCAAAAACTCAGTCTTCAGCAACTGTGGGCTGTTTCTGGTGAATTAGTACCTCCTCCTGGCAATACTTTATCCAGCAGTGTTGCTGACAAATGGAAGTTGCTGGGGTGGGTGGAAGAGAAGGAGTAAACAGGGGGTCAGTTTTAGTGGCTTTATGTACCTGCTGTGGATAAATCAGTTCAGTGGATTTTTCATTTCCTTTTTCCACAAAGTGAGAAATAGTAGAGAGAATTAAGCTAAAAGACCGTTTGTAAATACAAAGTCACTGCATCTTCCCCCTCCACCAACATGATATATTCTCGAGTTTCTATTGTGTTCTAGGCCCTTAGATGAGTACTATGTGCTTAGTGTGTGCCTGTCCTCAGCAGGGTAATTCCACTTGCATCAGCCCCTCCTCGCATTGCTATAAAGAAATGCCTGAGACTGGGTCACTTATAAAGAAAAGAGGCTCAATTGGCTCCTGGTTCTGCAGGCTGTGCAGGAAGCATTATACTGGGATCTGCTTCCGGGGAGGCTCCAGGAAGCTTCCAATCATGTTGGAAGGTGAAGGGAGAGCAGGCGCCTTACATGGCCAAAGCAGGAGCAAAAGGAGAGAGTGGAGATGCCACACACTTTTAAACAACCAGGTCTCAGGAGAACTCACGATCGCCAGGACAGCACCAAGGGGATGGCGCCAAACCATTCATGAGAGACCCACCCCTCCTCCCGCGATCCATCCAATCACCTCCCACCAGGCCCCACCTCCAACGCTGGGGATTACAATTCGACAGGAGATTTGGGCGGGGTCGCACATCCAAACCGTATCCCCACTTGTTTCCCACCAAATGGTCTGCCCTTAGCCAGTCCCTCTGACTTTCTCAGTAAGAAAGTGCGAACTGAGGTGCCTGAGTGGCAGAGCTGGGATTGGAAAGCAACGTAGTGGATCCCAGAGTCAACATTCCGTTTTTGCGGGGTGGGGGTTGGAGGAGTTGGGAGGTCTTACTATATTGCCCAGGCTGGTCTCGAATTCCCATAGGCTCAAGCGATCCTCCCGAGTGCGGAGATTACAGGTGTGCGCCACGGCGCCCGGCTCCAAAGTCAACGTTCTTAACGTCTGCCTTACACTGTCTCCATGTTCTTACCTTTCATCCATTTTCTCTGGCTCATCATCTTGTCCATTTCCCTTCTCAGGGTCACCACCTCCCTCAGACGTTTCTGGGACAGATCCAAGCCAGCAGAGCAGCTGCTCGCTCCAGAGCCGTGGTGTCTTCCTGGTGCATCAGCGCCACCGCGTGGCAAAACAGGGCAACTGTAGGAATCGACTTTCCATCTATTTGGAGCTCATCAGTGCTTTTCTTTTAGGTGACAACAGAGTTGTCCGGCAGGTTTTTCCTTTCTTTTCTTCAAGTAGGGTAACATTAGTTCACATCTGCTCAAAATAATTTATGTTCGTATTCTAACAGACTCATATGGCAGGAACAAGAAGTGCACATGCCAAAAGAAAGGCAGAGGACTGCAGGAGCAAGACGGGTTGCAAGGGGCGTGATGACTAGCACAATCCTGGCCCCTCTTCTTCCAGCATTATAAAGACACAGTAGAATAATAGTGCATGAGTTATTGTGACAGTAGCACTTTTCAAAAATATATAGCATTGTGGAAACAGACGCCTCCAAATATATATTCCTCACTGCAATAAATGTCTATGTAAGAGTAATATCTAAATCTGGTTACGTATGTGCTAGCCCTTACTTGCACATCTGATAGTGTTCCACGATTCCTTTGCAGAAGCTGTGGCTGACTTTCCCACCTGGGGTGATTTCAGGACAATATTAAGGTGCTTTGTTCTCCCTGTAAGGAAGCAAGTTGGATAATGTACACAAAACTAAAAGCATATGTTCAGTATAGTTAATAAGTAAATTGGTGATCTGTAAGCCATATTAAGATAAATGGAATAAACAGTATAATGGAACAGACAGCAATGTTCCTCAAAGATAGAAAATCACTCTGCACCTTATAAGCTGACAGCTGTGTCATGTCATGCCTAAGTCAACCACACATTGGTGAGACCCAGTGTGGTCCCATTCTGGCCCCATATGCACTCTGCCCAAGAAAAGGGAGATAAGCCCAGTGCTGCTCAGTGGGCTGACCAGCCAGCTGCAGCGGTGGGCACGTGTGCGTGCTCTGTGTCTTCTGGTGGAGGAGGGGATGTGTCGGCTCCAGGTGCGGCCATTTCTTGGGTCCCTCTACTGGAACTTCCATGCTGGTCCTTACATCCGTGCTACCATGAGGCTGATATAGCTGAGAAAGGGATAAGACATGTAAACTTTGCGTGATCTGGATCCAGACAGTGTGCTCCTTCTGTCCCACTTGCATCCTATCCTAAGCTTGTTAACCTTTTGGACTGTGTGTCTTTCTGCTCCGCGACCCTGGGATGGCTCGCCTTGGTGGTGCTCTGGGAGCTACTGGTGCATCTAGGTAATTTTCTACACAAGTACAGGTAAGGGTTAAGCTGTTTGGGTGTCAGAAATTCTATGTAGGAGGGTCATAGGGAAAACAGTTTATTTGGAAAAAGAGGCTGGAAGGCTGGTCTTGAGGCTGTATTTTCTTTTTTCTTTTTCTTTTATATTTTCTTAGAGATGGGGAGTTTCACGCTGGTCACCTAGGCTGGAGTGCAATGGTACGATCTCGGCTCACTGTAGCCTTTGCATCCTGGGGTTCAAGCGATTCTTGTGCCTCAGCCTCCCAAATAGCTGGAATTACAGGCATGCGCCACCATGTCCAGCTAATTTTTTGTAGTTTTTAGTAGAGATGGAGTTTCACCATGTTGGCCAGGCTGGTCTCGAACTCCTGACCTCAAGTGATCTGCCCACGTCAGCCTCCCAAAGTGGTGGGATTACAGTCATGAACCACCGTGCCTGGCCTGAACCTGCATTTTCTTAGTGTATTAGTCAGCTCTGGCTGCCCTAACAAAAAGCCACAGACCCAGTGGCTTAAACAAAAGGAATTTATTTTCTTACAGTTATGGAGACTGAAAGTCCAAGGTCAAGGTGCTGGCAGGGTTGGGGTCTGGGTTCTCTCTTTGGATTGCAGACGGCTGCCTCCTTGCCATGCCTCATGGCCTCTCCTTAGTGTGTGTGGATGGAGAGAGGAAGAGGAACCAAGCTCGCTGGTGTCTCTTATAAGGGCACTGATTCCATCATGCAAACTCCACCCTCATGATCTCATCTAGGCTTCATCACCTCCCAGAGGCATCACAATGGGGTAGAGAGAGCTTCACCATAATGACTTTTAGGGGGACATAATTCAGTCCACAGCATTTAGCAAACACATTTTTTATTTAGAGTGACGGAGGTGGGAGGGGGCAGCTCTGAATTAGCCTTCACTGAACTGAAAAACATTTATTCCTGGGAAACGCAACATGCCAAGTGAAATCCACACTAACCTGCAGGTGGTAGCGGATCCCTGCCTGAGAGCAGCTTGGGGTTGGGGGCGAGGAGGGAAGGGAGTGGGCAGGGGGTGCTGATGATGGTGGACTCATCAAAGAGGGGAGGAAAAGGGAGAAGAGAACACAGTCATCCTTAGGTTGCGAACCAGGGCAAAGACAAACTTCTGCCTAAATCACAACTCTGACTCATGGAGGTCCTGCTAAGCATCTGGCAAATTTTATAAAGAAAAATGTTCTGGGCCTCCCAACTACAGGTTTAAAAATCTACATTTTCTCTAAGGCTAGTAAAATATGTGTTTCTCATCTCAAAGAGACGTGGACATTACTTCCGCCATTGCTTCTACACATCACCTTCCCCACATCCATCAGAGGGTGTGTACGAAGCACTCACCCTGGACCCCAAGGCTTGCCTGCGACAGAGCTCGCTCCATCTGCAGAGTCCGTTAAACAGATTTTGCGGCAAATTCAAGTTGATCCACAGCAGTTATAAATCCAGCACTCCAGGCCGGGCACGGTAGCTCACACCTGTAATCCCAGCACTTGGGGAGGCCGAGGTGGGCAGATCACTTGAGGTCAGGAGTTCAAGACCAGCCGGGCCAATATGGCGAAACCCCATCTCTACTAAAAATACAAAAATTAGCCAGGCATGGTGGTACATGCCTATAATCCCAGCTACTTGGGAGGCTGAGGCATGAGAATTGCTTGAACCTGGGAGGCAGAGGTTGCAGTGAGGCTGAGATCACACCACTGCACTCCAGCCTGGGTGACAGAGTGAAACTGTTTCTCAGTAATAATAATAATAATATAAAAAAACAAATTCAGCACTACTCAGTTCAGTCATCAGCCCAGGAGGAGTCCAGGACAACGGAAAGCTAGAACAAAGGGAGCAGTACTGAACCCCTTCCAAGCCCTGGAAAAACTGCACGCACAGACCAGGGCACCAGGTGATACTTGGTACACAGGTAGGTGACTCCTATTTATCAGATGGGAGGCTGACTGCTCTGTGCTCATTGGCTTCCTGGTGGCATCTCTGATTTACTAGCCAGGCTGCGCATGGTGGCTCACACCTTTAATCCCAGCACTTTGGGAGGCCGAGGCGGGTGGATCACCTGAAGTCAGGAGTTCAAGACCAGCCTGGCCAATATGGTGAAACCCCATCTCTACTAAAAATACAAAAATTAGCCAGGTGTGTAATCCCAACTACTCGGGAGGCTGAGGCAGGAGAATTGCTTGAACCCAGGAGACAGAGGTTGCAGTGAGCAGAGATCGCATCAGTGCACTCCAGCCTGGGTGACAGAGTGAGACTGTCTCAAAAAAAACAAAAACAAAAAAAAAAGCCAGGCATGGTGGCAGGCACGTGTAGTCCCAGCTACTCGGGAGGCTGAGGTGGGAGGATTGCTTGAACCTGGGAGGCAGAGGTTGCAGTGAGCCAAGATCATGCCACTGCACTCCAGCCTGGGTGACAGAGCGAGACCCTGTCTCAAATTAAAAATAAATAAATAAATAAACAAAAGCAAATCAGGCCCAGTTTGAAGGTAGAGATGGGGTCATTTATATGGATGCAACTACTGGCCATTGATTGTATGCCAAGCACTGTGCTTGCTTTCCATATTTTTTTCTAGGTTTTTGTTTTTGTTTTTGTTTTTTGGTCTGTCGCCTGGCATGGAGTGCAGTGACACCAGTGCGACTCACTGCAGCCTTGACCTCCCGAACTCAATTGATCCTCCCACCTCAGCCTCCCATAGCTGGGACTACAGGCTCACACTACTATGCTCAGCTAATTTTTTAAATTAATTATTGTTTTTTTAAATTAATTATTATTTGTAGGGATGGGGGTCTCTCTATGTTGCACCTGGCCAAGACATCATTCTAACTGAACTACGCAAGTCACAAAAGGACAAATACTGTATGATTCTGTTCAAGTGAGATGCCTAGAATAGTCAGATTTATAGAGCCAAAAAGTAGCATGGTGGTTGTCAGGGGTTGGGGATAGGAGAAATAGGGAGTTATGGTTTAATAGGTACAGAGTTTCAGTTTGGAAAGATGAAAAAAACCCTATAGATGAATAGTGGTGATGGTTGCACAACAATGAGAACGTGTTTAATGATACTGAATTAATAAGATAAAAATGGTTAAAATGAGGCCAGGCATGGTGGCTTAGACCTGTAATCTCAGCACTTTGGGAGGTCAATGCAGGAGGATCACTTGAGTCTAGAGGTTCAAGACCAGCCTGGGCAACATGGCCAAACCCTGTCTCTACAAAAAATACAAAAATTAGCAAGGTGTGGTTGCACACATCTGTAGTCTCAGCTACTCGGGAGGCTGAGGTGGGAGGATGACCTGAGCCTGGGGAGGTCGAGGCTGCAGGACAACAAACCAAGACCCTGTCTCAATAATAAATTTTATGTTATGTATATTTTACCATAATTCTTTTTTTATTTTTAGTCTTGCTCTGTCATCCAGGCTGGAGTGCAGTGACATGATCTCGGCTCACTGCAAACTCCACCTCTCAGGTTCAAGCGATTCTCCTACTTCAGACTCCTGAGTAGCTGGGATTATAGTCATGCACAACCACGCCTGGCTAACTTTTGTATTTTTAGTAGAGATGGGGTTTCACCATGTTGGCCAGACTGGTCAGACTGGTCTTGAACTCCCGACCTCAAGTGATCCTCCTGCCTCGGCCTCCCAAAGTGCTGGGATTACAGATGTGAGCCACTGCGCCCAGCACCCCTCCTTTTTATTTTGAGACAGAGTCTCGCTGTGTCTCCCAGGCTGAAGTGCAGTGGCAGGAACACAGGTCACTGCAGCCTCAACCTCCTGGGCTCAAGCAATCCTCCTACCTCAGTCTCCCATATAGCTGGGAGTACAGGTATGCACCACCACACCCAGTTAATTTTTTGATTTTTTTTTTTTTTTTTTTTTTGTAGAGACTTGGTCTCACTTTGTTGCCCAGGCTGGTCTCAAACTCCTGGGCTCAATTGATCTTCCTGCCTCAGCCTCCCAAAGTGCTGAGATTACAGGCCTGAGCCACTGCACCTGGCCCACAATATGTATTTTTTAAAGTTTAAAATAAGTAACTTCGTCTTAGATAGCACCTGCTGAAAAGTTTCTGGCCAACACAGCTTTTCCTGGCTCCAAAGCTCCTATCTGTTCTTTGTCACCACAATACCTCACTCCTTAAAGGCAACGTCTGTCCTAGGCCCCACTCATAGAAGCAGAGGGTGGACAGGGCTGTACCCGTCGTTTCCTCTTCTTCACCCGAGCATCCCCAGCCTCTTGCTCATAGTCCATTGCTGTAGGTGTTTTGACAATGGGGCCAGCCTCAAATGGCAACTCGACTCCATATAAAATATAATTATGTTTTTTAAATTTTAGGTCAAGCTTTGAATCATTGCAAAATAATCAAGAAAAGGCAGTGGTGGCACAAAATGATGATATAGTTATGAAATTGTCATCTGAAATCTGTCTAGAATGTATTGAAATCCATATTAATTTGGAAAGACGTGGAGAGAGGATGAGGTTTTGACATGTCATCTGGAGTTGAGGAATCACTTTGGAAGGAGCTGTTGAGGGCTACAAAATATTGAACTAGCATAAATATTTGCTTTGAATGATCTTTCATCTTCCTAAAGACGTCAGGAAGTTTCTCAAGGGAAGTTAAGGTGGTTTGCTATAGGCTAGCAACCCGACCTCGATCCATGCCATAATTCACATGGCTTCTCCTTCTGCTCAGGGAGGTGTAGATGCCACAGATGATTCTGGAGTAATCTCTGTATGTTTAGATCCTATTGGGGTGAGTTGGGGAGTCAGTCTGAAGTGAGATCCAATAATATGTCAACCAATAACAAGAGAGGATTCTGGAAAGGAGGTCTGGAATGTGTTTAAAAATAAAAGTTAAGCCTACATCCATACAGAGAAACAAGAAGATAGATGCTTGGGTGAGATAACTAACCATCTAGCCTGGGCACAGTGGCTCACACCTGTAATCCCAGCACTTTGGGAGGCCGAGGCTGGTGGATCACTTGAGCCCGGAGGGTCAAGACCAGCCTGGGCCACATGGCAAACCCTGTCTCTATAAAAAGTACAAAAATTAGCCGGGTGTGGTGGTGCATGCCTGTAGTCCCAGCTACTCAGGAGGCTGAGGTGGGAGGATGGCTTGAGTCCAGGAGGTTGAGGCTGCAGTGAGCCATGATGACACCACTGCACTCCAGCCTGGGTGACAGAGCAAGACCTTGTCAAAACAAAACAAAACGACAATATCAAAAAACAATCTAGAGGTGATGGTCAAAGGGTATGAAGTTTTAATTATGCAAGATAAATAAATTCTGGAGATCTCTATACACATAGTGCATATAGCTAACAATTCTGTATTGTATACTTAAAATTCTCTGAGAGGGTAGGTCTCATATTAAATACTCTTACCACACATACACACAAATAATAATTATAATAGGAGTGGAAGGAAGCTTTGGGAGGTGACAAATATGTTTATGGCCTTGATGGTGATGGTTTCATGGGTGTATACTTATCCCCAAGCTCATTGGCTTGTATATGTTAAATATGCACCGCTTTTTACGTGTCAGTCATACAACAATAAAGTGGTTTAAACATTTTGTTTTTAAAGAGAACAATTTGGAATTAGACATGGAATATGAAAACAAATGCATGAATACAAATTTGCAGGCCATTAATGAGAATTGAGTAAACTAGCTCTCTGAGTGGAAACAGCTGAAATTCTCCTAGTAAGCATGTTATCCACACCCAGTAATGTTGTATGTTACGTTTTACTCTCTTGTGTGGTGTTATATTTTACAATAAAGAGAAGAAAAAGTGCACTGTCTGAGCATAAGGTGGGGGGAGGACGTGTCTATCATTGCTTCATGTCGTCGTCCCTGCTGTGTGTGATCTTCACCATGTTGCAGTTCATTTGGGAGCTGAAGACAAAGGCTAGTTGCTGTTTTAATGTTCTGCCGTCTCTGAAGTTGCAGGATGGTTATGTTAATGCTGTGGTTTGAAAATGGAAGCCTGAGATGGCAGCAAAATTCCTGGCTCCCACCCGCCCTTCTGGGGATGCACAGGAAGAATATCCCACAAGGATCTCCATCCTGCACATTCCAGGGCAGATCTGGGCAATATCAAACAAGAGAACCAGCCGAGCTCACACTTGTCTGGACCCAGTGAAAGCTCTTGCCCGACTTTATAGCAAACAAGAGTGCTTAGAATAATTGCTCCTAATTTTGTTTGTTTATTTATAAGTAGAAAGGCATGAGTCTTTCTATCCTGGGTAAAAGCCAAATCAAGCAATTTGATTCATTATTCATGGTGCCACTGACCAACTTGAAATTAAGAAATAAGAGCTGGATGAAAGCCAGGCACAGTGGCTCATGCCTGTAATCCCAGCACTTTAGGAGGCCAAGGTGGGCAGATTGCCTGAGTTTAGGAGTTCGAGACCAGCCTGGGCAACATAGTGAGACCCCCCCCCAGCTCTCCTAAAAAAATTAGCCAGTCGTGGTGGCACGTGCCTGTAGTCCCAGCTATTTGGGAGGCTGAGGAAAGAGAATCATTTGAACCCAGGAGGCAGAGGTTGCAGTGAGCCGGGATCACGACACTGCAATCCAGCCTGAATGACAGAGGAAGACTCTGCCTCAAAAAAATAAAATAAAGTAAAATAAAATAAAATAAAATAAGAAGGAACTGCATGAAGACAACAGCTTTCTGTAAAATTCAGTTCAAACCTATAAATCTGAACTATCTGAACTTTCTGGTTCTTCCTGTGTGCCTAGTACCGTGCATCAGAGCATTTGTTGAATAAAATGATAAATATTCAGCAGCATGTTTTTATACCACCACACTCTTTGATGGGGTTGTTTGTTCACTGATCCCAGCACTGGTTGCTTTAGCATACCTCCACTCAATTTTCTGTCTATAATGAGTCCATTCTATTTGCTTTGAAAGCCACTTTAAAATAAGTGTGCCAAAGTGAAAACACATTTGGCCAGGCAACGCATTTTATAATTTCCTGCAGCAACTGTTATCATGACTTGTGATTATGTTAGTATAATCGCAGAGAAATAGATGCAGGATAGCAGTCCTTCCTGATGTTAGATACTTTTCAGTGACATGGTGCAAAAAATACAGTTACTGTTAATAATGAGTTTCTCCAAGGGAGGTAGGTGTAGGAATATGCACGGATAATACTGTAAACCTCTACTTCTCTACCTGCTGTCAGCAAGCTCACTATTTTTTAATTGGACTTCTTTACTCAAGAATATCTTATACTGTGATTTTTTTTTTTGAGACGGGGTCTTATTCTACAACCCAGGCTTGAGTACGGTGGCATGATCATAGCTCACGGAAGCCTCAAACTCCTGTGTTCAAGCCATCCTCCAGCCTCAGCCTCCCAAGTAGCTACACCTACAGGTGTGTGCCACCATGCCTGGCTAATTTTTAAAATTTTTATTTATCTTTAGTAGAGATGAGGTCTCACTCTGTTGCCTAGGCTGGTCTTGAACTCCTAGGCTCAAGCGATCTTCCCACCTCAGCCTCCCAAAGTGCTGGGATTACAGGTGTGAGCCACCACTCCCGGCCTAAACTTAAGTCTAAGCACAATCAAGAGCATTACATTTGGTCGGGCACAGTGGCTTACGCCTGTAATCCCAGTACTTTGGGAGGCCAAGGTGGGCGGATCACGAGGTCAGGAGTTTGAGACCAGCCTGGCCAACATGGTGAAACCCCGTCTCTACTAAAAATACAAAAAATTTAGCAGGACATGGTGGCATGCACCTGTAATCCCAATTACTCAGGAGGCTGAGGCAGGAGAATTGCTTGAACCCGGGAGGTGGAGGTTGCAGTGAGCTGAAATCACACCACTGCATTCCAGCCTGGGTGACAGAGCAAGACTGTGTCTCAGCAAAAAAAAAAAAAAAAAGCGTCACATTTTTTAGGTAATTTAAGACCTAAAATGAAAGCATATATATCTAGAGATTTACTTTATTTCTATTCCCATGGTCTCTTTTCTTTATCTTACTGTTGCCTAAAAATGCTAAAATTGTATTGTGTATGTTAGAACATTATTTGGAGGCGGAAGCCAGGTGACAATGTTGTACATCGTGAAACCGGAGGTGAGCAGCCTCCTGGTGAACTGGAGTGTATGGGCCGGGGACAGATTATAGGAGATAGAGGTAGATTGGGAAAGGCACGGGCAGTCAGGGAAGAGCTTGGTTCTAGGGTTTTGGACTGAACTGATGAAGGAGCACAGGAAATTCTACAGGCCTTCAGGCCGTCCAGTGCAAGGACCCTTTCTGGGAAGTCACCCCGCCTTGCTGTTCTCAGCTTCACAGTGAAGCACACAGGGAACCCTGGCACAGCCAAGCCATTGAGTTGCCACCTACGTTAGTGTCAAAAGGTGTATCTCTCCTCAGTGTCCACTTCTCCTGATGGCAAGAGACAAGTCCTAACCAAAAATAAACGCCTTGAGAAATCTTCACTCTGTAGCCACGCGTGGTGGCAGGTGCCTGTAATCCCAGCTACTCGGGTGGCTGAGGCAGGAGAATCACTCGAACCCAGGAGGCAGAGGTCACAGTGAGCTGAGATCTCACCACTGCACTCCAGCCTGGGCAACAGAGACTCCATCTCAAAAAATAATATTAAATAAATAAATAAATCTTTGCTCTGTTTAAAAGTTCTGATCATCTCCTGAGCATGGTGGCTCACACCTGTAATCCCAGCGTTTTGGGAGGCCGAAGTAGGTGGATCACCTGAGGTCAGGAGTTCGAGACCAGCCTGGCCAACATGGCAAAACCCCATCTCTGCTAAAAATACAAAAATTAGTCAGGTGTGGTGGTGCACACCTGTAGTCCCAGCTACTCAGGAGGGTGAGGCAGGAGGATCATCTTGAACTCCGGAGGCGGAGGTTACAGTGAGCCAAGATCATGCCACTGCACTCTAGCCTGGGAAGCAGAGCAAGACTCTGTCTCCAAAATCAAAACAAAACAAAAAAACAAAAAAACTGGGGGGTCAGCTAGAAATAAGGTGAGGAAGAATTAAGCCGAAAAATAAGCTCCTTTAACTTTACCATGAAAACTCAAGATCTGCAACTCAAAGAGACCCAGAGGCTGCCAGACTTCTCCACGCTTACGACAGAAGCTGCCTGCAGGGCTCATGCAGCTCAATGTGGCAGGAAAGCATGTCCCCAGTCAAGTTGTTCCATTTTTTTTTGAGACAGAGTCTTGCTCTGTCGCCCAGGCTGGAGTGCAGTGGTGCAATCTCGGCAATGTCTGCTTCCTGGTTCACGCGATTCTCTTGCCTAAGCCTCCCAAGTAGATGGGATTACAGCCATGTGCCATCACGCCTGGCTAATTTTTTCTGTATTTTCAGTAGAGATGGGGTTTTGCCATGTTGGCCATCCCGGTCTCAAACTCCTGGCCTCAAGTTATCTGCCCATCTTGGCCTCCCAAAGTGCTGGGATTATAGATGTAAGCTACCACGGCCAGCCCCCAAATTTATGTAAAGAGTAAGAGCTTTCTAGCTTAATTTCTGAAGCCCATGTAATCTTGATTCCAAATCACAAAAGGGACATTCAGGAAAAGAAAATTACAGGTCCATCTCATCTTTATATTAGGATGTACAAACATTAAATAAAATTTTAGAAAATTGCACCCAACAGCATATTAAAATAATACATTATGATCAAGTGGGGCTCAACCTAGAAAAGCAAGAAGCCTTGGCCATTAGAAAATCTGTCAATATCGTCCATCACTTCGATGGACTGAAAGGGAAAAATCATATGATTAACTCAATTTTTCCAGGAAAAGCAATTGATAAAGGGCATTATCTATTTATGATTAAGGGGAAAAAAAAAGAAACTCAGAGCAAACTAAAAATAGAAGAGCACCTTCATAACTTGGTAAAGGCCCACTGCCAAACCCCAGAGCAAATATTATACTTCACAGAGAAATTGTAGATGCATTTTATTAATATTAAGACTAGTAACAAGGTATTACTGTAGATATGTAGCCTTGAACTGGAGAGCTGAAGAATGCTATAAGGCAAGAAAAGGAAATAAGAAGCTTTAAGCTTGGTAGAAAAGAGTCAAAACTGCCATAATTGGCCAGGCCTGTAATCCTAGCACTTTGGGAGGCTAAGGCAGGTAGATTGATTGAGCTCAGGAATTCGAGACTAGCCTGGGCAACACAGAGAGATCCCATCTCAAAAAAAAAAAAAAAACTAGCAGGTATAGTGGCATGCACCATAGTCCCCAGCTACCCAGGAGGCTGAAGTGGGAGGATCGCTTGAGCCTGGGACGTTGAGGCTGTAGTGAGCCATGATTGAGCTACTGCACTCCAGCCTGGGCAACAGGGCAAGACCCTGTCTCAAAAATAAAATAAAATAAAATAAAATAATAAAACCTGGCCAGGCACAGTGGCTCATGCCTGTAATCCCAGCACTTTCGGAGGCTGAGGCAGGCAGATTGCCTGAGCTCAGGAGTTTGAGACCGGCCTGAGCAACACAGTGAAACCTCATCTCTACTAAAATACAAAAAATTAGCCTGGTGTGGCAGTGTGCACCTGTAGTCCCAGCTACTCGGGAGGTTGAGGCAGGAAAATTGCTTGAACCCGGGAGGTGAAGGTTGCAGTGAGCCGAGATCATGCTACTGTACTCCAGCCTAGGCAACAGAGTGAGACTTTGTCTCAAAAAAAAAAAAAAAAACCTGTCATAATTTGCAGACTACATAAACATTCATCTAGAATAAACTAACAGAATCAAACTATGAGGACTAATAACAGAACCTAGGTAAGATACCAGACGTGAGGTTAACATAGAAAGCTCAATAGCATCTCCTTACTTGAGTAATAATTAACTAGAAAATATTAAAAAGCTACAATTCATAATATTAATAAAAATCATAAAATATTTAGAAATTAACTCAAAAGACACAACAGCCCTCTCTATGAAGAAAACTATAATAAAAGACATAGAAGATCTGAACAAATGGAGAGACAGTTCATACTCAGAGTGATCACTTGCTGTTACAAAAATGTTAATCACCTTCTCATTAGTCAATAGATACAAGGCAATACTAATACAAATTCCACTACGGTGTTGTGAAGAATCAATAAACTTATTCTAAAATGTATGTAGGGCTGGGTGCAGTGGCTCATACCTATAATCCCAACACTCTGGGAGTCTGAGGCAGATTACTTGATTCCAGGAGTTTGAGACCAGCCTGGGCAACATAGTGAAACCTCATCTCTACTAAAAACTAAACCAGCCAGGCATGGTGGTGTGCGTCTCTACTCCCAGCTACTCGGGAGGCTGAGGTGGGAGGATCACCTGCGCTTGGGAGGTCGAGGCTACAGTGAGCCAAGATCATACCACTGCACTCCAGCCTGGGCAACCGGAGTCAGACCCTGTCTCAAAAAATAAAAATAATAGTAGATTAAATGTATCTCAGAAAATAAAGATTTACATAGTTAGTTTTGAGGGATCTTTTGAATAAATTCAAAATTAGATGTGAAAATGAATATTCATTTAAAATGAGAAAAGAAAGTACAAAATACTAGGAGCTTGGAAATTCAGGTCCCTTTCTTATGAGTTCTCTTTATGTAACTTACCAGATGTGCTTACTTAGAAATGCTGACTGACTGCAACTTACTTTTCTTTCTCCACCTAGAACATTCTATGACTCCCAACTACTTTCAGGGATCCCCAGATGTGTACAAATGAGGGACTTTGAAGCTTAAGCTTCTTACTCTTCATGACAAATCCACTTCTGATACACAAATAGCAAAATCAACCTTCAAGAAGGAGACTAGGGCTGTCTGGCCACCGAGGCAGGCTGTAGGTGTGCTGAACCCAAATTTCTTCACCATGGAGACCTAGGAGTTGCAACATTGGTGAGGGTTCTGGTCAATACAGGGTTAATTTTGCCCAGGCTCCAGAGACCACTGCTGAAGTGTGAAGGACATAGGGCTGAGGAGGCTGGAGAAAGAAGAATGAATCTGCACAGGACCCTGCTCCTCTCAGGGAAGCAGAGGGATCGTGGAATGCAGTCTTCACTCCTGCCCCTGGAAGACTGGGTGCTTTGCTTCTGAGGAGATAAAAGCCCATTTAGACAATTCTCAATACACATTGTTAATATTCTATGATTTCCTTTTTTCACAACATTTTATTTTTAAAATTTGCAAGCCAGAGAAGTTGAAAGTCATGTAAAGAATACCAGACACCTTCATCCAGATTCAACAATTATCCACAACATCTTGCCACCTTTGCTTTCTATGTACTTACTCTTCTGAACCATTTGAAAGTAAGCTGCAGTCCAGGTGTGATGGCTCACGTCTGTAATCCCAGCACTTTGGGAGACCAAGGCAGGTGGATCACCTAAGGTCAGGAGTTTGAGACTAGCCTGGCCAACATGATGAAACCCCATCTCTACTAAAAAATAAAAAAATTAAAAATTAGCTGGGTTTGGTGGCAAGTGCCTGTAGTCCCAGCTACTCGGGAGGCTGAGGCAGGAGAATTGCTTGAATCCAGGAGATGGAGGTTGCAGTGAGCCAAGATCACGCCACTGCACTCCAACCTGGGTGACAGAGTGAGACTCCATCTCAAATAAATAAATAAATAAATAAATAAATAGCAAACAGAAAGGATTTATCTACCAAATATTAGGACATATCAGGAAGCCAAAGTAATAAAAATAGTGTGGGACTGGCAGAAGAATGCAAAGATAGATTCACAGATATATATGAGAACTTAATATAGGATGAAAACTGCAATGAACCAATGAGAGAAGGAGGGATAGGTGGTGTGGATAAACTGGTTCGTTATGTGGAAACCAAAAAAACTGAATCCCTGTCTTACATTACACAAGGATGGACTCCAGATGGATTTAAGACCTAACTATGAAAAGTGTATTTCTACAATTGTGTCTGGAATGCGTGGAGCCAGCTATATTTTGGAATTCAAAAGTTTTCAAATTTTAGAAAGGTAAGACGGTATATATATTGTATAACACCCTCAACTGGGTCTAGGGTAGCATCCTATAATCAAAGTCCTATGTATTTCTGTAGTAAATGGAGTAAATAACTGAAATCGACTTGGCTTAGTTCCAGTTGAATTTTGCCACCAAATCAGTGTTGGGGCTGTGCTGGGTTTCTTTAGTTTTCCTCTCTAGCCCCACTTTGTCCTCTTCCCCACCTTGCTCCTTACCTGGAAGGCAACTTCTTTGGATGTCATCAATAGGCTTGCCCTCGGGTGGAAGATCAGGGTTAGGGAGGAGAGCAGGACTGACCCTGACCCTCCACTGAGGGATCCAGCTCCTATAAGGCAGTCTTTTCCACAAAACTTCTCTGTCACCCAGTTCTGGGAGCCACTCCCCTCCCTCTGTTCCTTCCAGTCTTGGGGTAACGACCTGCAGGCTGGTATTAACTCAAGGCACAGCACTATCTCACTCGGGTCCTCTACCCCAGTGGTTTTTAATTGAGAGCAATTTGGCAATATCTGGTGACATTTGTGGTTGCCATGCCTGAGGGGGTGGAAGAGTGCTACTAGCACATAGCAGATAGAGATCGGGGTGCTGATAAATATCCTACAATGCACAACTCCTCACAATAAAGAAATATCTGCCTCCAAATGTCAATAGTGCCAAGGTTGAGAAACCCTGCTCTCGGCCTGGCATGGTGGCTCAGCCCTGTAATCTCAGCATTTTGGGAGGCTGAGGTGGGTGGATCGCTTGAGCCCAGGAGACTGAGACCAGCTGGGCAATATGGTGAAACCCTGTCTCTATAAAAAATACAAAAATTAGCCGGGCATGGTGGTGCACACCTGCAGGACTAGCTACTCCAGAGGCTGAGGTGGGAGGATCACCTGAGCCCAGGGAGATTGAGGCTGCAGTGGGCCATGATCACTCGTGTTGCCCACTGCACTCAAGCCTGGGCAACAGAGTGAGACCTTGTCTCACCAAAAAAAAAAAAAAAAAATAGCTGGCCGGGTGCAGTGGCTCACACCTCTAATCCCAGCACTTTGGGAGGCTGAGGCAGGAGGATCGCTTGAGGCCAAGGGTTCAAGACCAGCCTGTGCAACATGGCAAAGCCTCATCTCTACAAAAACATATAAAAATTAGGTGGGCATGGTGGCGTACACGTGTAGTCCCAGTTACCCAGGAGGTGGAAGTGGAAAGATCATTTGAACGAAGGAGGTCGAGACTGCAGGGAGCTAGGATCACACCACTGCACTCTACAGCCTGGGTGGCAGAGAAAATCCCATCTCAAAAAAAAAAAAGGAAGGGAAGAAAATAGAAATGAGGAATGAAGACAAAAGGTAATAAATTAGACAGTGGCTTCATAGAGTACAAAGAAGATGTTGCATTGTGAACTGAAATATAGGATTAATTCAACCTTCTGCATCTAAAATCAGAACTAGACCAAGCGAGGTTGTGGTAACCCCAGCACTTTGGGAAGCCAAGGCAGGAGGATCGCTTGAGGCCAGGGGTTCAAGACCAGCCAGGGCAACATGGTGAGACCCTATCTCTAAAAAAGTAATAATAATAATACAGAAAAATTAGCCGGACATGGTGGCACAGAGCTGTAATTCTAGCTACTTGGGAGGCTGAGGCAGGAGGATTGCTTGAGCCCAGGAGATCGAGGCTGCAGTGAGCTGTGATTGTACAACTGCACTTCAGTCTGGGCAACTGAACCAGATCCTGTCTCTAAAATTTTTTTTGAAAAAATAATAAATGAATAATAAAATCAGAAATGAAAACAAGAAAAGAAAAGAAAAAAGGAAGGTGGAAAGAAGGAGGGATGGAGGGAAAGGAAACATTCATCTTAGCTTGGAAGATAGTTTGTACTAAAACTTAAAGGGAGGCATAGAACCTGCCTGGATCAGGGGAAGTTAGTTCTGGAGGCTGACTGTTAACTGGGTAATTTGGAGCTTGCCCTCTGTGCTAACTGCTGAATGTTGCAGAGAACATGAAGGCAAGAGTTCACTTCAGCTTGCAGGCAGGTGTCGGTGTGAGGGGAAGATAGGGTAGAAACAGAAAACGTGGTAGGCCTGTGACAAGAGGTGGTTATTATTTGCTTGCGAAACATACCAACTCTGTCTGTTTCCTCCACCCACTCCTACCTCAACAAAAGCTAAAAGCCGCGGGCCACTTACTTCCTCTGAGCCCAGGAGATTCCCAGGACATAGAGCCGTCAGTACGGAAGCCCAGCCAGCCTGGGCAGACTGAGACAGTCAGTCACTCGCATAGCAGTATCCTCATTTTTCTGGGAATATTAATAATAAGAGTGATCGATGACATCTATTTAGCACTTACTCTGTGCTCTACATGTATTATGTCATTGATCCTCACACCGACTAAGGAGGGAGGTATTTGTGATATAATAAAATTTATTAACCTAGAAGAGTTCACAGATGGCCCCTCCCTTCAAAGAACACCATCCCTAGAGTTTTGTGTTCTGGGCTTTAAAATATATACATATATTTAATTTTTTTTTTTTTGGAAACAGGGTTTTCCTCTGTTGCTCAGGCTGGAGTACAGTGGCCCAATCTTAGCTCACTGCAGCCTTGTCCTCCGGGGCTCAAGCAATCCTCCCACCTCAGTCTCCCGAGAAGCTGGGACCACAGGTGCACACCATCACGCCCAGATAATTTTTGTATTTTTTGTAGAGATGGATTTCGCCATGTTACTTAGGCTGTGTGTTCTGTGCTTTAAACTGTTTTTTTTTCCCCTAATATTTCTGTCCTTGCAGATTTAATTCCTCCCCTTTTATTTTTTTCCTATGATTAGTTACAATTGAGTCACCTCACTGCCCTGCATTTACCTTTTGAATTGCAGGAAGCTTTATAAAACATCAAAACATCTAAAATTTGATATGTCTTAGCAAATTTGACAATGGGTTGGTGAACAGTGTTTGGTGAATTATCCGAGATAAATCATCTCTTCTGTTCCCCCCACAGTAGGAGGTGAGCTAGGAAGGCAGTCCTTGCTCGAAACACTTGCAGGCTCACCCAGGTGATATTTCTCTCAGCTTTCTTTCTCAGGTGCTGATCTGAACCTTCACATAAGAAAGGAGACCCTAATATGTGTTTACATCTGAAAAAAAAATCAAAGTACTTTTCTGGCTAACAAAGTGAAAGACTATTAACTACTTATAGACAGAATTATTTATTTGATATTTGTTTCATTTTTTAGGTGTTTGGAAGTGTTTTTTGTTTTTTTGTTTGTTTGTTTGTTTTGAGACAGAGTCTCGCTCTGTCATCCAGGCTGGAGTGCAGTGGTGCTATCTCAGTTCACTGCAAGCTCCTAGTTTTGTTTTTGTTTTTGTTTTTGTTTTTGTTTTTGTTTTGAGATGGAGTCTTGTTCTGTCACCCAGGCTGGAGTGCAGTGGCATGATCGTGGCTCACTGCAACCTCCACCTCCCAGGTTCAAGCAATTCTCCTGCTTCAGCCTCCTGAGTAGCTGGGATTACAGGTGCCCGCCACCACACCCAGCTAATTATTTATTTTTAGTAGAGACAGGGTTTCACCATGTTGGCCAGTCTAGTCTCGAACTCCTGACCTCAGGTGATCTGCCTGCCTTGGCCTCCCAAAGTGCTGGGATTACAGGCATGAGCCACTGTGCCTGGCCTGGAATAATTTTTTTACTGTGCTCTGACTTAGCCCTGGAATCAAGCTATTGGTAAATGAGGTGGATGTTAGTGTTTCTAAATTTTAAGAAATTTATTTAAAAATCTCATTTGAACAATATAAGAAAATAGGTGGTTTTTCATTTTTAATTGCTGAGTTTTCATCTTAAATGAACCAAACATATCTTTTCTGGGAATTCAACTCACAGTGTGATGAAGAAAATGTAATGTACTAAAAGGAGGTTTATCAATCTTTTTTTTTCCCCCAAGAGAAAGCTCTTTCCACTGAAAATATATAACTACTTTCAAATGCAATTATATATGAATTGTGATTATGTAACAGCAAGATTTACAGAGAGATGAAATTCTGAGATTTCCCTTATTTGAGATCAATTCAGTTATTGTTACTTCTTAATATATTATTTGATTTTTAGAGATGTTTCTCTTACAACATTTGACCACTTCCCTTTCTGGCATAAGGTGGGTTACATATACTACCCAACTCTCCTGGAACAAAACACCTAAAAGTTGTGAGAAAAAGAAATTTGAAAAATATTTTTAAATGCTGAAAATTACCTGAGCAGGTAAGAAGAAAAAAGAGAAAGTCTTTACAGGCCAAAAAATACGGAGAAAATAAGGACAAAGCAGAAGACATGAAGGTAAGCCAATCTGAAACCAAAGGCTACTGGAGGGATCCCTGGTCACCGAGAGCTAGTGACCCGAGAGATCCCTGGCTGCCTACAGCTAGTGCATGCAAGACTGTGGACTAGATCAGAGAACCCTGCATAAAGCTGTTTCCCATCCCAAAGCAGTGGGAAAAATTAAAAAGTAATGCTTAGTCATCTCCATCATCATCACAACGCCGTGGATAATGGTAAAGAAATGTTCTGTCGCCTGGGCGCCTGGCTCACGCCTGTAATCCCAGCACTTTGGGAGGCCCAGGCGGGCAGATCACCTGAGGTCGGGAGTTTGAGACCAGCCTGACCAACATGGACAAACCCCGTCTCTACTAAAAATAGAGAAAAAAAAAAATTAGCCGGGTGTGGTGGCACATGCCTGTAATCCCAGCTACTCAGGAGGCTGAGGTAGGAGAATCGCTTGAACCTGGGAGGTGGAGGTTGCAGTGAGCCGAGATCACGCTATTGCACTCCAGCCTGGGCAAAAAGAGTGAAACTCCATCTGAAAAAAAAAAAAAAAAAAAAAGAAATCTTCTGTCTTGATGTCTTGATCTTGGATCTGAGTAGACGGGTGTGTTAGTCCATTTTCACACTGCTGATAAAGATATACCCGAGACTGGGTAATTTATAAAGAAAAAGAGGTTTAATGAACTCACAGTTCCACATGGGTGAGGAGTCCCCACAATCATGGCGGAAGGAGAAAGGCACATCTTACATGGCAGCAGGCAAGAGAGAATGAGAGCCAAGTGAAAAGGGAAATCTCTTATCAAACCATCAGATCCCGTGAGATTTATTCACTACCATGAGAACAGAAGGGGGGAAACTGCCTCCATGATTCAATTATTCCCCACTGAGTTCCCTCCCACAACACGTGGGAATTATGGGAGCTACAATTCAAGATGAGATTTGGGTGGGGAGACAGCCAAACCATATCAAGGGGTAAAAGCATAAGAATTCCTAAGAATTCCTTCCTTCCTTCCTTCCTTCCTTCCTTCCTTCCTTCCTTCCTTCCTTCCTTGTTCCTTCCATTCTTTTCTTTAAAGGCAGGGTCTTGCTGTATCACCCAGGCTGAAGTGCAATGGCATGATCACTGCAGTCACAACCTCTCCAGATCAAGTAATCCTCCTGCC
Organism: Homo sapiens; assembly: GCF_000001405.40. NCBI lineage: Eukaryota > Metazoa > Chordata > Mammalia > Primates > Hominidae > Homo > Homo sapiens. The sequence continues at coordinate 95,424,061 of NC_000013.11, forward strand.
TTGGCCTCCTGAGTAGCTGGGACTACAGGTGCACACCACCATGACTGGCTAATTTTTTTTTTCTTTTTTAGTAGAGACGAGGTCTTACTAGGTTGCCCAGACTGATCTCACACTCCTAGGTTCAAGTGATCCTCCCACTTTGGCCTCCCAAAGTGCTGGGATTACAGGTGTGGACCACCATGCCTGGCCTAGAATTTCGAAGAATTTCTAACCATAAACACTCACTCTGAATTAAAACCAGAATTCACAAGAGTTGAGTGGCTAGAAAAAGCTGAGAATTTAATTTAAAGTGGTCTTGGGTTGCTAGCTCCCCTAAATAACCAGGCAGAAGCAAATATAAATTTTATCTGGGAGAACAAATCTTCAACTCAGACCTCAAAATATTTCCACAAACACAATTGGAAGGAACATGAGCTTACAATCACAACTCACAAAGCATATGACTTAACAAACCACCAAGAGTAAGAGAATCAGTAGAAAAAATATAATAAATCCAAACTGAAGAAACAACAGATATAAAAATAATTAGATACAGACTATAAAATAAGTATGTTTAAACTTAAAAATAAAATGGGGCATTTCTGAATAGCATTTGAATTATGACTAAAGAATAAGAGGTTGAAAAAGAAGCAGGTAGACTTGAAAAAGAATAAAATAAAACCTCTGAAAATTTTTTAAAAAGATAGTAATAGAAGTTAGATATTCTGGATGGGTTAACAGCAGATTATACATAGATGTCTATGTATAGATTCATCTACACATGAGCTCATCTATACATAGACAAATATATCTGAAAACATTTCTAGAATGCTGCATAGAGAGATGAAAAATACTAAAGAGAGACTGAGATATAAGACAGACTAAAAAATAAAATTTTATCAGAGTTACAGAAAGAGATAAAGGATGGGGCAGAGGTAATATCCGGAGACAAAAGGGACTAGTTAGGTTTCAGAATTAACTAAAGATATGAATCATCAGATTCAAGAAGTTCAGTGAATCCCAAACAAGACTTTAAAAAAAAAATCTTTACTGCTGGGTGTGGTAGCTCACAACTGTAATCCCAGCACTTTGGGAGGCTGAGGCATGAAGATCACTTGATACCAAGAGATCAAGAGCAGCCTGAGCAATATGGTGAGATTTTTTGTCTCTACAAAGAAACCTAAAAATTAGCCAAATATACTGGTGCATACCTTTGGTCCCAGTTACTTAGGAGGCTGAGGTGGGAAGATACCTTGAGTCTAGGAGGCAGAGGTTAAAGTGAGCCAAGATCACACCACGGCACTCCAGCCCAGGCAAAAGAGTGAGATCCTATCTCAAAAAAAAAAAAAGAAAAAAAAAATCCACACTAAGAAAATCAAAGTGAAGCTGTCAAAACCAAAGGTAGAGAGAATATTATAACCAACTAAAAAGAAAAAAGTAGATAAACTTATAAAGAAATAACAAATCTTGGCCAGGCGCGGTGACTCATGCCTGTAATCCCAGCACTTTGGGAGGCCGAGGTGGGCAGATCACCTGAGGTCGGGAGTTTGAGACCAGCCTGACCAATATGGAGAAACCCCATCTCTACCAAAAATACAAAATTATCCGGGCGTGGTGATGCATGCCTGTAATCCCAGCTACTCGGGAGGCTGAGGCAGGAGAATCATTTGAATCCGGGAGATGGAGGTTGCGGTGAGCCGAGATCATGCCATTGCACTCCAGCCTTGGCAACAAGAGTGAAACTCCCTCTCAAAAAAAAAAAAAAAAAAAAAAAAGAAAGAAAGAAAGAAAAGAAAAGAAAAGAAAAAACAAATCTTGTTGTTGGCTTCTCAACAGCAACAGTTGCAGCCAAAAGTAAATGGCATTATGTTTTCGAAGTACTGAGCTAAAATAATTGTCTACTTTTAACTTTATACTGTTAAAGGGAAAAAATTATTCAATGATACTTGTTAAATATGGTAAGGCAGACTTTATTCAAGGAAAAGGGGGACTATTGCAATAGTTATAGACACCACTGCAATGGGATTTTGCAGTAGGGGAGAGAGAGATTGGGCCCAACTCTGAATACAGCATGGGCAAGTGAGAATTTATAGCCAAGGAGAGGGTAGGGGCTAGTAGATGGGAAATGACTAAGAGGAAACATCAGTGGAAAGGGGGATGCTGGCTAAGCCATTGTGACAAGATTCTTGCTGAAGGCAGGCTGGGGTGATGAGACACCACCTATGGGATGGTGGAGCATGAGGAACCCAATCTGATACAGAGGGTGATCAGATATCAAAGATGAGAGATTCTAGCTAAACTGACTTAGCAGAATTCCTTCCAAAATTAGACAATCCAGAGACAAACATGGAAGTCTAAAAGTCAAGGCCTACTTGAAAAAGACCTCAGGGCAGCCTGAATAAAGTTTTGTTAAAGAGAATCTTTGTTAATACCTAGCAAAATTACCTAACAAAAATAAGTCCTGAGTAAAGATTTATATCTATAGGTATAGATACATATTTCTATACATACACGCATATATACATACATATAGATATCTATCTCTCTGTATATACATATACATATATCTATAGCTATATATGCATATATAGATATTTGAGATAGGGTCTCACTCTGTCACACAGGCTGGAGTACAGTGGCGTGATGTTGGTTCACTGCAACATCTGCCTCCAGGGCTCAAGTGATCTTTCCGCCTCATTCTCCCGAGTAGCTGGTACTACAGACATGCATCACTGCACTTGGCTAATTTTTATATTTTTTGTAGAGATGGGACCTCACTATGTTGCCTAGGCTGATCTCAATCTCCTGAGCTTAAGCGATCTGCCTACCTCAGCCTTCCAAAATGTTGGGATTACAGGCAACAGCCGCAGTGCGTGGCCTGAGTAAAGATATTATCTGACAAACATGTTGCTCACTAAAGAAACTTCTCAAGAATGGACTTTAGGAAGAAGAAAAATAAACTGACAAGGAAGGTTTAAGATACAAAATAGAATCGCAAGCAAAAAAAAAAAAAGAAGATAAACGACAGTATGTAACTGTAATAACGTTTGTGGGGCTAACATTTATATCACTAAAAATCCAGTTTGTGGGTCTAAACGTCAAACAAGATAGAAGTAAAGTAATAACAGAAGTCAGAAGAGGAGTAGTTCATGTTGAAACATCTTAAGGTTCTCCGGGTATGGTGGCTTATGCCTATAATCCCAGCACTTTGGGAGGCCGAGGTGGGCAGATCACCTGAGGTCAGGAGTTCAAGACCAGCCTGACCAACATGGAGAAACTCCATCTCTACTAAAAATACAAAATTAGCCAGGCGTGGTGATGCATGCCTGTAATCCCAGCTACTCAGGAGGCTGAGGCAGGAGAATTGCTTGAACCTGGGAGGCGGAGGTTGCAGTGAGCCAAGATCACGCCATGGCACTCCAGCCTGGGCAACAACAGCAAAACTCCGTCTCAAAAAAAAAAAAAAAGGAAACATCTTAAGGTTCTTAAGACCATTCAGGAGGAGAATAAAGACACTGATTACTGTTTTTTTTTTAAATTATACTTTAAGTTCTGGAATACATGTGCAGAACTTGCAGGTTTGTTACATAGGTATACATGTGCCATGGTGGTTTGCTGCACCCATCAACCCATCATCTACATTGGGTATTTATCCTAATGCTATCCCTGCCCTAGCTTACCTTCCCACCCCCTGACAGTTCTCGGTGTGTGATGTTCCCCTCCCTGTGTCCATGTGTTCTCATTGTTCAACTCCCACTTATGAGTGAGAACATGTGGTGTTTGGTTTTCTGTTCCTGTGTTAATTCGCTGAGAATGATGGTTTCCAGCTTCATCCCTGTCCCTGCAAAGGACATGAACTCATCCTTCTTTATGGCTGCATAGTATTCCATGGTGTATACGTGCCACATTTTCTTTATCCAGTCTATCATTGATGGGCATTTAGGTTGGTTCCAAGCCTTTGCAATTGTGATATTGTGAATAGTGCTGTAATAAACATATGTATGCCTGTGTCTTTAGAGTAGAATGATTTATAATCCTTTGCGTATATACCCAGTAATGGGATTGCTGGGTGAAATTGTATTTCCTTGAGGAATTGCCACACTGTCTTCCACAATGGTTGAACTAATTTACACTCCTATTTCTCCACATCTTCTCCTGCATTTGTTGTTTCCTGGCTTTTTAATGATCACCATTCTAACTGGCAGGAGATGGTATCTCATTGTGGTTTTGATTTGCATTTCTCTAATGACCAGTGATGATGAGCATTTTTTCATATGACTTTTGGCCACATAAATGTCTTCTTTTGAGAAGGATCTGTTCATATCCTTCACCCACTTTTTGATGGGATTGTTTGTTTTTTTTTTTCTTGTAAATTTGTTTAAGTTCCTTGTAGATTCTGGATATTAGCCCTTTGTCAGATGGATAGATTGCAAAAGTTTTCTCCCATTCTGTAGGCTGCCTGTTCACTCTGATGATAGTTTCTTTTGCTGTGGAGAAGCTCTTTAGTTTAATTAGATCCCACTTGTCAATTTTGGTTTTTGTTGCCATTGCTTTTGGTGTTTTAGTCATGAAGTCTTTGTCCATGCCTATGTCCTGAATGGTGTTGCCTAGATTTTCTTCTAGGGTGTTTATGGTTTTAGGTCTTACATTTAATTATTTAATCCATCTTTAGTTAATTTTTGTATAAGGTGTAAGGAAGGGTTCCGGTTTCAGTTTTCTGCATATGGATAGCCAGTTTTCCGCATATGGATAGCCAGTTTTCCCAACACCATTTATTAAACAGGGAATCCTTTCCCCATTTCTTGTTTTTGTCAGGTTTGTCAAAGATCAGATGGTTGTAGATGTGTGGTGTTATTTCTGAGGCCTCTGTTCTGTTCCATTCGTCTGTATATCTGTTTTGGTACCAGTACCACAATATTTTGGTTACTGTAGCCTTGTAGTATAGTTTGAAATCAGGTAGCGTGATGCCTCCAGCTTTGTTCTTTTTGTTTAGGATTGTCTTGGCAGTACGGGCTCTTTTTTGGTTCCATATAAAATTTAAAGTAGCTTTTTCTAATTCTGTGAAGAAAGTCAGTGGTAGCTTGATGGGGATAGCATTGAATCTATAAATTACTTTGTGGAGTATGGCCATTTTCACGATATTGCTTCTTCCTATCCATGAGCATGGAATGTTCTTCCATTTGTTTGTGTCCTCTGTTATTTCCCTGAGCAGTGGTTTGTAGTTCTCCTTGAAGAGGTCCTTCACATCCCTTGTAAGTTGGATTCCTGGGTATTTTATTCTCTTTGTAGCAATTGTGAATGGGAGTTCACTCATGATTTGGCTCTTTGTTTGTCTGTTATTGGTGTACAGGAAAGCTTGTTATTTTTTGCACATTGATTTTGTATCCTGAGACTTTGCTGAAGTTGCTTATCAGCTTAAGGAGATTTTAGGCTGAGATGATGGGGTTTTCTAAATATACGATCATGTCATCTGCAAACAGGGACAATTTGACTTCCTCTCTTCCTATCTGAGTACCCTTTATTGCTTTCTCTTTCCTGATTGCCCTGGCCAGAACTTCCTATACTATGTTGAATGGGAGTGGTGAGAGAGGGCATCCTTGTCTTCTGCTGGTTTTCAAAGGCAATGCTTCCAGCTTTTGCCCATTCAGTATGATATTGGCTGTGGGTTTGTCATCAATAGATCTTATTATTTTGAGATACATTTCATCAGTGCCTAGTTTATTGAGAGTTTTTAGCATGAAGGGGTGTTGAATTTTATCAAAGGTCTTTTCTGCATCTATTGAGATGATTACTTTTTTTTTTTTTTTTTTTGACAAAGTCTTGCTCTCTCTCACCCAGGCTGGAGTGCAATGGCACAATCTCAGCTCACTGCAACCTCTGCCTCCCAGGTTCAAGTGATTTTTCCACCTCAGCCTCCTGAGCAGCTGGGATTACAGGCACATGCTATCATGCTCGGCTAATTTTTGTACTTTTGTAGAGAGGGGGTTTCACCATGTTGGCCAGGCTGGTCTCAAACCCCTGACCTCAGGTGATCCACCCACCTTGGCCTCCCAAAGTGCTGGGATTACAGGTGTAAGCCACCACACCTGGCCAATTACTTTTATATATTAAGCTAAATATACATTAAAGCTTTTATAGTAATCACTAAACAATGCAAATAAAGTGTAATTTCCAATTTAATGCAGCAGAAAAATTGAAATGTGAAAAAAGGTGTCAATTTAAAACAACTCAAGAAAGGAGAAAAACTATATGTATACTTATTGAGGGATCTGGCCAGCAGCCCGCAATGCAACAGGGCTCTCTCTTTGTTCCCAGGCAGATCGGCAGGTTGAGAAATAATAGACACACACAAGATAGTGAAAGCTGGATCCAGGGGGGTCACTGCCTTCTGGTCCCATGATGCCAACAATGCACTGGATATACCAGCATTTATTATTAAGTTTAGTGAGGGCGGGGGTAGGTTAGTGAGGGATTTAGGGTCATTTGATTATGAGGTGAGATGGTCACATGGGGATGAAGTAATTCTTTAACATAACATTTGTATGTAGAAGTACAGTACATTTGTATGTAGAAGTACAGTATACAGAGATAAGAATTTACAATATAGTGTGTGAGTCAGTAACTTCTAACAGAGCCTTAGAACAGAAACACGGTATTTCCATAACCTATGATTAGCAAGATATTAATCAGCAGTAACAATTGCAACAAAAGCTGGTTACAAACAATCCGTGGAAACAGGACGTGAAGCTAGACAACTGGTTAGACCAGAAATTCTCAGAAGGGAGTATGCTTTAACCCTAAAGAGGCCTAGAAGAGCTGTGGCAAGATGAGGGCGTTTATAGCCCTATCTTATCCATATGGACAGGCGCCCCCCATGAGTCCGTTTATAGGCTCCCCACAAGGGTCGCATTCCATTCCCAGAGCTATGAACATCTGCTTTTCTGGGATAGGAATCTTGGTGATGTGAAACCTCCCTGACTGCACGTCCATTCATAGGCTCTCTGCAGGGGGAAGCACATCACGCGCTGTTGGCTCGTTCTGGCAGTCCGACCTGGCATTGTCTTTACACAATCCTGCATGCAATTTTGTATTTACAATAATCAGGAGCATTTCATCTTTTATTCCATAGCAATAGTTTCAGGGGGTCTCCCTACATATAATCAAGAAAAAAACTGGACAAACTAAGTACAAAATAGATGTTAGAATGAGTCCTAACTTTAAGAATAAATATAACAAAAAAGTAACTATTTTTAGAGATTAAAGAATGTCACTAAAAGCATTAAAGATGGGTTAAATAAATGAAGAGATATAACGACGTTCATGAACAGGAAGACTTGATTTTATAAAGCTATCCATTTTCCTCAAACTGAATAAATAGCTGCAAAACAATTCCAGCAAACCTCCCAATCTATATGTATGTGTATGTGTCTAATTTGATAAACTGATTCTAAAACATATAAGGGCTGGGCACAGTGGCTCATGCCTGTAATCCTAGCACTTTGGGAGGCCTAGGCAGGTGGATCACCTGAGGTCAGGAGTTTGAGACCAGCCTGGTCAACATGGTGAAACCCTGTCTCTACTAAAATACAAAAATTAGCAGGGTGTGGTGGTGGGCGCCTATAGTCCTAGCTACTCCGGAGGCTGAGGCACAAGAATCACTTGAACCTGGGAGGCGGAGGTTGCAGTCAGCTGAGATCGCGCCATTGCACTCCAGCCTGGGCAACAGAATGAGACTTTGTCTTGAAATAAATAAAATAAAATAAAATAAATTATATAAGAAATAGCCAAGAGCTAAAAAAAAAAAAAATCCGAACATTCTTGAAAAAGAAGAGCAAGATAAGCAAGGTAAAACACTCACCAATAAGATTTGAGATATATTTATAAAATTAAAGGAGTTAAGAAAGTATTGTACTGGCCCAGGAACAGTCAAGCAGATAAATGGAGCAGAGTAAAGAATCCAAAAACAGATCATGTGAATATTGATGCCCAACATGTATGACAGAGGTAACATTGCAGATCAATAGAGAAACAAGGGACTACTCAATAAAACTGGAAAAGTGGGTTTCCACATTGCAAAATAACATAGGTCCCAAATCACAAGACACAGAAAAATCAATCTGGATGATTTAAAAACTTAAATACGTAAGTTAAAATTTTGAAGTTTTTTGAAGTAAAGGGGAAATATTTATTTTTTTTAGGTAGAGATTTCTTTTTCTTTTCTGTTTTTTTTTTTTTTTTTTTCGAGACAAGATCTCAGCTCTGTCACCTGGGTTGGAGTGTGTGGCGCAATCATGGCTCACTGAAGCCTTGACCTCACAGGCTCAAGGCATCCTCCTCCCACCTCAGCCTCCCAACTGGCTGGGACTACAGGCCTGCACCACAACACCCAGCTAATTTTTGTATTTTTTATAGAGCCAGTGTCTCAATATGTTGCCCAGTCTAGTCTCAAACCCCTGGCCTCAAGTGATCCTCCCACCTCGGCCTCCCAAAGTGCTGGGATTACAGCTGGGAGCCATCATGCCAGGCCCAAGATAGGGATTTCTTAATCAAGATCTCAAACCACAAATCGCTTGGTGAAACTTGATAAATTTAGCTATCTTAAAACCAAGACTCTTTCTCAAATGGCCACATAAAGACAAACCACAAACTGGGGGAAGATACCTGCAACATAAATAATCCACAAAAGATTACTATCTTGAGTATATAGATAACTAAAAATAAATTATAAAAAATCAAACAACTCAATAGATAAGTGAGCAAAAGTTGCATATTTCACTGTAGACAAAAACATAACCAATAAACACAAAAAAAGATGCTCAACCTCCTTAGTAATCAGAAAATATAAATTAGTAATCATAATGTGACACCTTTATACCCATCAGGCTGGCCAAAAGAAAAAATAATAATCTTGACAACCCCACAATACCAAGTGTTATGAAGTGGAACACGTAGGACTTACCCACTGCCAGTGGAACTCTAAATTGCTATAACTACTTAGTCAAACAATTTAGCATTATCTATAAAGTTAAAGATGACTGTTTCCTACACCCTAGCAAAATTCTGATTGTAGGATACGCCCTAGAGAAACTCTCACTCACGTGCACAAGAAGAAATGCACAAGAATGTTTATAGCTACGCCAATGGTTATTACGGAGAAAACGGAACAGCACGAATGTTCAGTCAGCTCCAGGAACATGAATAAATCATGTTCGTTAAATTGCATTTAATGAAATACTATATTCAGCTGTAATATTTAATGAATGACAGCTACATTCCTGAGCATGGATAAATCCCTCAAATACAGTGTTACATGAAAAAAATAGGTTATGGGAGAATTTCTACAATATGATTCAATTATGTAAAGATTCAAAAGCAAGCGAGACTAAAGCAACTGGTCAAATAAGCTTTAACTGTTACTGTATAATTTGTACTTTGTAATATCTGGTAGTCGCATGGTTCGTTAAGCTTCAGGCTAACAGAAAATTAAGCATTAACTATGGTGCCAAGTTAAAAAAAAGTCTGCGAAATCAAAACCCTTAAAATTCGTCTACGAAATTTTAATAAATATCCGTGTAGAAAATCAGAACGACTCTTTCAGGCCATCTTTAAAATGTCATTGGTAAACCATACTTGATCCTAAATTCCTGTACTTCCTCAGGCCATCCGAGCATGAAACGCTGTCACCTACCCACATCCGCTGGCTGTGACGCTTGTCAAAGTGTTCTCTATCGGCTGCATGCCTAGACCACCAAAGCGTTCTGACCGGACAGTGTCACTGGAGAAGGCGGCGCGACATGTCCAGGGCGCAGATCTGGGCTCTGGTGTCTGGTGTCGGAGGGTTTGGAGCTCTCGTTGCTGCTACCACGTCCAATGAGTGGAAAGTGACCACGCGAGCCTCCTCGGTGATAACAGCCACTTGGGTTTACCAGGGTCTGTGGATGAACTGCGCAGGTAACGCGTTGGGTTCTTTCCATTGCCGACCGCATTTTACTATCTTCAAAGTAGCAGGTAAATATAATGGCTTTGTTTGGGGTGGAGGTAAAATGTACTTTTCCCCCCGACTGTGCTGAAGTAGCTGTCTATGGCTGGCTGTTAACTCTCTGAAGACTGAGTGCTTAATCAAAGTGCCAAGATTTGCCTAGGAAGGATGGGGTGTATGAGTATTGGCTGAAAGAATGACATTTATCTTATTTGACAAAGGAGATGTAAGAATAACCTTACAGGGCTTTTGGAATACCCAGTGTGACTCCAAAGGGAAGAGTGGAAGTGACTGGATTGTTTTAAAAGTCAGTTTCAATTTGCCTTGAGTCATGGAGGAATCTTGATGGGTCAGCACCCCTATGTAGGAAATGCTCTCATTGATTTAAACTTGTCTCTCCCTCTCTTCCTCTCTCTCTCTCTCTCTGTCTCTCTCTCTCTATATATATATACACCCACAAACACACACACACACACACACAGAGGTATCTATATGTGTGTGTGTATATATATATGCACACGTGTGTATATATATATGCACACATGTGTGTATATATACATTCACATATATAACCCACACAGGTATCTATATGAATATATATACATATATTCATGCACACACATATGTAACACACATATATATGTAATATGCCATTGCTAGATTGGAACTGGCAAACGATGGCAAATTCAAACTGGCTTTTAAAACAATCCAACCACTTCCACTCTTTCCTTTGGAGTCACACTGAGCATTCCAAAAGGCCTGTAAGGTAATCCGTATGTCTCCTTACATCTACTTTATCCTAGATTCCTGATAACGAAGGAAGGAATTCTATTTTCAGAAGGGTTTCCACGTTTTTTTTAATGTTTGTCACAGCCTAGATATAAAACAAAACGAAACAAAAAACCATATTGAATGATAAAATAACAGCAAGAAAAATTTGAAAGCGGTTAAGTGAAAGAAAATGCTGTTTACTTTCCCCTTTGGTTACCTGATTTTATTTATCTAAGAATACATGGGGCAAGCTTTCATCGTTGTGCATATTAGAAACTCTATTACAAGTGTACGTATCTCAAAGAGGGAACATATATTTTTTAAGGACATTTTCATACTCCAGAATGCCTTCAGGGAAACAATTGTCATTTGCTTTCCTGTCATTATGAGAATTACTATCTGCCTCTGCTTTCTGCAAATTTGATACATTTACAAATCTGCCACAAATTGTGGGTTTATTACTTTAAAAATTGCTCTTTGTTTCTTGGTAAAATATAGACTTTTCACAGTCAAATAGTAAAACTGTACCTTGGCCCCAGTAAAGAAAATGAAATAAAATTTTAACTAGGAAGTTACTAAAGCATAATGTGTTAGGAGATTTTGTGTCAAGTATGCACATCATTAGTCTACAATGAGTGCCAGGGGATAAAGAGAGAATACTTAACTAAATCCAGGAGATTTCTAATGACAATCAAAAGAAATATTCAAGCGTGGATGCCTCACTTAGTCCCTGAAATAACATGGACTTTCCTAAGTACCCATTTGAGGACTCCATGCTATGTCTCTCTTCAGGGTCAATTTCTAAACTTATTTTGGGTATTTCAACACTGATCCTTCTAATATAGAACACTGCCCTAGAAACAGAGGAAAAGAAGAGTGTGTGTGGAGACCCTCTTGTCACTCTGCACCTCTTACAATCGTTCTTTCTCCAGGGGCCCCTCTTGGCCCTTTTTCACCTTAGGAATCAGGTAGAAGAGATGGCATATGGTAAGTCTGTTTGTTTTTAATTGGGTTCATTTTTTATTTGTTCAATTATTATATATATTTTTTGAGATGGGGTTTCTCTATGTTGCCAAGGCTGGTCTCGATCTCCTGAGCTCAAGAGAGTCACCTGTCTCTGACTCTCAAAATGCTGAGATTATAGGCCTGAGCCACCTTGCCCGGCCTCATCTTAAAAAAAAAAAAAAGAAAATTGTCTTAATATGTTTCATTCTGTATTTCTTAATGAAACCCAGTTATTGGGGAAAACATGTGTTCAACTTTAGCTTCAAAGTGGGTTAAAGAACCATGGTACCTTTTACATGACTTCAACTTGCTGCTTCCCCAAACACATCATCACAGAGTTAGGCATTTTATTATGGTCCAGATATCTCTCACCCTTAACACTTTCTTATTTTTTATTTATTGTTTTTGAGACAGAACCTTGCTTTGTTGCCAAGGTTGGAGTGCAGTGGTACAATCTCAGTTCACTGCAACCTCCACCTCCCGGGTTCAAGTGATCCTCCCACCTCAGCCTCCCAAGTAGCTGGGAGTACAAGTGCATGCCACAACACTTGGCTAATTTTTAAAGGTTTCTGTAGAGATCAGATCTCACTATGTTACCTAGGCTAGTGTTGAACTCCTGGGCTCAAGCAATCCTACTGCCTTGGCCTCTTAACGTGCTGGGATTATAAGCATGAGCCACCACGCCTGCCAAAACTTTATTTTTAAAGTTAACTTTGTTTATTGATTGTAAAAATAATTTATTCTATCTCCTGTATACCCTGCACATAGGAGGTAATTTGAAAATCTCACCCACTGACAATGCTTCCCTAAGAACAAGTACAATTAAATTAATATAATCTCTCTACCTTCTTCATCCTGAGTCAAAATCTTTATAAATGATACACTTTGCTGCAGAAATCTGTTTTCAATGTCAGAAACACTGATTCATATTTCCAAAGAAAACGGGGATTCACACATTTGGATTTCCTTTCCCATGGAGTCATTGCTGGTTGCTTTTCTTTTATTCCTATTTGAAAACATAACAATGAGGGAATCAGGAAAGCTATCTATGCCAATAATCTCTCCAACATCACAATAATTATAAATTGAGAAAAGAACTCAGAAGTCAATGAAGAATGAAAATGGTTATATCACCTTTTAAAATAATAAACTATTTAAGCCTATATTGTCAATTTGAGACAAATCTTCTTAGACTTAGGCCAGATTAAACCTCCTCTAAGAAAGAAAAGCAGAAAATCTGTCTAAGCTGTCTCGGTTGTATTTTTTTTTTCTTGCTGATTATATAACTTCATTGCTGGAGTCATACCTTCCCATAGCTAACCCTCTTGAATGCTCCAGTGTAGCCACAGCTTTTTAGGGCTTCATTTGGATTAATAGTGACTACATCCCTTAAAAATTTGATGTGAGCAAACACCTCTTTGGGTGAGCAGCATTTATAGCTATAGTAAAAAATACAGAGGCCACCTTCAACTGTCATTCTGTGAAATAAACCGTAGGAACACCTGCAATTCAATTCTTATTGGAGCCTGAAAGCTTGATTAAAATCCAAAGCCAATTCACTATCTTTAGACACTAAGTCTACCATAAGCTAGGTCTCGTTTTGTTGTGTTTTGTTTTTCTGTCATATCTACGTTAATAGGAATGCTTTCACTATGAAAGTAAAGCATCTCTCATCGTAGGGAGAAAAGCAGTTCTTTCTGAGGGGGAAGACTGAATCCAAGAAGCATGGCTGCAGTGAGGGATTGAAGGAAATCCTGATCACCTTGGGACAGGGGCTGGATCTGTCATGTTCCTGTCGTGCCCCTGGCACATGCTGGGTTCCGGATATATAGCTGCAAAATGACTGAATTAACCAAATAATGAGTGAGACTACAGATGGTTCGCGATGAGGGCAAAATTGTATTCCTGGAGGAAGGATGGAGTGTGCTGAATTGAGGAGCGAGTGAGGAAATGAGCGCAGGCAACCCAAAGGGAGGTCAGTGGATTATGACTCAGCAGACTGAGCCTTGCATTCTGGCTCCTTTATGACTTGCTGTGAGACCTTGACTTCAGCAATGACATCTTCTGTGCCTCATCCATAAATTAAGAGAACAGATCTCCAAGAGTTCCTTCAGGTATCTTTCAACCTAGAGTTCAATTCCAGAACTTCACAATGCTTCGCCACCTGGCAGTAGAAGTTTCCCAAAGAATTATAGCCATAAAAGTATCCTCTATTATAATTGTTATAGTTGCTCATGGGATTAAGGTCTTTTCTTCTGTTTTTAATTTTTGTTTTTTAAGACAGGGTCTCACTCTGTCACCCAGGCTGGAGTGCAGTGGCACGATCATGGCTCACTTCAGCCTTGACTTCCTGGGCCCAAGTGATCCTCCCATCTCAGCCTCCTGAGTAGCTGGGACTATAGGCACGTGCCACCATGCCCAGCTACTTTTGCTTATAAGTAATTATAATTTTGTTTATAATTTTATTTATAAACATAATTAGCTGGACATGGTAAAGACAGGGTCTTGTGATGTTGCCCAGGGTGGTCTCAAACTCCTGGGCTCCAGTGATCCTCCAGCCTAGGCCTCCCAGAGTGCTGGGATTACAGGCATGGGCCATCGTGCCCTGCCAAGGCCTTTTTTTCCCCCTTATCTGTTATCTTGACCAGCTTCCTGTGTTCCTGACTGTTTACAGTCTTCTCAGCATCTGGGTTGAGATAGGTTTAAATGACCTTAAATGACCACAAGACCCAAGTCAAAGTGCCAGGATTTCAGTGGAATGAAACCAAACAGGCATCTGGAAGCTGCAGTCAAATGATGCTGGCTGTCTGCAGCAGTGTGAGCCTTCTCTCCTCACTTTCCAGATGCTTCACCTCTCTCCCCACTCCCTTATTTGGCCATGCCATAAAAATGGGGGTAAAGAGGCCAGGCACGGTGGCTCACGCCTGTAATCCCAGCACTTTGGGAGGCCAAGGCAGGTGGATCACCTGAGGTCAGGAGTTCAAGAGCAGCCTGACCAACTTGGCGAAATCCTGTCTCTACTGAAAATACAAAAATTAGCCAGGCGTGGTGGCGGGTCCCTGTAGTCCCCGCTCTTTGGGAGGCTGAGGAAGGAGAATCACTTGAACCCAGGAAGCAGAGGTTGCAGTGAGCCAAGATCGAGCTGCACTCCAGCCTGGGTGACAGAGCAAGACTCCATCGCAAAAAAAAAAAAAAAAAAAAAAAGCGGAGGGTAAAGGAATAGCACTTGCTAGAGAAAGAGGGTTTTCTGTGGGGGTTTATTCACATCTAGGGAACAGCTGGGAGCCATCTGATGTCATCAATTTAGACTTCTTGCTAGTTGGAATGTATGCCTGTGTTAGTCCACTCAGGCTGCAATAACAAAATACCATAAACTGGGTAATTCACCAACATCAGAAACTTATTTCTCATAGTTCTGGAGGCTGTGAAGTCCTAAATCGAGACACTGGCAGATTCAGTGCGTGGTGAGGGCCCATAGACGGCACCTTCTCACTGCATCCTCACATGGTGGAAGGGGCAAGGCAGCTCTCTGAGGCCTCTTTTTTATGTTATTATTATTTTTTTTTTTGAGACTGAGTCTTGTTCTATTGCCCAGGTTGGAGTGCAGTAGTGCAATCTCAACCTCTGCCTCCCAGGTTAAGCGATTCTCCTGCTTCTGCCTCCCAAGTAGCGGGGACTACAGGCACCCACCAGCACACCCAGCTAATTTCTGTATTTTTAATAGAGACAGAGTTTTGCTGGGTTGTCCAGGTTGGTCTCAAAATCCTGTCCTCAAGTGATCTGCCTGCCTCAGCCTCCCAAAATGCTGGGATTACACGCATGAGCCACCATGCCCAGCCTCTGGGGCCTCTTTTATAACAGCACTAATCCTATTCATGAGGGCTCTGCCTTCCTGACCTAATCACCTCCCAAAGGGCTCCACCTACTAATACCATTATTTTGGGGGTTATGATTTCCACATATAAATTTAGGGGCACACAAAGAGTCACAACATAGCAGTGCCTTAGTCCGTGATTAAATAATAATAGTAAATAAATACCAAACAACAATAATGAATAAATGAAAACAAATTACCATGTCAATGAGGGAAAATTAGTAAGTTAGATGCCTCCAAAATATTAACCCTTTTTTTTTTTTGAGACAAAGTCTCGCTCTGTTGCCCAGGCTGGAGTGCAGTGGCGTGATCCCAACTCACCACAACCTCCGCCTCCCAGGTTCAAGCGATTCTCCTGCCTCAGCCTCCCAAGTAGCTGAGACTACAGGCTCGCGCCACCATGCCTGGCTAATTTTTGTATTTTTAGTAGAGGTGCGGTTTCACTATGTTGGCCAGGCTGGTCTCAAACTCCTGACCTCGTGATCCACCCACCTCAGCTTCCCAAAGTGCTGGGATTACAGGCGTGAGCCACCATGCCTGGCCAATATTAATACTTTTAACAGATAGCTGCACCCTTGGATAACACTTACCTTTCCATTCTCTAAGATCCTGATGCTGCTTTCTGAAACTAAGTTTCATTAAATAAACTTAAGGTTAAATTTAATTTCAGATTAGTTTTTATGCTATGTCCCAAATGCATATAAAATTATTTAAAAGTATACAGAGACTGGGAGTAGTGGCTCATGCTTATAGTCCCAGCACTTGGGGAGGCTGAAGCAGGAGGGTCACTTGAGCCAAGGAGTTCAAGACCAGCCTGGGCAACACAGGGAGACCTTGTCCCTACAAAAAAATTTAAAAATAGCCAAGCATGGCAGCACATGCCTGTAGTTCCAACTACTTGGGAGGCTGAGGTGAGAGGATTGCTTCAACTGGGGAGATTGAGACTGCAGTGAGCTGATATTGCACAGCTGCATTCCAGCCTGGGTGAAGTCCAAGAAGCATTCGACATGTTCCTGTTCCAACAAACAGAGGCATAATATTATATGTGTACTGACACAGTCATAACCCAAGGTAGGTGAATTGGACTTTCGCAGTAGAATCTAGACAGGTTGAGCCACTGTATAATTGTCTCTGTATCAATATGGTTGGAAGAAGGCACAATGCTGAAAAGTGCCCTAGCCTTACAGTGGTGAAGATGGCGCTGGAGCGGTCAGAATGACCTCAATTGCCATAGCAGCGGACGACTGGACTGGGGATCCTAAAGCAGTGTGCTGCAGGCTGTTCTTTCATGGAAGCATCAGAAACTTTTTAAGACATCCTGTCTTCATCCATAGTTCCTCTTTTAGGGGCCAGGACCTTATCTCATTTATCCTGGTCTCCCCCGTACCTACTGCTGTGTCTGGCTTAGAAGGCACTCAACGAAGTTGTGTGGATTGAATAAACGGAAGGAGAAATTGTTCATTGAGTTAAATTCTGACATTTGTATTGCAGAGGGAATCTCTTCTCATGTCACCAAGTTCTAGAAAAGGGAGAAAGTCCTAGGGAAGTGTTTAGAACAAGTAAAAGAGCCATGGATTTGTTTTTGTGGTCTTTTCTTTCCTTTTTGAGACAGGGTCTTGCTCTGTCTCCCAGGCTGGGGTGCAGTGGCGTGATCACAGCTTGACCTCCTGGGTTTAAGCAATCCTCCCATCTCATCGTCCTGAGTAGCTGGGACTACAGGTGCATGCCAACCATCCGGCTAATTTTCATCTCTTTGTGGAGACGGGAATCTCACTGTGTTGCCCAAGTTTATCTCAAACTCCTGGCTTCAAGCAATCCTGTCTCAGCCTCCCAAAGTGCTGGGATTATAAGCATGAGCCACCACACCTGGCCTGCCATGAATATTTTTTATGATGGTATCTAAAAAGCACAAACATTTAGAGTATTGCTTCTTGAAATGTGATCCACCAGCCAGCAGCATCTATATCTCCTGGGAGCTTGCTTGAAATGCAGAATCTCAGGCCCCACTACAGACCTATTGAATCAGAATCTGCAATTTTATAAGCTCTCCAGGTGTCTTCTATGCACATTAAATGTTTGAGAAATCTTTGCCTGGAGTTTGGCCTTAGGAATGTGATGGACCCAACATTTACTAAAGGGTCTTAATCCCTCTGAGCTTCAGTGTTCTTTCCTGTTAAATGGTGATTAAAGAAGACACATATGGCCAGGCATGGTGGCTCATGCCTGTAATCCTAGCACTTTGGGAGACAAGCCAGGTGGATCGCTTGAGCGCAGAAGTTTGAGACCAGCCTGGGCAACATGGTGAAACCCCGTCTCTACAAAAAGTACAAAAATTAGGTGGCCATGATGGTGGGCACCTATAGTCCCAGCTACTCAGGAGGCTGAGGTGGAAGGATCACCTGAGCCAGGGAGGTCAAGGCTGCAGTGAGCTGTGATTGAGCCATTTCACTCCAGCTTGGGTGACAGAGTGAGACCCTGTCTCAAAAAAGCAAAAAACAACAAATAACACAGGCAAAGTGTCTTATGTAGTACCAGACACAAGGCTCTCCATAAAGAGTGGCGATTATGTCCATGAATACCTCTTTCAGTGCCTTGAAAGGTCACATCTCTGCTGTAGGAAGGTGGCTATTACTCTGCTCTACCCATTTGTTTCCAACCAGGACTGCAGTAGCTGCCTCTTAGAATGCAAAGCCTGATAGAAGCATGCCTTTGCTCCTTTGCTGCGTGTCTTGTCATATTTTTCATGATGTAAAGGATATTGTGCTCATGATGTGAAGGATATTGGACTATAGTTTGCACTTAGGATTTGCTATTTTGTATAAGGCAAGACCACCTTGCATTTCGATGTCAGTTACTCATTAAAGATGTGGATCTATTCCTTGAGTCAATCACACGTTCTAATAGCTTGGAATGGGGAGAAAAGGCCCCCTTTGGGCTCCACAGGGGAAGGCAGGGCTCCTACAAGCTCAGGGTGTGTTTGGTATGCCGGGCAGCCAAAAAGAGCAAATGTTTACTTGAGTATTCTTAGTTCTGAGGGCAGGGAAAAACTTTGGGACAGACAGTTTAATATATGGGTTTGAATCATAGCTCCACATAGAGCTAACGATGCAAACTCGAGCACATTACTTAACTTCTCATAGACTCAATCTTCTCATTTGCAAATGGAGGTAATAATACGAATCAACTCATAGGGTTGTTGTCAGGGTTAAATGAAATGATAATGTAAAACGCTTTACATCATGAGCAGCTGTCACAATCATAAGTTAGCCGTCATGTTATTCATTGATGACTTTAACCATGTAGCATAAGGTCACTGGTTT
Source organism: Homo sapiens (assembly GCF_000001405.40). Classification (NCBI taxonomy): domain Eukaryota; kingdom Metazoa; phylum Chordata; class Mammalia; order Primates; family Hominidae; genus Homo; species Homo sapiens. The sequence goes on from NC_000013.11 coordinate 95,442,989, forward strand.
TTAAATGAATGTATACAGTGTGTTTTACGAAGTGCTTTCACATACATTGTCATAGTTCTCCAGAAGACTGATACTCTAAAGTCTCCATTTTATATATAAAGCAGCTGAGGTTCACTGGGGACCATATTTCTAACTTCCTATGGGCTTCTGCAAATCTTTTTGGGGAAATGGCCAGCATTTGGTGCTAGCTCCCAAATTTGTGTTTAAGTCCCAGCTTGGCCATGTTTTGTGGACCTTAGGTGAATCCCTGGCATTTGCCCTTGTTTCCCTTTCTTAGCTGTAGGATAACGATGATAATGATGTTGTTGACAATGATGATGTCTAGTTACATGCTTCAAAAGCTGGTGGGGAAGGTCAAGGAAAAGAATCTTATTGTATGACGTAGACTAACCTGTGTTTAAAATGAACTGGGGATTTGTTTTAATCGGGTGTGGTAAGATGCACAGACATGGAAATAACTGTCAGGAAAGAAGTTTTATACTCGTCGATCCCGAGAAGCGGGAGACATGGCATGGCACGCGAGACCACGCAGGGAAGAACCACGGTCATTCAGGAGCTGGGTGGGAAACCATGTTCCTGAGTCCTTGTGATTTTTGTGGGAAGGAATAAGCCAGGCTGGGAAAACTAAGCAGGTTTAGGATTGGCTCATTTTAATACTTTCAGCAGGCTTTGGAGTGTAGGAGCCCCAAGTTGTCTGGTTGCCACCCTGGGGTGATTAGGGCAGGGAAATATCTGCTTAATGGGTAAACACTTGGGAAAGGAGGTAGTTGGGGGTGTGGTCTTTGGGCTGGTTGGTTTGCTTATGAAAGATGTGCTTGTGGGGGGTCATTTGCTATCTGTAATAACTGGCTAGCCCTCGGGTTGGAGGAGCAGTTTCCCCCAAGTCAGCAAGGCCCCAAGTGCCAGAGCATGGAGAATACAGAAAACAAGAAAACAGAGTTAATACAGCATAGATGCCAGAGCCCTTGGTGGTGTTTGGACTGTGGGACAGCAAGGCATGGATTTTGCTGTCCCCTACTCCTTTAAGACTTCATACTTATCTGATTTTCTCCTGGTGAACATGTAGTGTAGAAAAGGTTCAGGTTTATCTCTCACAAGGTTCATAGCTCCTCTCCCTGCTCATTGCCCATCTGGCTGTCTCCACCGCACAGCTTTCCTCGCGCCTCACAGACTAAATTGCATCCTAAAGGAGATGTAGTGAGGAACATCTTCTGAGCAAATGGTGTGCTGGGCTTAGTCATTTAAAACCTTCCTGCCCTTGTGCATGTTTAGGTAATGTACATTATAGAAAGCGCCACTGCTCCTAAATGAACTTGGGATAATTGGCTTGAATTGCAGAAGGCAGCAGGTCTACAATTAAGCTTTTGCCAGATTTTTGTGTGCATTGCAGGAAAAATTGATTACCAAAGGTTAATAATTTGGCAAATCATTCAGCAGATTCCTGGTGCAGAATATAGGCTCTGAGGACTCAGGGAGGAACAGGACAGGGGCAGTTCTTCAGATACATGCTGTTGGGAGTAAAGCAACCATTTGGCAATTAGCCCAGAATGCTAAATGTTATTGGACGGTTAAGTTCAGGGGGACACTGACTTCTCAAAGAGCTGAGGCTTGAACTGTCTTGAAAGATGGGCGAAGTTTCACAAGAAGTTTGCCAAGGAAAGGAGGGCATTTTAGGCTAAGGGACTCATCCAACCCAAAAATTATTAACTGCATGTTTCTGAGAAGAATGCCTGACATTTGAGCTCCCTCATCTATTTTTTGTTTTTGTTTAGTTTTGTTTTCATTGTTTTTTGTTTGTTTTGTTTTGTTGTTGGTGGTGGTGTTTTTACAGAGTCTCACTCTGTCACACAGGCTGGAGTGCAGTGGTGCTATCTCGGCTCACTACCACCTGCTCCTCCAGGGTTCAAGTGATTCTCGTGCCTCAGCACAGATGTGCATCACCATTCCTGGCTAATTTTTGTATTTTTAGTAGAGACAGCGTTTTACCATGTTGGCCAGGCTGGTCTCGAACTCCTGACCTCAGGTGATCCACCTGCCTCAGCCTCCCAAAGTGCTGGGATTACAGGCAGGAGCCGCCACGCCTGGCCTGAGCACTCCCATCTGTTAAATGGAAATGTTATCTACTTCAGAGGATGATGGTGACGACTGAATGCATGAATTTGCATACAGCATCTAGAGCAATGCCTGGGACATACAAGAAAGACCTAAAAAGCAGGAGGAAGGCAAGTGCATGCAGGAACAGGAAGCACATAATTGGAATGGCTGACACCTAAGATGTGCACAGAGCGGGGGAGAATATCTGGCTGCAGACGTCGATAACAAAAGCTCCCAAAGGGACCTTTAAGCCCTACAAAGGGATCCAGACTTTGTCTGGAAGAAGCTGAAAGCTATTGAAACATTTTAAGCAGAGAATACCCATGGGGCTTACACTTAACAAAGACCCTGCAGTATTTTGTGTTAGAATCTGAGCAAAGAGCATAGCAGCAGGAATACAAAGAAAGATATTTTGAGGCAGAATTGTTGAGTCTTGGTGACTTATGAGGAATGAGAGGGGTCAAGGATGTCTCCAAGGATTTCTGCCAGGAAACTTGATGGGCAGTGGGATAGAGAAAGCTGGTCCCAACGTAACCTCTAGTTCCTTCTCCTAGTATGGTGTTTTCCAATACGTACCAAGATCTCAGTCAGTCAGTTTCTTAACTTAATGGGGTTTGGCCTTGAAACACCAATTGTAGAGAGTGAGACAGATTAGTTTGACCGAGTTTAATTTTTTTTTAGCTGTGCTCTTTAGATGTCTAATACAAGAGGAAAATGTGACAGCTACAAAGATTAATGCAATTGTAGGTGACATTAGCGGCACAGGAATAACAAAGTTAGATGGGTAATAGTCCCCAACTACTTTGTAGTCAAATTGCATAGTTCTAGTCTTGCACACCGTATATTTTAAGGGACATGAACATAAACCAATTCATTGATTCTAGAGGAGGGTGACTAGGAGGATGAGAGGTTTTGAAATCACTTCACATGGCCATTTGTTTCACCTGGAAGAAATGGAAAAAAAATATATAGGGCACAGAGTGGGAGAAGATATTGGGTAGATGTTACTAGAGAGTCCGGTTTAGGATCACTTGGAAGAAGTCATTTCTATCAGAGTTGCTCCGCAATGGGACAGGCTGTCTCACAGAGACCTGGCTAGAAGTTCCCAGAGGAGGTCGAGGGGGTTCTGCTAAGAGGCTGTAGAACCCCTTCCTGCACTGGCTGGGAAGATAGATGAGGCAGTCTCTCAAGCAGTTTCCAGTATGAGAGGTCTGAGATTCTGTGCACATGTGCAAATAAACACAAATATTTAAAAATCTATGTCTTTGATTTGCATATTGACTTCAATAGTTTTGAACAACTGCCAAGCTCTGTGCTAGATAACTTGGAATACGGCAATAAAAATACCTCATCTCTGCCCTTAGATGTTCATAGCCTAGAAGGGATCATGAATTGAAGCAGTAAATGTTATATATGTTATGTTAATGACATTCTATTTAAACCTATATGTTAATCAATGTTAGAATTAATATAAGAAGGTTGGACGCAGTGGCTCACGCCTGTAATCCCAACACTTTGGGAGGCCAAGGCGGGAGGATCACCTGAGGTCAGGAGTCTGAGACTAGCCTGGCCAACATGGCAAAACTCCACCTCTACTAAAAATACAAAAATTAGCTGGGTGTGGAAGCAGGCACCTGTAATTCCAGCTATTTGGGAGGCTGAGGCAGGAGAATCGCTTGAACCCAGGAGGTAGAGGTTGCAGTGAACCGAGATTGTGCCACTGCACTCCAGCCTGGGCAACAGAGTGAGACTCTGTCTCAAAAAAAAAAAGAATTAATATAATTAATATAAGAAACACATAGCTCTCCATCTCTAATTGATATCTGGAAGGGTCCTAAGAAGCCCACAGTGTATGCCATCTAACCTTTTCTGGGAGAACGGACTACTACTTCTAAATCCAGGCACAGAGCCGAGTGATGGCGGGGGCAGGGGGATACAAGAGAACGAGTCCTGCCTTTAACTAAATTTCCTTGGGTTGATATTTCTAGTTTATACGCACCAAATATAGTCCATGCATAAAAACGACCCGCCATCCTACTGGGAGGCTGATTTTCTCCAGAACACAGAATGTGGACATTTGTGAGGTGGGCAGGGGAAAATGGAAGACAATTTTCTTCTTATCTTACTACGGCCATATGTTCTCCTTTATTTCCACCGGCAAGTCTTGAGCCAGTCATATGAGGGGATTTTAGCCTGCTCTGGAGGACTCCTACAAACGTCCCCACTAAACTGATTCTACTGCAGTGGCCGAGGTCCTTCCTTGACGCGGCGCCTGGTTCTGTGTTTGTGCCACTTTGCTCAGCCTTCCAGCTCCTGGTGGTCAGCTGCTGCCCACTCTCCTGTTTAAACCTGGACCGCAGACCTCTCACTTTTTTCCTCGCGGCTGATGTCTGGTTCCAGGTGGTAGATCTGTCTTACGACGGTCCCATACCCTAAATCCAGCATGCCTGGTGGCTCAGTTCTGACCCAGTGCCTGTCCTAAACATTATGTTCTGGACGCTATTGATCTGCCTGATCCCCAGGGCCTCTCCTTTGCCTCCCTGCTTCAGCTCCTTCACCAGGACTTGCTTTCTCTCACCCCACACCTTGGGAAGAACTGTCAAAGCATGGCTCCTAGCTGTGAGAATTTGGGGGAAAACGAGAAGGGGGAGTGCACATGCGTGTGTGTGTGTGTGTGTGTGTGTGTGTGTGTATCCATTTTTTCATCTGGAAAAATATGCATGTTATCCTAGTGGCTCCCTCTATTCCAGCTTCAAGTCTGGGGTGTCCGTGACAGCAGGTGTGGAGCCCGAGAAAGAGTGTCCTCCCCAGGAGTCTTCCCCTCCCACCTGCAGCATCAAAGCTGCCCTGCGGGGGTGCAGCTATGCCGCCTCTCCCTTGCCAGGCTCTTTCTGCCTCTGCTTCCTGTGCCTGCGGCGAGAGGTGGGGGTGATCTGCCATTGCACAGGTGCTAAGCTACCCAGCTTTTGCTCCAGTTCCATCCAGGATTATGAAATAAACTTAAACTAGACTGCCCACACCACACAGGCACACACATGCACACGCATACACCAGGCAGGTTCTACAGCTAACTACTCATACACACAATCTCTTATCACGCAGACACCTCAACACACTACACACACACACAGAAAAATACACACTCACCATACAGTCAGCACATACACATCACACATACATGTGGGCAACACACACATACACAAACATAGCCAGCCATTTGCCATGCAATCATACACACAGGCACACACAGATGTGCATTCACCATACAGGCAGGCACCCCACACACATATACACCCATTGACCCAAATACAACAATGCAAGCTCCACACATAACTACCTACATACACATACACCATGCACCTTGCAGACACCTCATACATGTCACACGCATAGTCATCGGAGGGAAAGAAAGACTTAGAGACCAAGATTTTCACAGACAGTGAGGAATGTGACCCCCCTGGACAGAAAGAGCTGGGGATGGCTGCTTACCCACACCATGCTCAGAAGTCATTCATATTGGGGCAGGGGTCAGCACAGAAAAGTTAGCTCCTGCCTCCCCAGATGCCTCTCATAGGCCTATGGGGGCACCTAGAAGTGACGTTCCATCACATCATCATCTTTGTCCACTAAGCCATAGTATTTTATTTTATTTTATTTTATTTTATTTTATTTTGAGGCAGATTCTCTCTCTCTCTCGCCCAGTTTGGAGTTCAGTGGCACGATCTCGGCTCACTGCAGCCTCCACCTCCCAGGTTCAAGTGATTCTCGGTCCTCAGCCTCCCAAGTAGCTGGGATTATAGGCGCATGCCACCACGCCCAGCTATTTTTGTATTTTTACTACAGATGGGGTTTCACCATGCTGGCCAGGCTTGTCCTGAACTCCTGACCTCAAGTAACCTGCCTCCCTCGGCTTCCCAAAGTGCTGAGATTATAGGCATGAACCACCGTGCCCCGTTCCACTAAGCCATACTCTAAATCACCTTACTTCCTTCCAGGTCTCCCAGCTTGGAGTCTGGCAAATTGTAAATACTCCATAATGATCCATTTCCCTCCTCCATTCCTTCCAGATCACAGACCTCAAAGCCTGATGTCCTGTTGGAATCCCAGGACTGCTGCTACTAGCTTTACTACCGACCTAGTGACTTAAACTCTGTCTGTGTTTCAGTTTTTTATTTTTATTTTTTTTCGAAACAGAATCTCGCTCTGTTGCCCAGGCTGGAGTGCAGTGGCGCAACCTCGGCTCACTGCAAACTTCATCTCCCAGGTTCAAGTGATTCTTCTGCCTCAGCCTCCCGAGTAGCTGGAATTACAGGCATGCACCACCACACCCAGCTAATTTTGTATTTTTAGTAGAGATGGGGTTTCACCATGTTGGCCAGACTGGTCTCGAACTCCTGACCTCAAGTGATCCTCCCACCTCAGCCTCCTAAAGTGCTGGGATTACAGGCATAAGCCACTGTGCCCTGCCACTCAGTTTTCTTTTTTTGTTGTTTTATTTTTTAGAGACAGGGTCCTGCTCTGGCATCTAGGCTGGCGTGCAGTGGTGTGATCATAGCTCACTGTAACATTGAACTCCTGGGCTCTAGGAATCCTCCTACTTTAGCCTCTGAGTAGCTGGGACTATAGGTGCACACCACCATGCTAGCTAATTTTTAAATTTTTTTTTTTTTTTTCTTTTTGAGGCAGAATCTTGCTCTGTCTCCCAGGCTGGAGTGCAGTGGCACAACCTCCGCTCACTGCAAGCTCCGCCTCCCGGGTTCACGCCATTCCCCTGCCTCAGCCTCCCGAGTAGCTGGGACTACAGGCGCCCGCCACCACGCCCGGCTGATTTTTTGTATTTTTAGTAGAGACGGGGTTTCACCGTGTTAGCCAGGATGGTCTCAATCCCCTGACCTTGTGATCCGCCTGCTCGGCCTCCCAAAGTGCTGGGATTACAGGCGTGAGCCACCACGCCCGGCCTTAAAATTTTTTTGTAGAGACAGGGTTCTCCCTATGTTGCCCAGGTAGGTCTTGAACTCCTGGCCTGAAGCAATTCTCCCACCTTGGCCTTCCAAAGTGCTGGGATTACAGGCATGAGCTACTGCACCTGGCCTTGTGTGTCAGTTTTCTTATCTGTAAAATGAAGATAATAACAGAATCTTCCTTATATGAAAGTTAATATATGAGTTAGCTTTTGTTGTTTGCTCCAACTCACAATTCTGGCTTTTCAAGACTGCTTTGAAACCAGACTTTGTTGTGTTTGTGTTAGCTAATCTCCCAGTTTGGCATCACCTAAAAACCTTCTGCACATTCCCTGGAGGTCTCTGTGAGAATCCTGCAGGGATTAAGAGCCCTTCCCTCTTTTTCTCGTGTTGCTCTGAGATGTCTGAATCCAGTAGGGTGGCAGCACATTTCTCTCTTCCTCTCTTTTCCCACAGCGCTGATCCCAGGCTTTCGCCAAGCTTCCTCCTTTTGAATTCCATGTTCTTTGCCATGTGTCTTCCTCACAGTCCGCTCTGATTTTCCTGCTACTCCATTCAGCTGGTCACCCAGGTTAGACATCCGCAGCACATAAGGCCCATCTGCTGCTTCTTCAGACTGCACGCCCAGCCAATGCAAAGTCCTGTCAAATCTGATGCTCACCCCTCCCATTCTCCCTGGAGGGAGCTTTGCTCTGTCTCTGGCTCAGGTTATCGTCTACCTGGGCTCAGCATCTAGGCTCTCCCTGCTGAGTTTAGATTGTGATCAAATAGTAAAAAGAAACATATTCACTGTTCTACTTGCTCGAATCAAGGCTACAGATGAAACCCCCAAAGGCAGAGCTTCCTCCAGTTCCTGGGCTCTGTTCAGCTGCGTTGAGAGCATTTACTCTGTGCATGCACCACTGTAACTATCACCTCACTTGGTTCCCAGAGTGACCTCTTGTGCTAGGAGCTTTACCCATGCCCGTTTTGCAGGTGAGGTAACTACACAGAGCTTGGAGAAGGGCCATAACTTGCTCAGTGTCATGGCTAAGGTAGTGGCCATGGCAGGATGCAAATGTGAGACTGTATAATTCTTGAGTCCTAAAGTCCTATCACTTATCCATCAAGGACTCTCAGAAATGGCCAATCCCCGGCAGGAAGAATGCATCAAAACAGTCCTGACTGTCCTTTTCAGTCCTCCTGCTTCAATCGAACTGGACTTTGAGATTAACTTCTCCCTTCTCTGTGCTTCTGCTCATGCCATTTGGGGCACACACCTTCTTTCATCACTCCGCATCTCTCTCTTCCTTCAAACTCCACCTCCAATGCCATTTGTTATTCAAAGCCTTTTTAATCTTCTAGCTAGAAGGGACTTTTGTCTTCATAGGTCTCCCTGGCACTTGGTACTTCTGTTTTGTTTTTAGAGATATGGTCTCGCTCTGTCACCCAGGCTAGGGTACAGTGGCACAGTCATAGCTCACAGCAGCCTCCAACTCCTGGGCTCAAGCTATCCTCCTGCCTCGGCCTCCCTAGTAGCTGGGACTACAGGTGCAAGCCTCCATGCACAGCTGGTACTTCTTTTCTTGTGGCTTTGCTACTCTGCCTTGCATTGTGGTTACTTGTGCACTTGCCCTTTGCCACCACTGCATTATAAGCCTTATGAAGACAGGGATCCAACAACTTCTTTCTATCCCTTGCCTGGAAGAGCACCCTGCATAAAATCCAGGCTGTATTCATGTATGTTGAGTTACTGCAGAACCATTTGTTGAGTTGAATGAGTGAGAGCAAGGAGCAGACCACAGGGCATGGAGACTTTCCAGGTTCACCTTCCTTGGTGCCGTTAGCAAGTCTATTGGAATGGTTATCAGCCCAACTTCAACCTTCTTGTCCAAAGCACAGTGTGATAGATGTTGCAAAGCATCCTGGCACACTTTTCAAAAGAGAAAGTATTTAATACACATCTCTTGCTCTTAGCGGCTCACCCTGGTTCTCAACAGGAGCCCCTTTTATCTCTAAGGTTCAAACACCATCTCTTTAATGATCTATTCTGGAATTTTCCTATCATTTGCTACCAAGCTATCAATGCTATTATCAAAGCTACCAATTGTTATCAATGGCAATTTCCGAAACATACCCTTTTGAAATTTGGGACATTTTCTTAACCCCTAATTTTCTCGCTGCTCACGTTTTCCTTCATTCTATGATCATGTCTGGTCCTTTCATATAGATATTCACATGAAAAATCTCAGGCACCCTTCAAAATGTTCCCTTTGGGTAGTAAGAAACAGCCCTCCCTGTATTGGAAAGGTACTGCTGAGAAAAATCATAATTTATTATTATTTTTATTTTTAAAAAGGCTCTGATTATTTGAACAGATTCCTTCCCTGAGGACTCACCCTCTGAGTGATTCTGGGCTGAGTCCCTCTCTCGATTATTAATGAATTTGAGATATGGATGTGGTTGTTGGTCTTGCCCATAAATTATCCAGTCATGCATGACCACAGTCAGCAGAAAAAGAACTTTCCAGCTCCTCAGCTGCTGGATTCAGAAAAGTGACTGGGTCGTGTGGACATTTCTATGAGGGCTCCAGTTTCTGAATGTTATGAGCAACTTAGTAAAAGTGCAAGGTAAACATAAAGTACCATTCACTGAGAGCAGACTAAATTATGAGCCATAACCTTCTCGAGATAGCCTGGTACCATTTGGGTTATCTCTTTTATAAAACGTGCTGAGGGTGATTGGTTTGGAAATAGTTGTTCTTTCATGTATCTTACTTTATTTTCCTTTGACTCAAATGGTTAAGATGAGAAGTGGAAATAATTTTCTAACAATAAATTATTTCCTATCTGAATTATTTTTCCTGTCAGGACTTTCTGTTACTTCCTCTGACTCCAACCATACACACACTCCCCAACTCAAACATTGCAAATATTGTGTTTCTTAAAATACTTGTAATTACCTTTTATTATTAACTTCAATGTACAGGTCTTGCCTTCCTATTTATAAACTTTGATTCTTCCCTTAATCAGCATGCAATGGTTTTTGGTTTTGTTTTGTTTTGTTTTTAAGTTTTATTTTTGTAAAAGTTATTGTCTGTACTATACCAACCTATGGGAACAAATGCTATTATCTTTACATTTATGTCCCAATTCACATGAAATCTAGGCAGAAACTCCAAACTTTTCCAGGAGTCCCCTCCCTAAACATCTCTTCCCTATCAATATTTGTAATTATCTCCTCTTCTCCTACCTGCTCTTGTCTGTCGGGAGAACCCACTATCTTGTCAGCAGGACTGGGCTGGGCTCTCATTCCACCAACAACCTCACCCACCAGTCTCAAACTCCATTAGCCTTACCTCTAAATAAACAAGCACAGAGGCTGGGCTGGTGGCTCAAGCCTGTAATCCCAGCACTTTGGGAGGCTGAGGCAGGTGGATCACCTGAAGTCAGGAGTTCCAGACCAGCCTGGCCAACATGGAGAAACCCCATCTCTACTAAAAATACAAAAACTTAGCGGGTTATGGTGGCACATGCCTGTAAACCCAGTTACTAGGGAGGCTCAGGCAGGAGACTCACTTGAACCCAGGAAGTGGAGATTGCAGTGAGCTAAGATTGCACCACTGCACTTCAGCCTGGGCAGCAGAGTGAGATCCATCTCAAAAAGAAAAAGAAAAAAAAAAAAGAGCAAGCACAGAGATTAAAAACTACGTGTTTTATGCTAACACTGCTTCTAGGAAAGGTCCATAGGCATGGCTGTCCCAGTAACATTTCTGTGTATGAGCTCTTCCCACTTGAGATTCTAGTGCCTCGCTGGGCACGGTGGCTTACACCTGTAATCCCAGCACTCTGGGAGGCCAAGGCGGGCGGATCACCTGAGGTTGGGAGTTCGGGATCTAGTGCCAACATTGCTCATCAATCTCATTCCCCTATGCTGGCTTCTGACAGCCCTGAATCTACCTTCTCTCTTTCTTACCCTCCAAGGGTCCCAAGCGTGGTAACAATTTCAATTTATCTTCGGACAAGTGTTTGCCAGAAGATCTACCCGCAACCAGGTTGACCAAGTCAGGATAATTTGAGTGCAGGTGTCCACTGGGCCAGGGCTGCACTTCTCCCCAGCCATTGAAAGAAGGCCAGGCCAGGAAAGGTGGCTCACACCTGTAATCCCAGCACTTTGGGAGGCTGAGGCGGGTGGATCACCTGAGGTCAGGAGTTCAAGACTAGCCTAGCCAATGTGGTGAAATCCCATCTCTGCTAAAAAATACAAAAAGTAGCCAGGTGTAGTAGTGCATGCCTGTAATCTCAGCTACTTGGGAGGCTGAGGCAGAAGAATCACTTGAACCTGGGAGGTGGAGGTTGCAGTGAGATTGCCCCACTGCACTCCAGCCTGGGTGAGCAAGACTGTCTCAAAATTGAAAGAGAGAGAGAGAGGAAGGAAGGGAAGGAAGGAAGGAAAGGAAGGAAAAGCAAGCCTGATGCTGAGACAGAACCACTGGTGCAGGCTCCCCTCCCCTCTCTCCCCACCCTGCTGTGGGGTTGTGGATTGCAGGGCGGGAAGCAAAGTGTCCTTTTTCTATACTCCAGCCTTGTCACAGAAGATTAGTGGAGAGGCAGTAGAGGGGATGAGGTGTGAGTGTGGAAGGATGAAGGGAGGGGTGTGGGATCCTTGTCAGGGTCCTGGGCCCTTTCAGAAAACTTCTTGACTCCTATGAAAATTCATGAATCTGAGGATATACTGAGGGCAAAGATGCTGTCCCACTTTATAGGCAGCTTCTGGTTTTTAAATGCAAATGAATATTTTGGGGGAGGTGTGGTGCCTATTTCCACCCCTTTACAATCAAGTTTGAGTCACAAGCCTGCAAGTCCAGTCAAAACAACATCTTGGCTGGGCGTGGTGGCTCATGCCTACAATCCCAGCACTTTGGGAGGCCAAGGGAGGAGGATCACTTGAGGCCACAAGTTGGAGACCAGCCTGGGCAACGTAGTGAGACCTCAGCATTTTAAAACTAGCTGGGTGTGGTGGAGTACAACTGTAATCCCAGCTACTCTGGAGACTGAGGTGGGAGGACTGCTTAAGCCCAGGGGTTAGAGGCTGCAGTGAGCCATGATCGCACCACTGGGATTACAGGCGAGCCACCATGCCCAGTCAAGGATTATTTTCTATAGCCTCTAATAGAAAAAAAAAAAAAAACTATTTTAAAATTCTCTTCCTGCAGCCTATTGGCCAGTGGCCACAGGATTCTGTTTAGCCAATATATACATATCCTGTCCAGTGGTGCAAAGTACAAAAAAGTGATTTTGTTAGGCTTTTCCCACAGAGGGTGTTTAATGTCTTCTTAAAGGTGTAAGGGAATTGTTCATGGTTTATTTCTTTGTGAAGTTTTTGATTGAATTAAAACACCAATATAAATTGGACTTAAACTGTCTAATGGCAAATTTTCTATAATAAACAAAATTCTAAAATCCTAGAGAACAGAAACTGTGGCTTATAGTTCTGCCTCCACTGCACAGTACTTACTTAGCTTCGTGCATGGTAAAAATAAGGGTTCTGTAAGTTCATTTGTTGGGTGAATGGATTTATTTATTCATGAATAAATTCTTTATTCATGAAAGAACTTATTTATTCACTCATTACATTTCTTCCTTTGTTTGCATTTTACCTTTCATTTTGTTTATTCTTTGGACTCAATAACACTTTTCATATCATTTTCAATAAGAGAGTTGAATAACTGTATATTGACCTGAATTGAAAAGAGAAATGGAAACAGAAAATCTTTAGCAAATTGAACTAAAAATCTCCCAGTGAGTTACAAATTAATCCAGTGAAATGTTCCGGATGTTTTGGATGAGGGAATTCTATTTCATACAGGTCACACTCCCTTACCAACCTCAGGCCTGGCTGAAGGAAGATTCTTCTAATCCAAAACATCCTGCAATTTTAATTTAATTATGAAACAGCATGTTGTGCTAGCTAAGTTAGACTTCAAGATGACTTAGCAGAAATCCCCTGGTTTGATAATAAATACAGATGCCATCCAGTGCAATAAAAATGACTGCATCAGGCCAGAGGCAGGTACAAAAAAGCTGAAAGAGGCTTTTATTTATTGTGATGCCAGAGGCAATAAAATTGTGTATCATTTGGGGTGAAACTTTTAATTTCATATCTTGTAGGTATTAAACTACACTTGCTATCTGCACATCCAAGTAAATCGTCTCCCATCTTTACTCCCTGTCTTTACTTTCACAAAAATCTTAATTCTGGGTTCTGCCAACGCTGCTTTCTTACCTATTCCTTGTCTGTTCCTTGTCTCCACAAATCTCCCAACCCCTTTCCCATATCTACTCTCCTATTCCACCCCACTTTTCTCTAAGGAACTCCAGGAAGCAGAGGTGAAACCCCTGTCCAAGAATATTCAAATATGTATTTATTCCTTCATGCAACAAAAATCAGCCTAGCATGGTGACTCACTCTTGTAATCTCAGCACTTTGAGAGGCTGAGGCAGGAGGATTGCTTAAGGCCAGGAGTTCAAGACCAGCTTGGGCAACATAATAAGACGCCTGTCTCCACAAAAAATTAAAAAAAAAATTAGCTGGTCATGATGGAGCACAGCTTAGTCTCAGTTACTTAAGAGGTTGAGATGGGAGGATTGCTTGAGCCTAGGAATTCAAGGCTGCAGTGAACTGTCATCATGCCACTACACTCCAGCTTGTGCTACAGAGGGAGACCCTGCACAAAACGAAACAAAACAAAATGAAACAAAAACAAAATGAAAACATTCATTAGGCATCTCCTATGCATAAGGCATTTTGCTTTGTTTGTAAAGACAGATCACAAAAAAGCAAGTTATTTTGTCTATTCTCCAAGGGAGATTTAAATTTGCAGGCAGGATTGAAGCAGAATGAGAAATAGGAAAAAGATGGAGCTGATATGTACAAATATGTAAGACAGATGGAGTCTCTGCCAGGCTGTAAATAGCATAGGTCCTAAACCAAACTCATCATGTTCCTCTGCAAAAGCACTTCCTCCCACAGCCTTCCTGTTGCGTCTCGGTCCCGCAAGTGTTCCTGTGATCCAGAAGCATTTTATTGCACCCATCTTCTGGTCACCTCTGTTGTTGTGTATGCATTTGCTTGTTTCTTTAGCAGGACTATGTCTTAACCCTGGCATATGGAGGCAGATCCAATTCCTAGTCCATCCACATCTCTGGAGATTATTCCAGTTTTCAGCATTAATAAGTTACTAAAAAAAAATTGTTGAGTTAAATTATGTTCTTACCATTGCACAAGCTTACAAAATCTGCTTCAGATCAAACAGCCATCTTCTACATTGCAGAGTTTGTTTCGTATGCAAATGGATCCTCTTTCGTTGAGAAGCCAGGTGTGTAGAAACTCAGGGAGGACCAAAGCAAGGTGCTGGGGCTCTGTGTTCTGTGCAGTCTTGGGAACTGACAGAGCAGTTGTGGTTATCTGTTTGACCTTGTACTTGGTGAATCACATACTGATGTAGGGGGATTCCCTGTTGCTACCACTATTTGTTCCATTCTCTAGTTTCCTACTCGAGTTTCAGATACTCTGCAACTAGAAATGACCTTAGTTCTTCCCAGTTATCAGATATTATTTTCTGACCCTCAGTTTCGCTGGGGATGCCACTAGCCTGGCATATGAATGGTTTTCAAATAAGAATCTCTTCCAAACAGAAGAGGCAGCCTGGGTATATAGTGATGGTTTCTGCCCTTTTTCTAGGGTGTACTCTCTTGAAGACCCTCTAGGAAGCCAAAACTGCACTGGGCATATCTGCAGCAATCTCTGTCATCTCATTAGGGTATGTTGAAAATAAGTCAACCTGTGAGTTAGCTATTGTCAGAAAATTGCTATGTAACCAACAACCACAGATCCTCATGGTCAACAACAATAATGAACATTCATTTCTTGTACCTGTGAAGTTCAGCTAATCTAGGCTGGACTTTGCTGATCTCAACTGGACTCAACTTATGCACCTGGGGTCTAATGGGGGTTGGCTGACCTTAGATGAGGTTGGCTGGGGTGACTTGGTTCTGCTCTACCTGTCTACCTCCTAGAACAGTAGGCTTGCCTGAGCATATACTTTTCATGGCAAAAACACAGCAAAACAAGCTCAATTACATGAGTGGTTGTGTAGACCTCTGATTGTATCATGTCTATGACATCCCATTGGTCAAAGCAAGTCATATGGCCAAACACAGAGTCAAGAGGTAGAGAAATAGCCTCCGTGTTTTTGTTGTTCTTGTTGTTTTGTTTTTTGAGACAAAGTGTTGCTCTGTGACCCAGGCTGGAGTGCAGTGGTGATCATGGCTGTATTAGTTCATTTTCACATTGCTATAAGGAAATACTTGAGACTGGGTAATTTATAAAGGAAAGAGGTTTAATCAACTCATGCTTCTGCATGGCTGGAAAGGCCTCAGGAAACTTACAGTCATGGTGGAAGGTGAAGGGGAAGCAAGCCACCTTCTTCACAGGCAGCAGGAAGGAGAAGTGATGAGTGAAGGGGGAAGAACCTCTTATAAAACTATCAGATCTTGTGAAAACTCACTATTACCAGAAGAGCATGGGGGAAACTGCTCCCATGATTCAATTACCTCCACCTGGTCTCTCCCTTGACACACAGGGATTATGGGGATTATGGGGATCACAATTCAAGATGAGATTTTGGGTGGGGACACAGCCA
This sequence comes from Homo sapiens, assembly GCF_000001405.40. Lineage (NCBI taxonomy): Eukaryota > Metazoa > Chordata > Mammalia > Primates > Hominidae > Homo > Homo sapiens. Next base: position 95,458,727 of record NC_000013.11, read on the forward strand.
AACCACATCATTCTGCCCCAGCCCCTCCCAAATCTCATGTCCTCACATTTCAAAACATAATCATGCCTTTCCAATTGTCCCCCAAATTCTTAACTCATTCCAGTATTAACCCAAAAGTCCAAATCCAAAGTCTCATCTGAAACAAGTCAAGTACCTTCCACCTATGAGCCTGTAAAATCAAAAGCAAGTTAGTTACTTCTGAGATGCAATGGGAGTACAGCACTGGGTAAATACACCTGTTACAAATGGGAGAAATTGGCCAAAACAAAGGGGCTACAGACCCCATGCAAGTCCAAATTCAGTGGGGCAGTCATTAAATCTTAGAGCTCCAAAATATCTCCTTTGACGCCATGTCCTACATCCAGGTCACACTGATGCAAGAGGTGGTCTCCCATGGCCTTGGACAGCTCTGTTCCTGTGGCATTGCAGGGTACAACCCCACTCCTGGCTGCTTTCACAGGCTGGCGTTGAGTGTCTGCAACTTTTCCAGGTGCATGGTGTAAGCCGTCAGTAGATCTACCATTATGGGGTCTGGAGGACAGTGGCCCTCTTCTCACAGCTCCACTAGGCTATGCCCTAGTAGGGACTCTGTGTGGGGGCTCTGACCCCACCTTTCCCTTCCACACTACCCTACCAGAGGTTCTCCATGAGGGCTCCACCCCTGCCACAAACTTCTTCCTGGACATCTGGGCATTTCCATACATCCTCTGAAATCTAGGCAGAGGTTCTCAAACCTCAATTATTAACTTCTGTGCACCTGAAGGCCCAACACAATGTGTAAACTGCCAAGGCTTGGGACTTGCACCCTCTGAAACAATGGTCTGCGCTGTACATTGGCCCATTTTAGCCATGGCTAGGATGCAGGGCACCAAGTCCTGAGACTGGACAAAGTAGCAAGACCCTGGATCTGGCCCATGAAACCAGTTTTTCCTCCTAGGCCTCCAGGCCTGTGATGGAAGGGGCAGCCATGAAGACCTCTGACATGCCCTGGAGACATCTTCTCCATTGTCTTGGTGACTAACATTTGGTTCCTCATTACTTATGCAAATTTTTCCAGCCTGCTTGAATTTCTCCCCAGAAAATGGGGTTTTCTTTTATATTGCATTGTCAGGCTGCAAATTTTCTAAACTTTATGCTCTGCTTCCCATTTAAATATAAGTTACAATTCCAAATCATCTCTTTGTGAATGCATACAACTGAATGCTTTCAAGAGCACCCAAGTTACCTCTTGAACACTTTGCTTCTTAGAAATTTCTTCTGCCAGATACCCTAAATCATCTCTCTCAAGTTCAAATTTCCACAGATCTCTAGGGCAGGGGCAAAGTGCTTCCAGTCTCTTTGCTAAAGCACAGCAAGAGTCACCTTTATTCCAGTTCCCAAAAAGATCCTCATCTCCATCTGAGACCACCTCAGCCTGGACTTCATTGTCAATATCACTATCAGTATTTTGGTCAAAGTCATTCAACAAGTCTCTAGAAACTTTCAAACTTTTCCACATCTTCCTGTCTTCTTTTGAACCTTCCAAACTCTTCCAACCTCTGCCTGTTACCCAGTTCCAAAGTTGCTTCCACATTTACAGGTATCTTTATAGCAGCAACATACTCTCTGTGGTACCAATTGACTGTATTAGTCCATTCTCACATTGCTATAAGGAAATACCTGAGACTGGGTAATTTATAAAGGGAAGATGTTTAATTGACTCATGGTTCCTGTGGCTGGGAAGGCCTCAGCAAACTTACAATCATGGTAGAAGGCGAAAAAGCCACCTTCTTCACATGGCAAAAAGGAAAGAGCCCCTTATAAAACCATTAGATCTCATGAAAACTCACTCAATGCCACAAGAACAGCGTGGGGAAAACCACCCCCATGATTCAATTATCTCTACCTGATCTTTGCCGTGACATGTGAAGATTTTACGAGGATTATGGGGATTACAATTCAAGATGAGATATTGGGTGAGGACACAGCCAAACCATATCAATGGCTCACTGCAGCCTCAACCTCCTGGGTTCAAGCAATCCTCCCACCTGAGCCTCTCTCCTCTGGAGTAGCTGTGATTACAGGCACATACCACCGCACTCAGCTAAAATTTTAATTTTTAGCTGGGTGCGGTGGCTCACACCTGTAATCTCAGCATTTTGGGAGGCTGAGGCCGGCGGATTGCCTGAGGTCAGGGGTTCAAAACCAGTCTGGCCAACATGGTGAAACCCCATCTCTACTAAAAATACAAAAAAGTTAGCTGGATGTGGGTGGTGCACACCTGTAATCCCAGCTACTCCAGAGGCTGAGGCAGGGGAATTGCTTGAATCAGGGAGGTGGAGGTTGCAGTGAGCCGAGATCAGCTCACTGCACTCCAGCCTGGGTGACACAGCGAGACTCTGTCTCAAAAGAAGAAAAAATTATTTTTTAGAGACACAGTCTCCCTATGTTGCCCAGGCCGGTCTCAAACTCCAAAGCAATCCTCCCACCTCAGCCTCCTAAAGTGCTGGGATTACAGATGTGAGCCACCATGCCCAGCCTTGCATTCTGTGTTCTTAAATAATAGTGTGACCTTGAGTGGAGCTCAGCTAGAACACTCTAGTACTTCTACTCCACCCCATTCTATTGCTCTTTGATTTCTATCCCTCATAATGGAGTCATTCAGGAGAGGAAAGAACAGATACTTCTTGAGGCCTTTATTTATGCTAAAAGTCACTTTACCTTTTTCCTTTGCCTTTGATTCCTGTTCACTCCTGTCCTCAAGTTATTTGACTTTTTTTGTTCTATGGTGGTGTCTCCAGCATCCTACTTTAGAGAAAGAAGTTATTGGTCTTTCCCCTGTCCTATACCAGACCCCATTTTCATTAGCATGACTGTTTTCCTGACCTCGTCATGATTTGTGAATCCCAGAGTTCCCTTGGAGAACTGAATTATTCCAGGAAAACAACTTTGAGATAAAACAACTTCAGCTTCCTCAACCAAATTCCTGATGACAGTTCTGCTTTATAAATCAAAGCTACCACTTGATCCCACAAGTGCAAATGCTTTACCTGTGCACTTCTGTGAGACACAGAACAGCAGAACTTGTTCTTAATGAAACACTTGATCATGCACAGTGGCTCATGCCTGTAATCCTAATACTTTGGGAGGCCAATGCAGGAAGATCACTTGAGGCTAGGAGTTCAAGACCAACCTGGGCAACATAGCAAGACCCCATGTCTACAAAAAGTAAAAAAAAAAAATTAGCCAAGCACAATGGTGCCATCTGTAGTTCCAGCTCCTCAGGAGGCTGAGGTGGGAAGATCACTTGAGCCCAGGAGGTGAAAGCTGCAGTGAGTTATGACAGTGCCATTGCACTCCAGCCTGGGTGGCAGAGTGAGACCCTGTCTCAAAAATAAAAATAAACACTTTACATGCAGTAGTACTTAAACCCTATTGAAGAATTTTGTTGGGTAAAGCCTGTAAAATCCAGCTGTAATACCTCACTGAGTCCTGCATTAATTAATCATAATTAATAATAAATAACTCATGAGTTAACGATGGTCATTTGTATTTGTATGAATTATGATTTTACCTTTTTAAACATTGCCTTTCAATACTACATTGCTAAATCACATTCAGATTATAATCTTTATAGCCACTTTTACTTATTTTGTTCATTCTGCCTGTAAGGAAAGTTATTTAAATTTATTAAAACCAATATTGACTTCATGTCATCATTCTGTAAACATTTTTCAGAAGTAAATAACTTTCATAAGGACAAAGACTTGGGTATCAAAGGAAGCCAAGAGGCCCAGAATAAACATGTGGGCAGGACCTAGGGTGGGCACAGCCCTATCACACGGTTCCCTTTACAAGGGTGGTTGGGAGTCTCTCAGATGCTGGAAGTGAGGAAAAAGGAGTCAGGGCCTGGGGACCACTTGGCAGAGGAGTTAGTTTTTAGGCCAGAACACACAAACCTGTTTGAGGCATTAAGTATTTGGAGAAGAAGACAAAAAACAGAAATGGTAGCCAAGTTCCACCTCATTCTAAATAACAGCTGAGTTTTAGGTAGAAAAAAGGAAAGGAAGAATTTATAAAGGGAACTGGAAGCAACCAGAAATGGGGAAAATATAAACGACTCAAAAGATACTGTGATGCTATAATTCCACTACTAACAGTCCAGTTTCTGCAAGGTTCTTATCTGATTGGAAGAAGAAAAACAATCTACGGGCTCAGGGATACAAAAGAGTAATGCCTAATTTATGCCTTGTTCCCCTAATCAGTGGCTGTAAGCTGCTTGCCAAGGACTGAGGCCTTCAGAGCCTTTGTGTTTGCTATGTTGGTGCTTCTGAAATGTTTCTCATGTAAATCCTTGTCGACAGGGCAAGCCCTCTAACCAGGGACCCACATCTCTCTATAATAATATCCTTAAGGTTTTCTCTCCATTGTTTTGCCCATAAGAGCATTTGAGTTTGACTCTTAACTATCAATATCTAACTATCTACCTATCTATCATCTATCTATCTATACACATATATATGTATGTATATATATTTCTGTATATATACATATAGTTGAGTCAAAAGTGCAAATGCTTAATATATATATATATATATATATATATATATATATATATATTTGCCTTTTTTTTTTTTTTTTTTTTGAGACAGAGTCTCCCTCCTTTACCCAGACTGGAGTTAAGTAGCATGATCATGGCTCACTGTAGCCTGGGCCTCCTGGGCTCAGGTGATCCTCCCACCTGAGCCTTTTGAGTGGCTGGGTCTACAGGCATGTGCCACCACATCTGGCTAATTTTTGTATTTTTTGTAGAGATGGGTTTTCGCCATGCTGCTCAGGCTGGTCTTGAACTCCTGGAATCAAGCAATACTCCCACTTCAGGCTCCCAAAGTGCTGGAATTACAGGCATGAGCCACTGAGCCTGGCCTTAACTATACTTTAAAGCAGGTTTTGAAACTACTTACACAGGTTTAGCCATGTGACACTATTTACAGCAGTCAGTCAGAACTGAAGGAAGTTCACTCTCTGCCTCCACATGGACAACATCATCTCTTGGCAGTGACCCAATACACAGGCTAAGGACTTGCCTCTTTTTGTCTTTGGACAAAAAGAGTTGTCCAAACCCTCTTTTTTGGACAACTCAGCTAGGGCTATCATTTCTTTGTGCCATTTATGGGTTTATCTGAAATACACAGCTGCTGAAATTGTCTGAATTAAATTTCACTCTGTGATCAAACTTTTCTTTCATTTTCAAGGTTATTGGAGCAAGTTTATTCATTACACAAGGACATTAGTCATTTTTAACTTGGTATTATGAAGCTGTCTAATCTAACATTTATGTATACAACTGGCAAGCCTAATAGTCCCAAGACAGACCCATGATTTTTTTTAAATATATATATATATATTTATTATATTTTAAGTTCTAGGGTACATGTGCACAACGTGCAGGTTTGTTACATATGTATACATGTGCCATGCTGGTGTGCTGCACCCATTAACTCGTCATTTACATTAGGTTTATCTCCTAATGCTATCCCTCCCGCCTTCCCCCACCCCACAACAGGCCCCGGTGTGTGATGCTCCCCTTCCTTGTCCAAGTGTTCTCATTGTTCAATTCCCACCTATGAGTGAGAACATGCGGTGTTTGGTTTTTTGTCCTTGCGATAGTTTGCTGAGAATGATGGTTTCCAGCTTCATCCATGTCCCTAAAAAGGACATGAACTCATCATTTTTTATAGCTGCATAGTATTCCATGGTGTATATGTGCCACACTTTCTTAATCCAGTCTATGATTGTTGGACATTTGGGTTGGTTCCAAGTCTTTGCTATTGTGAGTAGTGCCGCAATAAACATACATGTGCATGTGTCTTTATAGCAGCATGATTGATATTCCTTTGGTGTATACCCAGTAATGGGATGGCTGGAGACCCGTGATTTTTATGGTCTTGGATGTTGTTCATGATGACAAGGGTGTACATGTCCCAGACGCCATGCTGCAGTGCTGCACATTTCAAAGATACTGTGTTTTTGCTTTTTTTTTTGAGACAGGGCCTCACTCTGTCACCCAGGCTAGAGTGCAGTGGCGTGATCTTGGCTCAGTGCAACCTCTGCCTCCCAGGCTCAAGTGATCCTCCCGCCTCAGCCTCCCAAGTAGCTGGAATTACAGGTGTGCAGCACATGGCTAATTTTTGTATTTTTTGTAGAGATGATGTTTCACCATGTTGCCCAGGCTGGTCTCAAACTCCTGACCTCAAGTCATCCGCCTACCTTGGCCTCCCAAAGTGCTAGGGTAACAGGTTGTATTAGTCCATTTTCACACTGCTGATAAAGGCATACCTGAGACTGGGAAGAAAATAAATTTAATGGACTCACAGTTCTACGTGACTGGGGAGGCCTCACAATCATGGCAGAAGGCAAAAGACACTTTTGCCTTTTGGTGGCAGAAAGAGAGAATGAGGCAGAAGCGAAAGTAGAAGCCCCTTATTAAACCATCAGATCTTGTGAGACCTATTCACAACCATTAAAACAGTATGGGGAAAACCGCCCCCATGATTCAATTATCTCCCACTGGGTCCCTCCCACAACACGTGGGAATTATGGCAGTACAATTCAACTTGAGATTTGGGTGGGGACACAGAGCCAAACCATATCACAGGTGTACCATGCCCCGCTGATACTGTGTTTTAAAACCCTCACTTATGGTAGTAGAATTATTATCTTAACTTTAGAGATGAAACAATAAGCAAAATGCTGAGACTTTAAGGTTAAGTAATTTGCTTACAATCACACAGCCAGGAAAGTTAAGTTTAAGTCTAGAGTACTTGCCCTAAAACTCCAAGCCATTCACTACAAAAATACTCACTGGCCACCTGGCAGGTGAATAACCATGCCAGCGGCAAAGGAGAAATACACACACTTCCTATCATTTAAGAGTTTTCATTCTACACTCCTCTTAGATCTTGGATAAGTCATTCATGCTGGCATTGTTTATGATAAAAGTAGATTTACAAAGATTTTCTCCACTAGATTCAAAAAGATATCTTTTCCTGTGGCAATCTCTGAGATCCATTCACCTTCGATACTCAGAGTCTTTCTTCGCTACTGTCATCTCATTATGTTTAGAGATCCTCTAGAATAGGTGCTGTTTATCTGGGAGTTAATGAACTTGGATTTTGTCAAATGTATTTTCTGTGTCTACTGAGATGATTGTGTGATTTTCTGTTTATTCTATCAATATAATGTATTCCATTAATTGATTTTCTAATATTAAACCAACCTGGAATCCCTGAGATAAATCCCATTTAGTCATGGTGTATGTTTATGTTTATTTATTTATTTTACTATTTTAAAAATATTTTTATGTTATATATATTTTACCACTATTTATTTACTTTACTATTAAAAATAGTGGTAAAATATATATAACATAAAATTTGCCATTTGAACCATTTTCAAGTGTAAAATTCTTTTTATATGTGTCTGGATTCGGTTTGCTATTACTTTATTGAGGATTTTACTATTCACTAAAATGTGGATATTAGTCTGTAGTTTTCTTTTTCTTTCTTTTTTTTGATGTTGTTGTCTGCTTTTGGTGTTGGGGTAATATTGGTCTCATAAAATGGATTGAGAAGTGTTTCCTCTCTTCTATTTTTTGGAAGCGCTTGTCTGATGTGTTGGGTAGAGCTTGATGATGATAGGCTTTGACTGTTAAAGTGAGGCTGCCTGGCTTTATAACAAGGCAGTGAGAACCCATTGGAGCTTGAACCAGAGAATGTGCATTTCAGTAATAATTTTGAAATAATAATTTAACAAATCACTACATGTAAATATATATGACAAAGTAAATGGGAACCCTCCTCATGAGATAAAGGAGAACTGAAATCATATAGTTTAGGAAGCAAATGAAAAAAAAATCATACAGCTTAGGAGGCAAGTGGAAATATATCTGTAATAGACAAGAAAGGAATAACTTGTCATTGATGCCTTAAAAATATAAGTTTAACGTCAAGGTAGGCAAAAAAAATAAAGCATTTACTTGTAAAAATTTTAGTATAGAAATAATGTACAAAAGTAGAGAAAATAGTATAATAATCCCCCATATTCTGATCTTGTATTCTTCAACAATTATCAACACATGACCAGTTTTGTTTCCTCTATACCCCCTCTACTTTTTTTTTTTTTTTTTTGAGACAGAGTCTCGCTCTGTCTCCCAGGCTGGAGTGCAGTGGCATGATCTCGGCTCACTGCAAGCTCCATCTCCTTGGTTCATGCCATTCTCCTGCCTCAGCCTCCCGAGTAGCTAGGACTACAGGCGCCTGCCACCATGCCCGTTTTTTTTTTTTGTATTTTTAGCAGAGATGGGGTTTCACCATGTTAGCCAGGATGGTTTTGATCTCCTGACTTCATGATCTGCCCACCTCAGCCTCCCAAAGTGCTGGGATTACAGGTGTGAGCCACCGCGCCCAGCCACCCCCTCTACTTTTAACCCATACTCCTACTCTTGATGAATTATTTTGAAGCAGATTCCAGATACTGAAATTATTTTATTCATAAATATTCCAGTATATATCTCTAAAATTTAAGGACTTTTAAAAGCATAGCCCTGTAAATGTCATTGCATCCAAAAAAAATCAACAATATTTCCATAACATCATCAAGTATCCAGGAAATGTTCCAAATATCCCTGATAGTCTCATACTTTTTTTAAAACTTGGTTTGTTCAAATAGGAATCCAAACTAAGGCTCTTCCATTGCATTTGGTGAATATGCCTTTTAAATATCTTTTAATCTATAAATTACCCCTCCCTCTATTGTTTTTTTTGGGGGGGGCAATTTATTTGTTGATGAGTAATACTTTCTGTTGGCCTATAAAATGTCCTATACTCTGCTTTTTGTTGATTTTATCCCTGTGGAGGTGTGGCTTAGCCAAGTTTCTCCAGAGAAACAGAATCAATAGAAGAAAGAGAGAGAAAGAAGGATTTATTACAAAGAATTGGGTCACATAATTATGGAGGCAAACAGGTCCCAAGATCTGCAGCCAACCACCTGGAGCCCCAAGAGAGTGTAATCTGAAAAACTGAGAAACAGCAGAGCTGATGGTGTGGTTCAGTCCACAGGCCAGCAGGCTCAAAACTCAGGAAGAGCTGATGTTTCAGTTCTGGTTCAAAGACAGGAAAAACGTTGATGCTCCCTCTGGAAGGCTGTCAGATGGGAAGAATTCTCTCTTAGTTAGGGTGGGTCAACCTTTTTGTTCTATTCAGGCCTTCAACTGTAGGATGAGGTCTACAATGATCCAAAAAGGGAGGAATCTGCTTTACTTAGTCTACCAATTTAAATATTAATCTCATCTAAAAACGCCCTCACAGAAACATCCAGAATAATGTCTGACCAAATATCTGGGCACACCATGGCCCAGTCAAGTTGACACACAAAATTTACTATCCTAGAGTGTATTTCCTATAAGTTTGTAGTTAGTAGTTAGGTCCTGATTAGATTCTGGATTCTTCCTGTTTTTGTTTGTTTGTTTGTTTGTTTGTTTGTTTTGGTAATTGTCTTACCTCTGGCCAATAGGCTCTGGTTCCTAAGTCTTTTTGGCATGCTTTTACCGTCTTTGACAGTTTCTTTGCTGGCTGATATGACAAGATGTTCCAAACTTATCCCTGATGTTGAATCGACCATTTCTCCAAAGAACCCTGTTCACTTTAACCAGAAATGGTATTTAGAGTGCATTAGGCCAGGCCAGATATGTGGCTCATGCCTTTAATCCCAACACTTTGGGAGGCTGAGGTGGGCAGATTGCTTGAGGTCACGAGTTTGAGGCCAGCCTGGCTAACATGGTGAAACCCCATCTCTACTAAAAATACAAAAATTAGCCAGGTATGGTGGCATACACTTGTAATCCCAGCTACTTGGGAGGTTGAGGTGGGAGGATCATTTGAACCCCAGAGGTGGAGGTTTCAGTGAGCCAAGATCACGCCACTGCACTCCACCCTGGGTGACAGAGTGAGACCCTGTCTCAAAAAAAAAAATGAAGAAAGAAAACGGCCTGGGTGCTAAGGACACACTTAGCTACTCTTAGTCAAGGTATCTAGGCCTTTTCAACAGACAGAGCTAAGAATAGTGTATTTTACCATAAAACACATCATGTGTTCTTATTAATATTTCCAATTCAAACTTAGGATAGAAGGTTTTTATTTAACTTCTTTGATTTGATATTTATATTTTTCTTGCACTGAAAACCTTAGCTCCTAATGAAATAATGTAATTTATTTTTCTACTAAATACATTATGATTTCATAATAATCATACCTTACTATCAGAAAATATCATATCAGAGAAAAAATTATTCTAAAAAGAGAATTATGGAAAACCACTTCAGATTTCTTTACAGTTTTTTGGTTTTGTTTTCTGTTTCTTTTTTTTTTTTTTCTTCCTCTGGCATTTACCCCACTAGGATTATGTGGTCTCATGACTGTAGTTTAAAAATAGAATCATTAAAAAAGTCTAGATTCAGCTGACATCCAGGTATTTTAGCCAACTATGAAGGCAGAAATGATGTGCCATGGAGAGATTATGATCTGAGTGATGTAGCCAACTATTAACCTAAGTTTCTGCGAATTCAGGGGATGTGGACAGCTATATTCCATATTTAACTTCACCTTCTATATTTAGTAGGAGCACATTGTTGCTACTGATCAGTTATTCAATGGGATGAGAGTTAAATTCACTCATGAAGCTTTTGTCTTTAGGAGGAAAATGTAAAGTTTTAGAGCCACAGAGGGTTACAGTGGTACTGAACCTTGAAGGCCACCTGGTTTAATCACCGTAGTCTACAGAGGAGGAAACTAAGATCCAGCAGTGTCTAGCAACTTACCTAAGATCTCACCACTAGTTAGTAGCAGGGATAGAACTGGAAAATAATCTGCTGTCTCCTTTCCATTGATCTGTGCTGTTCCCTTGCTCTCCTTGTGTAAATGCTGAAGCGGATCATCATGAGCCCAGGATGAGCAAGGGAGGCCCGTTCTGAAAGTTCAATCTCAAGACTGAACACACTCAAAAAATGCTTATGAGACATTTGGTGGGCTATTTGGTAAATATTGAGTAATTGGCTCTAAGTATATAACAAGACAGGCTTTATTGTCTTTTTAATTTTTTACTTGCCCAGGTGATAAATTGAATATGTATCTGGTATGATCTGAAAGCTGGAGACACTATGTCAAACATTTAAGACAATCTTCTCACCGTATTCTATTTTTAAAACAATACAACAGTACTTGAAAATAATTTCTAAAGTCTCGATTATAAATGTTGTCTGTGTTCATGTATCTCATTCAATAAACCACCACTACATACAATGTACTGGGCTACATGGACTTTTTCAACAACTAGAACCCTGCAAATATGGAACTAGGCTGCCCCATAAGTTAGTGAAGTGGAGAACTGACAACTAGTGGATTAGTGAATTCTTACCAGAAATATGCACAGGGAATTCCTACAGAGGTCAAAGGATGGGACTTGATGACATCTGGTGTCCTTGTCCTTTCTAATCCTAAGATTAGATTGTTTTTGTTTTGTTGTTTTGTTTTAGAGAGTCTTGCTATGTTAACTAGGCTGGACTTGAACCTTGAACTCCTGGGCTCAAAGGACCTCCCACCTCAGCCTTCCAAGCAGCTGGAACCATAGGTGCGCACCATCATGGCTGGCTGGATGAGAGACCTGTATTCTATAATTTGTGTGATGCCCCTATTAAAGTAGCTTGTTTGGGGAGCGAGTAGTAACCATTTACACAAAGAGATACAACATGTTCTTCTCTCCCCTTTTTCTTCTAAGTCAAAGTTCAGTCTCTATTTACAGCCAACCCCCGAAGGCTCAACATATCAGAGAATAAGGCATAGTGAGCCCTTAGGGAAAGTCTCCATGGAACTCTCATCTTAGGGACCCCTCTTCACGAATGAAAAGACATGCTTTGCGGGAATCACAGCAACTTCCTGCTGGCCGTGCACGTCCTGCCTATTTCTGTTCTCTTCTCTCCAGCTGTCTTCCATTTCAATCACACACTTGTCTCTGTTACTGATACCCCCTCCCACTCCGGGTTTATTAGTAGCTACGTTCTCAGCCCAACGGTGAAAGAGAAGCAAGTGGACAATTTTGGGACCTGGAAAGTTATTCATCCACAGCCGACGTGCTGGTTCACGTTAACGCCAGCCAACAAATGCATGAGCCCCTACTGCGGGCCCGGCTCTGAGATAGGTGCTGGGGAAAGTGAAGGAGACACAGTTCCTGCTCTTCCAGGCTAGAGGGGGAAAGGAGACGAGAAAGGAGAGGTTACAGGAAAGCCCGAGAGCATGAGCACGGAAAAGGGTAAAGTCCTAGCCTCACAGAGGATTAGAAGCCACTCTGAGCCAAATGATTTCACTGTGACCTGAAGGAAAAGGGGAGGAGAATTTCCAGGCAGGGGAAAGACAGATCCAAAGGTCCAGAACAACGGGAGTTCAGGGAATTCAAGGAACTGAAAGAGTAAGGCATGTTGGAGTGACTGTCTCGAGATGACTCAAGCGAGGAAGGCAGGAGTTAGACCACCAGTGGAGGGGCTTGTCACAGAACTCCAAGAAGTGCTCACCAGAACTTCAGCTCTGACTTATGGATATATATGTGTGTGTGTGTGTATATATATAACATACACACACATGTATATATACACACACACATATACACACACACACACACACACACATATATATATATATTTTTTTTTTTTTTTTTGAGATGGAGTCTTGCTCTGTCGCCCAGGCTGGAGGGCAGTGGTGTGATCTTCGCTCACTGCAACCTCCACCTCCAGGGTTCAAGTGATTCTCCTGCCTCAGCCTCCTAAATAGCTGGGATTACAGTCGCTCACCACCACACCTGGCTAATTTTGTATTTTTAGTAAAGACAGGGTTTCACCATGTTGGCCAGGCTGGCCTCGAACTCCTGACATCAGGTGATCCACCCTCATTGGCCTCCCAAAGTGTTGGGATTACAGGCATGAGCCACTGCACCTAACCTTTTTTTTCTCTTTTAAACAGAGACAGAGTCTCACTCTTGTCACCAGCCTGGAGTGCAGGGGCGCCATCACAGCTCACTGCAGCCTCAGCCTCTGGGGCTCAATCATCATGGCTCACTGCAGCCTCAGTCTTCCCGCCTCAGCCTCCCAAGTAGCTGGGACTACAAGGCGCATGCCACCACACTCAGCTATTTTTTTTTTTTTTTTTTTTTTTGGTAGAGATAGAGTCTGCTTTATTGCCCAGGCTGGTCTCGAACTCCTGCAGTCAAGCGATCCTCCAGCCTCAGCCTCTCAAAGTGTTGGGACTACAGGTGTCAGCCACTGTGCCCAGCCTATGGATATATTCTTCAGTGCTGAAGAAATTATTTCCCAGCCTGTTAAATGGCTTCTCAGTTTTGCTTTGAGTAATCAAAAACCACTATTTGCTGAGCACACTCTAGAAGCAGATATGGTAGTACTAGGCCATGGGAGAAAATCCAGTGATAGCAAGCAGCCCTCCCACTACAGAGCTCATAAAATGAGGTTCTTTCTTTTTCAAACTCCAGATACTGATAACAAATACATTCAAAAACCAACAGACAAAAAATAAAAGGCTAAAAGAAACTCATCATCAACTCCTTTAGACCAAATTTTAAAATATAGTGCGATAGGCCAGACACAGTGGCTCACATCTGTAATTCCAGCACTTTGGGAGGCCGAGGTGGGTAGATCACTTGAGGTCAGGAGTTTGAGACCAGTGTGTCCAACATGGCTCTACTTAAAATACAAAATTAGCCGGGTGTGGTAGTGTGTGCCTGTAATCCCAGGTACTTGGGAAGCTAAGGCAGGAGAATTGCTTAAACCCAGGAGGCAGAGGTTGCAGTGAGCCAAGATCACACCACTGCACTCCAGCCTGGGCAACAGAGCGAGACTCCGTCTCAAAAAAAAAAAAAAAAATAGAGTGGGATACTTGTCACTACAGGTAAAACAGAAACTCTAAGGCAAAAGGGAGCTGATTCCCGTAGCAAAATGTTTTTAATTTGAGAGTGTGGGATGAGAAACCCGGTTCTATGACCACAGAGTTCCACTTGGATGTCCCAACCATGGCTCCTAGAATCAGGTGCTCTCTGTCCTGGTGCAGTGGCTCACACCTGTAATCCCCGCACTTTGGGAGGCTGAGGCAGGATGATTGTTTGAGCCCAGGAGGTCAAGAGCAGCCTGGGCAACACAGGGAGACTTGTCAGTACAAATAATTTAAAAATTAGTTGGGTGTGGTGGCATGCACCTGTGGTCCCAGCTACTCAACAGGCTGAGGTAGAAGGATTGTTTAAGCCCAGGAGTTTGAGGCTGCAGTGAGCTACGATCGTACCACAGCACTTCAAGCTGGGTGACAGAGTGAAAACCTATCTCAAAAAAAAAAAAAAAAAAAAGGAGAGAGAGAGAGAATCAAGGGTCTCTCTTTGGGCATTGGGTTCCTCCCTAGAACTTCCGTGTGTATTACTAACAACACAATTGAGAGCACTAGGAAAAATAGCTAATGCATGCTGAGCTTAAGACCTAGGTGATGGGTTAATAGATGCAACAAACCACCATGGCACACATTTACCTGTGTAACAAACCTACACATCCTGCACATGTACCCCAGAACTAAAAATTAAAATTAAAAAAGAAATAACATGGTCTAACAAGGGCTGAGGAAGAGATGCGCCTCGGGTGCCTCAGGCAGCCTGCATGCCAAGTGATGAGGATGGGGGGCCAGGGAACAGCTCCGCCCTCGGCCGCTCACCACCCCAGGATCCTTCAGTCTAGGCTGAGTAGTAATAGCAAATCCCATTCACATCATATTTCATTAGGCTCTCACGTGCCTTATTCAGCTGACCTCTAATGAGAGCATGCATGAGAATCACCCAGAAGGGCTACGGGAACCGAGGGCTGAGGACCGGGTGCCGTCCCCAGAGCTCTGACTCGGCAGGTCAGGGCGGGACTGAGAATTGCATTTCTCACAGGTTCCTGGGCCCTGCTATGCTGCTGGTTCAGGGACCACATCTGGAGAATCACCGGTGAACTCATTTCACAGAAAACCTTCAAAGGCCAGCTCTGCCGCCAGGCTGTTAAGCTTCGGAGGGAACAAACCCCTGCCCTGAAGGGGCTCGCCCACAGTGAAGGAAACAGAAATAAAAAATAAAGTATTAGAATGTAATGCAATAGAACAGCGGTCCCCAACCTTTTTGGCACCAGGGACCGGTTTCGTGGAAGACAGTTTTTCCACGGACGGGGGTCGCAGGGTAGTTTCAGGATGATTCAAATGCATTATATTTATTGTGCAGGTTATTTGTATTATGATTACATTGCAATATATAATGAAATAATTATACAACTCACCATAACGTAGAATCAGTGGGAGCCCTGAGCTTGTTTTACTGAAACTAGACGGTCCCATCTGGGGGTGATGGGAGACAGTGACAGATCATCAAGAGTGACAGATCATCAGGCATTAGATTCTGATAAGGAGGAGGGAACCCAGATCCCTCGTATGTGCAGTTTGCAATAGGGTTCGTGCTCCTATGAGAATCTAATGCCCAGCTGATCTGACAGGAGGCGGAGCTCAGGTGGTGATGTGAGCCATGGGGAGCAGCTGCAGATACAGATGAAGCTTCACTCACCTGCCTGCCACTCACCTCCTGCTGTACGGCCTAGTTCCTAACAGGCCACAGACTGGTACCAGCCCATGGCCCAGGGGTTGGGGACCCCTGCAATAAAACAAAGTCTCAAATGGAGGTTAGAGGAGGCTGCTATGAGCACAGAGCGGAGAAATAGGCCCACCTCAGTCAGGGAAGATAAGAACAGGTTAGCCACGGCTTCTAGCAGGGAAGAGAGTAAGAGAACAAATCCAAGAAGAAGCTGTGTATTCAGAAACAGCAGGGAGGCCTGCAAGGGCAATGGCCCTGTCTCAGTGAAACTGGGGAGGAAACCCATATGTAGAAACGGATGGGGAGAAGAGAATGGAAAAGGCAAGTAGAGATTGATAAGTGCTCCAAGGAGGAGAGAGACCTGGTAAGATCTGCCTTTTGGGAAGCTCATTCCAGGGGGTAGGGTGGAGGAAGATGGGGGTGGGGCAGGCGTGGAGCCAGGCTGGAGGAGGCTGTTCTGTGCTGCAGGTGCCAGAGGGAGGCTTGAGCCCAGAAGAGGCGGTGGGTGGAGGGCCTGAGCCTAATGGGATCTCAGGGATCTGCCAGTATACGTCTCACATCTTGGTGGAGAGGAGGGTTCAAAACTTGCAGGTCTCTTGTGTTTTGGCTTCACAGACAGAGTGAATTGGCTCCTCTCTGCTAAGGAGTCAAGGACACACATGCTGGTGCCACACAGAGGAGGAAACCTATAAGCCAGGAAGTAGGAGCACACACCCAGTGCTGTCCCACAACTCGGATCAGAGGATCAGACGGCAGCAGCTCCCTGCCAGGGATTAAGAGCCCACCCCTGCCCCCTGCTGCCTGCTCCCTTGCACTCTACATATTTGTAGGGATGGGGTCAGGGGACATCCCTGTGATTATGGAAGCTCCCTGGTTGGGAGAAATAACCTTGGTTCAAAAGGGGAGCACCTGGTCCCCAGAGACTGTAACCAGCCCGGCCTCCTGGGGACCTGGGCAGATCTGCTGAGCCTGATCTCCGCTAAGTTCAAGAGAGGGGAGATGAGGCTCTGCAACCACCATCAGATGCCCCAGCCAATTCTCGGAGACAGAGAGAGCCAGGAGTTTTGCCAGCCCACCTCAGCTGTGCTGACTGAGCACTGGCCACCAGTGGGCTTCTCTGCTGCTCCCCAAGGGAGGGAAGTGGCCAGCAGGGTTTGAAAGAGTTTCAGTGCTGTTTGCCCCAATGGCCTCTGGGCCCCTGGTGAGGGTGACTGGCTTGGAGCTCCAGGAAGGTGGCAAGGGCTCCATTCCCACCTCATCCTCCAGCTGCCTTTCTCTGGGTGGCGTCTCAGTGAAGCCAGCCTGGGGTCTATCCTCATGTGCTCTCATGATCCCAAGCCCACCTGCATGGGTCGAGGGTCCCTGCATCTCTCTCTCTCTCTCTGTCTCTCTCTGTCCCTCTCTCTCCCTCTTTCCCTCTCTCTCTCTCTCTCCCTCACCCTCTCTCCCTGTCGGGACTTGAGCACCATGGCTCTGCTGTGATGAGCACCATGGCTCTGCTGTGATGTGACTTATGATTGATGCTGCCCCTGAGCGTGCTGGGTGGTCTTCTATGCTTGTCACAAATCTCTGCCATCTAATTCCACCCCCATCGCCCAGATTGCTTCCTTCCGTGTGCCACTCCCCTTCTGGGCACTTGTGGTGATAGGACATATGAGGGGAGGAGCTGGTTTGGGAGGCGCAAAGGCATGATAAACTCGATTTTGAATGTGTCAAATATGACTTACAGGCAGGTTGACAGGATAGAGATGGATTGTCGGCATTTGGTTAGACGTGTGTGGAGCTCAAGAGGGGAGCCTGAGCTGGTGTCTTAGTCTGTTCAGGCTGCTATAACAAAATGCCTTAGATCGGGTAACTCATAGACAACAGAAATGTATTTCCCACGGTTCTGGAGGGTGGGAAGTAAGTCCAAGGTCAAGGTGCTGATGGATTTGGTG
Organism: Homo sapiens; assembly: GCF_000001405.40. Taxonomy (NCBI): domain Eukaryota; kingdom Metazoa; phylum Chordata; class Mammalia; order Primates; family Hominidae; genus Homo; species Homo sapiens. Next base: position 95,476,357 of record NC_000013.11, read on the forward strand.
TCCGGTGAGGGCTGCTTTCTGATTCACAGGTGAGTCTTCTCTCTGTGTCCTCACGTGGTGGCAGAAGTGAGGCAGCTCTCCGGAGCCTTCTGTATAAGGGCACTAATCCCATTAATGGGGGCTCCACCCTCAAGATCTAATCACCTCCCGAAGGCCCCACCTCCCAACGCCATCACCTTGGGCATTTGGATTTCAACGTGTGAATTTTGGAGGGACACAGATATTCAGACCATAGCAGCTGTGGGTGAAGATTCAAAGACTCAGAAACAGATGGGACCTCCCAGGCAGTGTGTGAAGGGCAAGGCTGGAACCCTGAACACCAGTGACAAGTAGGAGATGGAGAGAGAAAGGAGGATGCTACCATGTGGATGAAAAGGGGCTTTAACACATATTGCTCAGGTGGCCTCACTATGAAATAACAGGACAGATGAAGTCACTGAGTCTCGGGGGCACCTTCACAATCTCTCACAGCTGTTAGTGGCAGAGCCAGGTCTCCAAGTTCAGAATTTTTCTCCCTACATTTGTTCACTTATTCATTCAACAGTCACTGATTGTGCTCTTTTCTGTGTGTGTACAGGGTCTTGTGTTCATACCATGAGCAGCATAGCAGGGACCCAAGCAAGACTGGGAGGAGAGGCGGGATGCAGACAAGTTGGGAACCAGCCACGCCTCTCCTCCTAGCAGGGGAGTTGCTCTAATAGGTTTTAATTTTATTCAGCTTTGGTGAGGCCAATAGATCAGATGATGACTCTCACTGAAGAGAGAGTTTCTTACTCTCAGATCTAAGAGAAGTGGGCACGCCACGCCATGCAGGGACACCCGGGGCAGCACGAGGGCTGGTCAAGAGGCAGAGGGAGAAGAGAACGTGGCCAGAGCCCTTATTATGGTTTCCACAGGAAAGAGTGGGCAAGGCAGGGTTAGCTAGCTCAGGACTGGCTAGTTTAAATCATTTCAGCAGGCTCTGGGGCATACAGGCTGTTCCTATTTGTCAGATACCTGGTCCTGGGTGATTAGGGCAGGGGGATAGTGGCCTGGAGTGTGAGAGCCAGATAAGGGAATTGGTTGGGATGCGAGCTCTGGGTTGGTTTTCATTTGAAAAGCATATCACCCGGAGGACTCCTTCCAGGGGGAGGGGGACAGTGAGGGAGACATATTATTGGGTTGCACAGAGCAAGGTGTGTCCTGCAGATGCACGCGGGGCAGATGTTAAAGCATCAGGTTTACAGAAAGGAGAAACATGGTTAATACAGAAGCAGAAAAGGAATGCAAAACAGAGAACAACTGCAAAGGTGCACATGCGGAAACACAGGTTGATGTCCTGCCAACCCTACTGTGGATGGTCTGTGGACCAGCAGCACCTGGGACTTAGAGAGGCAGCGTCTCAACCCCTCACCCCAGACTGAACGAATCTGAATCTGCAACACCCTCAGGTAACCCATATGTATCTTAAGCCATGATAAGTACTGGCATCAGCTGCAGACAGGCCCGTGGACAGATGGAGGAGGAGGAGGAAAACGTGTGGTTCGTTAGGGAGGCTTCTTGGAGGAGTCCTCTAACAATGAAAGCCAGCTTTCATGTGAAAAGAAATGAGATCTTTTGCCTAAAACAGTGGTTCTCAAAATTGGCTGCAAATTGGAATCACCTGTTGTGTTTTAAAAAGCTCTGGAGGCCAGGCACAGTGGCTCATGCCTATAATTCCAGCACTTTGGGAGGCTGAGGCTGGCAGATCACTTGAGTCAGAAGTTCAAGACCAGCCTGGCCAACATGGCAAAACACCATATCAACTAAAATAGAAAAAAAAAATAGCTGGACATGGTGGTGCATGCCTGTAGTCCCAGCTACTTGGGAGGCTGAGGCATGAGAATCGCTTGAGCCCAGGGAGCTGAGGTTGCAGTGAGCCAAGATCGCACCACTGCACTCCAGCCTGGACAACAGAGTGAGACTCTGTCTCAAAAATAAATAAGCAAGTAAATAAATAAATATAAAAAGCACTGATCCCTGCTTCCAAACACTGGAGATTCAGATTTAATTGAGATAAGGCCAGGATGTAGAGCGTTTACAGAACTCCCCAGGTGATTTAAACATACAGCCATGTTAGAGAACCACTGGCCTTTGCCATACGGAAGATATAATGTGCTGTACCAGGACCAGAGAACAGAGAAACAGAGGAATCAGATGGTTTGAGAGCAAGACCAGGAGTGTGCAGGTCTGCCCGGTGGGTGGGGTGAACAGGGAGGGTGCGCCTAGGATCCTTCTCCCCTCCCATCCCCATTTGGCTTCCTGGGCCACGTTCCTCAGCGCTTCGTTGGTTCTTACCCGGATGCTTGTATTCTGCTTCCCCCTAGTGGTGACTTGCAGTATGGCACAGCTGTCGCTGGCGGTTTCATTAAGGTTCCGCGTTCATCACTAACTTGTGACAGTGAGTTACAGCCTGTGGTCTCGACAGGTGGGATCATCCTAAGAATCATGTCCTGTGAGCATCTTCGCCATGTGACTTCAGGAGTTGCTCCCTCACAAGGAGCCTCAGGGAGTTATAGGTCACTGGCCAAGCACTGCCCTGGCACAGGGCTGCAACTGCAGCCTAAGTGGCTTCCTGTGCGTAAGGTTTAAGGAACTTTCATTTTATTAGCCAGTGGTTAAGTGCCTGTGAGAGCAATCATCAGCAGGTGCAGTGGTAGAAGATAACAAGCTTCCTAATAAATAGTGGCCACCGGCCGGGTGCAGTGGCTCATGCCTGTAATCCCAGCACTTTGGGAGGCCGAGGCAGGCAGATCACGAGGTCAGGAGTTCAAGAACAGCCTGGTCAACATGGTGAAACCGTATCTCTACTAAAAATATAAAAATTAGCCGGGTGTGGTGGCGGGTGCCTGTAATCCCAACTACTTGGGAGGCTGAGGCAGGGAAAATTGCTTGAACCTGGGAGGCAGAGGTTGCAGTGACCTGAGATCACACCACTGCACTCCAGTCTGGGTGACAGAGCAAGACTCCATCTCGGGGGGAAAAAAAGTGGCCACCACTTAAATCTTTGTAGCAAGAATGGGTTTTACTTAATTATCACATTTCATTCCAATGACAAGCCTGAAGGTATTAGGATTGTCAAATATTTTTATTGCAAATATGCATTACTAAGGCTATTTTTTAAAAAATACTTCGCTATATAAAGTCATATTCTTCTCTGAGATGGACATTTAGCAAAAATAAAGTCACAGACTTAACATTATAGTCATGAATAAATGTTTTAAAATTATGAGGGAGAAAGAACATTAACTAGAGAAAATGTTGCTACATCACTTTCAAAATAAGCACATATTTTAAACAGACATGGTTTGCAGAAGAGGATTCTCATCTTACAGATAAGAAAACAAACCTGGAGACCTTAAGGAACTTGATCAAGGTCACATAGCCAGTGACAGATGCAGGGTTTGAACCCACATTGGCTGGACAGCACTGTCTGTATGTACAGCTCCTCCCACATCCCCTGCAAGAGTCCAGGGGTTCTCACCTGCTCAAGGGTTTGCAACAGAGACTTCACTTGAATCCCTGATTGAGTCTCTGGTTCCTCCAAGCTCCCCTAGTTCCTCTTTGTATTAGTCCATCTTCACACTGCTAATAAAGACATACCCAAGACTGGGGAATTTATAAAGGAAGGAGGTTTAATGGACTCACAGTTCCACATGGCTAGGGAGGCCTCACAATCATGGTGGAAGGTGAAGGAGGAACGTCACATCCTACATGGTGGCAGGGAAGAGAAAACTTGTGCGGGGGAGCTCCTTCTTATAGAACCATCAGATCTTGTGAGACTCACGATCACAAAAACAGCATGGGAATGACCCGCCCCCATGATTCAATTACCTCCCACCGGGTCCCTCCCACGACACATGGGAATTGTAGGAGCTATAATTCAAAATGAGATTTGAGTGGGGTCACAGCCAAACCATATCTCTCTTCTTTCCAGTTTCACATTGACTCAGACACTTCCTTCGGTAGAGCAGTCTCTGAAGGCCCTGTATTAGAGGAGAATGCCCTTGCCCAATCCTGGCAGAAAACCTCTCTCCACAGCTCACACCCAGAGCTGGGCTCAGGCCAGATGCGGAAGAGAGATAATGAGAGAAATAGGAAGCGTCTGAAGCTGGCAGCCATTGTGGTCCCCTGAGCTGGCTGGTTCCTTTTCTTCTCCCCTGAAGCTCCTGCCCACTGGGAGCCAGCTCCTGTCCACCCTACCCCAGTTTCAAGAGTTCCTAAAACTCTGGTGTGAACCAGAACCACTGGGAAACTTGTTAGAATGCAGATCCCTTGGCTCCACCCTCAAAAATTCTGATTCAGGATAATCAAAAACGGGACCCAGGAATTTGCATTTTAAGCAAACAACCCACGTGAATTCTGCTGCATGGGGTCCTCAGAACACACGTTGAGAAATATTCAATAGACACGCTATTCACATTCAAGAGTACCAATGAAGGCCCATAAGCTATGTTGAAATACTTAGAAGTTATCTATCAAGTGAATAAACTGTCAAATATATATACATAACTACATGGCAGGCTAGAATTCCTGGGCTCTATAGCCCAAGCCAGAAGGTAATGGGACAGCAAGAGCTAACCCCCAGCTGCCATCCTTCCCCTTTGTCTTCCCACTTTATGCCATGAGGAACTTGCTTCTTGAGCAAGAGGACACACCATCCATAAATTCAAGCACAGGCACTCTCCGTCCACCCTGTAACAGCTGCATCTTGACCACCTATTGGGCTAGAATGGACCCCAGAGAGGAAGCTGGCATTGACCCTGGAGGCAGAAAATTCCCAGGCACTCAGAGCATGGCCTAGATGGGGAAGAGTTTCCAGGAGGACGCATGCCCTTGACCTTGCAGACTCATAATTTTAAAACATTTATGACTAACTATAATGTTAAATCTGTGACTCAGTGCGGACCTTGCCTGCACTGAGGGGAAGGGCAGCAGAGGATGGCCGGGGCAGAACCCTCTAAGCTGACATTTCTCCAACATTCATGGGAATAGAAATTTCCTGGGATCTGAATCAGTAGGTCTAGGGCAGGGACCAAGATTCTGCGTTTCTAACAGCCTCCCAGGTAAAGCTGGTGAGGCTGGTCTTCAGACCACAGAATGAAGCAGCAAAGCTGTAAAGCAGGGGTCAGTACCAGGTAGTAAACTTTTAGTCTCTGAGGGCCATGTGGTTTCTGTGGCAATTATTCAACTCTGCTGTTGGGCATGAGAACAGCCACAGATGATATTTAAGAGAATGAGCATGGCTGTGTTCCAGGAAAACTTCATTTGTGAACACTGAAATTTGAATTTCAGATAATCTTCCTATGTTGCAAAATATTCTTCTTTTGGGTTCTTTCCATTATTTAAAAATGTAAAAACTCGATCAGGCACAGTAGCTCACGCCTGTAATCCCAGCATTTTGGGAAGCCGAAGTGAGTGGATCACCTGAGATCAGGAGTTGGAGACCAGCCTGAGCAACATGGCAAAACCCCATCTCTACTAAAAATACAAAATTAGCTGGGTGTGGTGGTGCATGTCTGTAATCCCAGTAACTTGGGAGGCTGAGGCAGGAGGATCACTTGAACCCAGGAGGCGGAGGTTGCAATGAGCAAAGATCGCACCACTACACTCCAGCCTGGGCGACAGAGTGAGACTCTGACTCAAAAAAGTAAAAACTCAATCATAACGTAACTTAATTGTACATGTAAAAATAAAAGAGTATAATTGGATTGTTTGTAACACTAAGGATAAATGCTTGAGGGGATGGATACCCCATGTTACATGATGTGCTTATTTCACATCGCATGCCTGTATCAAAACGTCCCATGTACCCCATAAATATATACACCTACTATGTACCCACAACAATTACAAATTTAAAAATTTACAAAAGATTTTTAAAATGTAAAAAACATTTTTTACATAGGCTATACAGAAACAGGTCTGGATGGGGAGGTTAGATTTGGCCCAAAGTCTGTAGTTTGTTGACCCCTTCTCTAATATATATGGCCCAAGTCAGGCGCCGTGCACAGCTGGGTCTAAGAGCTGTGCTGATCTACAAAGCCCACATGAAGCTGCTGTGGCAGAAAGGGTCTAGAGCCTCACTGAGTCATGTCTTTTGGGGATAGATGGGTCTTCTAGGTGCCCATCAAATCACACCTTCTCGGGCTGCCTTCAGTGCACACCTATGAGACCAATCTTGCTGATCCAGGGCAGGAAGTCTAGTCCAGATCCACCCTGCTGTGTTACCCAGGAGCTCAGATTCAGTCTCAGAACCATCTGGATTGTTTTATTCTCATGATGTACTTAATCCTGATTGAAGTATAAATGAATAAACTGGCTGGGCGCGGTGGCTCACGCCTGTAATCCCAGCACTTTGGGAGGCTGAGGTGGGTGGATCACCTGAGGTCAGGAGTTTGAGACCACCCTGGCCAACATGGTGAAACCCCCATCTCTACTAAAAATACAAAAAATTAGCTTGGCATGGTGGCGTGTGCCTGTAATCCCAGCTACTCCGGAGGCTAAGACAGGAGAATCTCTTGAACCCAGGAGGCAGAGGTTGCAATGAGCCAAGATCGTGCCACTGTACTCCAGCCTGGGCAACAAGAGCGAAACTCCATTTCAAAAATAAATAAATACATAAATAAGCCCATTAAACATCACGAATTTAATGTGAGGCCAACATTCTTACTGGTGAGAAATGATTCTCCATCGTTCTTGGGAGAAAGTGACGCTGCCCGTCCTCAGGCCTGGGAGCTGCTGAGGAGGGGAGAGTGAGGAGGTTGGTTTATGTAAAAGGTGTGGCACTGCCACTCTGTGCAGATTCCTGGAGGATTCACCTGACTACTTATTGATTTTTCATTGAACAGCTTTCTCCTCGTTCAGACTGTGGGCTCTCTGAGAAGATGGGGAAACATTATTTGGGAGATTTACCCTTAGGGTGAAAATTATCTAAGCTTATTTCTCAATTTCCCTCTCCTCCCCTCATTTCTCATCTCTAATTTTTTTTCTTTCTTTTTTATTAAAATTTTTTGTAGAGACATGGTCTCACTATGTTGCCCAGGCTGGTCTTCAACTACTGAGCTCAAGCAATCCTCCTGCTTTGGCCTCCCAAAGTGCTAGGATTATAGGCATGACCCACTGTGCCCGGCCTCTTAATTTTTTAAGCATCACAGGTTGTATCCCCAGAAACCAGACTCTAAAGAGGCATTTCATGAAGGCGTGCCTGTGGGAGGGACCACACCTGTGGAAGGTAGGGGACAGAAGCAGGAGTGGGCAGAGCAGTGACGTTGAGCTACAACCCAAGGCTGACAGTCTCAGCAAACCTCACCAAGAGCTCTGGAGTTAGGTGGACTTTTAGAAACATGCCAAGCATGGCTGAGCTGGCCAAGCCCTTATGCTCCACCATCCATTGGTCACTCGATATGAGCTTCCCCAGGCATGAGTGTGCTATGGTCTGAATATTTGTGTCCCTCCAAAACTCGTATGTTAAAATGCTAACCCCCAAGGTGATGGTATTGGGATGTGGGGCCTTTGGGAGGTGATTAGGTCACAAGGATGGAGCCCTCGGGATGGGATTAGTGCCCTTATAGAAGACACCCCAGAGAGGTCCCTCCCTTATCCCTTCCACCACATGAGGATACAGTAAGAAGACATTCTCTATCAGTTAGGAAGCCAACCCTCACCAGGCATCAAATTTGCTGGTGCCTTGACTTTGGCCTTCCCAGCCTCTAGAATTGTGAGAAATACATTTCTGTTGTTTTTGAACTACTTAGTCTCTGGTAGGATAGCAGCCCAAAAGGACAAAGATAGGGCATGTCCTTGGGTGAGGCAGCTCTCTGCAGCTCAGTCACTTTCTGAGAGGGCTAAGAGCTACAGGCTGACTGCAGCAGCACTTCTAGCAGCTGGGGCCTGATGTCCTTCACTGTCCTTTCTGGGCAGCATATCACAGTATCCACTGCACACCACTCGGCTATCATTCTGTTCAGATACTTCTTGACTGGTCTTTCTACTTCTAATTTGTTCCATGTAGAATCTATCCTAAACACTACTTCCCTAATCTTTCTTAAAGGAAAATATTGGTAAAATATTTCATAGTCTGTCATTATGAATAATTTTATATGTCATTCCCCTGAAAAGAGGTGTTACAAGGTCAAGTTTTTTCAGTTATGCAGGAAATGTAAGTGTGTAAAGAAGCAGGATGAGGCCAGGTGTGGTGGCTCACGCCTGTAATCCCAGCACATTGGGAGGCCAAGGTGGGCAGATCACTTGAGGTCAGGAGTTCAAGACCAGCCTGGCCAACATGGCGAAACCCCGTCTCTACTAAAAATACAAAAAAAAAAAAAAAAAACCCACAAAAATTAGCCAGGTGTGGTGGCAAGCACCTGTAGTTCCAGCTACTCGGGAGGCTGAGGCACAAGAATCGCTTGGACCCAGGAGGTGGAGGTTGGAATGAGCCAAGATTGTGCCACTGCACTCCAGCCTGGGTAACAAAGTGAGACCCTGTCTCAAAAAAAAAAAAAAAAAAAAAAAAAAAAAAGAAGCAGAGTGCAATACAACATGGTATGATGGGGTCTTATTTAGTTTGATTTAGTTTGCCTCCACTTCACCCCACTGGTGAGGGAGGGATTCCGCCCTAGAGTTGAGAGGATGGTTGAATGTACAACATCCAAGCCTAGACAGATGAGATGGGCAGCAGGTAATTAGTCACATATGCTCATGGCCCAGGGAAGGACGACACTGCCCCACAGAGAGCCACGTGGGGGTTGCAGCTGGGAACAGAGTGAACCACCAGGAAGCTGTGGGAGGCAGGCTTTGTAGTAACAAGAGGGCGAGGTGCCCCTGGTTCCTGTAAGAGGATGTGTTTGGTTTGCTTGGATAATTCTACAGGCTGACGGGGACCTGAAGCCTAGCACTGCGCCTGGTCCCTTTGATAAGGAGGGTTGCTTGGCTAGAGGACTTTATCCACCAGGAGCAGAGTGGGAGGAGAACTTGCAGTTAATCCATTTGAGCCTCTGTACCCTGATTTTACCAGCCTCCATGGTCAAGGCAGCACTTAGTTTTGAATCTTAATTTCAGGCCTTACACCACAGGTCTATGAGTCATTGGAGCTGAATTTCCTATCCAAAGGTATTCAAAATTATTTTCAAATCTGATCTGGCCAAACAGAATTCTACCATTCATCACTGCTGGTTTTCAAGCCCGGGCCCACTCCAGATTCCCTAGAATGGCACATCAGGGCATTCCTAATCAGGCCTAATCCATATCTCCTTTCTCATCATCCCTGCTAAATTTCAGCCTGAGTTTACACACATTCACTGGACAACTTGTGTTTTTGGCATACTCAGCTGTATGTTTTTCCTCACTCTATTTCCTCCAGATAAGGACTAGAAATTCTAGCCGTGCTTTGAGGCCAACTCAAATGTAACCTCCTCTGGGGTGACTTTCCTGGGCATTGCAGGATAAGTGCCTGGATGGCCTTGATAACCCAGCTCTTCCCCCATTTTTCACTTGTAGTTCTCAGAATAATGCTAGAATGTGCTGGAAACAACATTCTGAGATAAGGAAAAGCTGTCCAGAATATGCCAGATTCTGTTTCTGTTCCTCTTAGGACAAGATGTCCTCCAATGCTGTGGTCCAGTGATCCCAGTTTCCCCCCAGGGTATAAAACCCAGAGTGGAGTGCTTTCAGAGTGCCTCAGCTACAGTGCATTGTGGGGCATGTGCAGACAAGACTCCATCCATTCTGAGTAGCTTCCTGAGCCTTGCAGAATCAGCTCGCAATGGATGCTAGGCTTCTGTTGTGCCTTGCTGCCTATCTGTGATGAATAAAGTTGCTTTGCCTAACTTGTTCTGTGAGTGTTCTGTCTCCCTCAACTCCTGCAAGTGGTAGAAATTGCAGCCCAAGATGCAATAGGCGCATTTTGGGAGGCCGATGTGGGTGGATCACTTGAGGTCAGGAGTTTGAGACCAGCCTGGCCAACATGGCAAAACTCCGTCTCTACTAAAAATACAAAAATTAGCCAGGCATGGTGGCGTGCGCCTGTAGTCCCAGCTACTCTGGAGGCTGAGGCAGGATAATCACTTGAACCTGGGAGGTGGAGGTTACAGTGAGCCAAGATCGCACCACTGCACTCCAGCCTGGGCAACACAGTGAGACCCCATCTCAAAAAAAAAAAAAAAAAAAAAGATGCAATTGGCAGAAGTATCTGGACTCCTCTTCCTGGTGGTTGGTTGGCATAGTGATGATCTTTGCTATCCTCCATGTAGTAGGATCTCCCCTGGAATTGGTAACCAGAGTACAGTGAACCTGCCTCACAGGCATCTCAAACAGAATGAAAGGTGCCTTGCTTTTTATTCCTAAAGATTTTTCTTTTTCCATCCTGGCCATATGATTCAGTAGCCACATTTTAGCCTCTCAGTTGTGCATGTGCCTCCACCTGGCCACGTTGTGAGCTCTTTGGGGAGGCAGAACTACACTCTCCCTTTACCGCCTCAGTGTTCAACATGGTGCCTGATACTTGGGTGCTCAATCAATGAGTTGCACATGGAAAATTTAAAGAAATAAGGTTTTTGGTGGAGAAAAGAGGTGAAAAGTCATGGCCAAAATGAAGTGGAGATTTTGCTGTTGTCGCTGTGCTATCGTCTTTGTGTTGTGTTTCGCACGGATTTGAACTGTCCGTGTCCAGCCTGTTGCTCTTTAGCATGATTCTAACCTACACCTATGGGTGTTCTCTGCATCTATCTCCTGATTAAGCACATGCTATTCTCACAGGCAATTTGTTCTGGCAGCCTATGATGTCATTTCTAGGAGAACACTCTTGTCCAGTCTCTGCTATCCTAGCATCCTCTTGCTCAGAACTGAAGTTTCCCAAGAAGACTATCTCCTGTTTGCAGGACTTACTTTTCTATTTTTCCCTTAGAGGGTTACCTATGAAGAGAACTTTACACTGATATAAAGTCATCACAAAATCATTTTTGAATATTCAGTACAAATAATGCTGAAGACTGGCTAAAGAGTATGTTATCACTGCTCTAAGCTTTGCATTTGGGTTCATCTGTGGAAGCATAGTAATTCTTGAAATTTCCTCTGCACTTCTCTTAGTTTATCTCTTTCTGTCATGTAGAAGTTATTCATGTTCACATTTTATCTTCCCTCCTAGACCAGGAGTTTCATTAGGAAAAAAAGAAATTTTTCATTATAGAGAATTTGAAACATATACAAAAATAACAGAGAAGAGTATAAACTCTCACATACTTCATGAACTCATGGACAATGTTGTCACATCTGTACTCCCATTCCCTATGGTTCTAAGTTTTTCTAATTTTTTAATTTTTGAGATGAGATCTCACTCTGTTGCCCAGGGTGGAGTGCAGTGGCGTGATCATGGTTCACTGCAGCCTTGACCTCCCAGATTCAAATGACCCTCCCACCTCAGCTTCCCGAGTATCTAGGACTACAGGTGCACACCACCATGCCTGGCTAATTTTAAAAAATTTTTTTGTAGAGACAGGGTCTCACAGTGTTGCTCAAGCTGGTCTCGAACCCCTGGGCTCAAGTGATCCTCCTGTCTCAGCCTCCCAAAGTGCTAGGATTACAGGCATGAGCCACTGAGCCTGGCCTAATTTTTTTTCTTTTCTCTTTTTTTGAGATGGAGTCTCGCTCTGTCACCCAGGCTGGAGTGCAGTGGCGTGATCTCGACTCACCACAACCTCCACCTCCCGGGTTCAAGCAATTCTCTACCTCAGCCTCCCAAGGAGCTGGGATTACCAGCGCCTGCCACCATGTCCGGCTAATTTTTGTATTTTTAGTAGAGACAGGGTTTTACCGTCTTAGCCAGGCTGGTCTCAAACTCTTGACCTGGGTGACAGAGTGAGACCCCATCTCAAAAAAAAAAAAAAAAGAAAGATGCAATTGGTGGAAGTATCCACCCACCTCGGCCTCCCAATGTAATAGAATTACAGGTGTGAACCACCATGCCTGGCCTCAAATTTTTTTTTTAACAATTTTTTAACAATTTTTTTTCCATAAGTTATTGGGGTACAGGTGGTATTTGGTTACATGAGTAAATTCTTTAGTGGTGATTTGTGAGATTTTGGTGCATCCATCACCCGAGCAGTATACACTGCACCATATTTGTAGTCTTTTATCCCTTGCCCCCTCCCACTCTTCCCCCCAAGTCCCCAAAGTCCACTGTATCATTCTTATGCCTTTGCATCCTCATAGCTTAGCTCCCACATATCAGTGAGAACATATGATGTTTGGTTTTCCGTTCCTGAGTTCCTTCACTTAGAATAATAGTCTCCAGTCTTATCCAGGTCACTGCAAACACTGATAATTCATTTCTTTTTAGGTCTGCGTAGTATTCCATCATATATATATATATGCCACTATATATATACCACAATCTCTTCATCCACTTGTTGATTGATAGGCATTTGGGTTGGTTCCAGGATTTTGCAATTGTAAATTGTGCTGCTGTAAACATGCATATGCAAGTATCTTTTTGGTGTAATGATGTAATGACTTCTTTTCTTCTGGGTAGATACCCAGTAGTGGGATTGCTGGATCAAATCATAGTTCTACTTTTTGTTCTTTTTTTTTTTTTTTTTTTTGAAACGGAGTTTCTCTCGTCACCCAGGCTAGAGTGCAATGGCATGATCTCTGCTCACTGCAACCTCCGGCTCCTGGGTTCAAGTAATTCTCCTGCCTCAGCCTCCCGAGAAGCTGGGATTCAGGCACTCACCACCACGCCAGGCTAGTTTTACTTTTTAGTAGAAATGGGGTTTCACCATGTTGGCCAGGCTTGTCTTGAACTCCTGACCACAGGTGATCCACCTGCCTTGGCCTCCCAAAGTGCTGGGATTACAGATGTAAGCCACCACGCCCGACCCTACTTTTAGTTCTTTAAGGACTCTCTACACTGTTTTCCATAGTGGCTGTTTATACTGTTTTCCACTGTGGCTAGTTTACATTCCCACCAGCAATGCAGAAGGGTTCCCTGTTCACTGCACCCATGCCAACGTCTACTGGTTTTTTTTTTATTTTTTGATAATGGCCATTCTTGCAGAAGTGAGGTGGTATCGCATTGTGGTTTTGATTTGCATTTCCCTGATCATTGGTGATGTTGAGCATTCTTTCATATGTTTGTTGGCCATTTATATATCTTCTTTTGAGAGCTGTCTGTTCATGTCCTTGGGCCACTTTTTGATGGGATTTTTTTTCTTACTCATTTGAGCTTGTTGTATATTCTGGATATTAGTCCTTTGTCAGATGTATAGATTGTGAACATTTTCTCCCACTCTGTGGTTGTCTGTTTACTGTGCTGACTGTTCCTTTTACCATGCAAAAGTTCTTTAGTTTAATTAGGTCCTAGCTATTTATCTTTGTTTTTATTGCATTTGTTTTTGGGTTCTTGGTCATGAAATCCTTGCCTAAGCCAATGTCTAGAAAGGTTTTTCCAATGTTATCTTCTACAATATTTATAGTTTCAGGTCTTAGGTTTAAGTCCTTAATCCATCTTTAGTTGATTTTTGTTTAAGGTGAGAGATGAGGATCCAGTTTCATTTTCCTACATGTGGCTAGCCAATTATCCCAACACCATTTATTGAAAATGATGTCCTTTCCCCCAGTTTATGATTTTGTTTGCTTTGTTGAAGATCAGTTGGCTGTAAGTATTTGGGTTTATTTCTGGGTTCTCTATTCTGTTCCATTGGTCTGTGTGCCTATTTTTATACCAGTACCATGCTGTTTTGGTGACTATGGCTTTATAGTATAGTTTGAAATCAGGTAGTGTGATGCCTCTGGATTTGTTCTTTTTGCTTAGTCCTGGTTTGGCTATGTGGGCTCTGTTTTGGTTCCACATGAATTTTAGAATTGTTTTTTCCAACTCTGTGAAGAACGATGGTGGTATTTTGATGGGGATTGCATTGAATTTGTAGATTGCTTTTGGCAGTATGGTCATTTTCACAATATTAATTCTACCCATCCATGAGCATGGGATGTGTTTCCATTTGTTTGTGTCATCTATGACTTCTTTCAGCAGTGTTTTGTAGTTTTCCTTGAAGAGGCCTTTCGACTCTGTATCCCAGGGGTTTTGATAGGCTGTGTCATTATTGTCATTCAGTTCAAAGAATTTTTAAATTTCCATCTTGATTTTGTTTTTGACCCAGTGCTCATTCAGGAGCAGATTACTTAATTTCCATGTATTTGCATGGTTTTGAAGGTTCCTTTTGGAGTTGAATTCCAGTTTTATTCCACTATGGCCTGACAGAGTGCTTGATATAATTTCAATTTTCTAAATCTATTGAGGCTCATTTTGTGGCCTATCACATGGTCTATCTTGGAGAAAGTTCCATGCTCTGTTGAATAGAATGCAGTTGTTGGATGAAATGTTCTGTATATATCTGTTAAGTCCATTTGTTCCAAGGTATAGTTTAAATCCTTTGTTTCTTTATTGACTTTCTGTCTTGATGACCTGTCTAGTGCTGTTAGCAGAGTATTGAAGTCCTCCACTGCTATTGTGTTGCTGTTTATCTCATTTCTTAGGTCTAATAGTAATTGTTTTATAAATTTTGGAGCTCCAGTGTTAGGTGCATATATGTTTAGGATTGTGATAGCTTCCTGTTGAACAAGGTCTTTTTACCATTAATGTCCCTCTTTGTCTCTTCTAACTGCTATTGCTTTAAAGTTTGTTTTGTCTAATATAAGAATAACTACCCCTGCTCGCTTTTGGTGTCCATTGCATGAAATGCCTTTTTCCACCCCTTTACTTTAAGTTTATGTGAATCCTTATGTGTTAGGTGAGTCTTCTGAAGGCAACAGAGAGTTGGTTGGTGAGTTCTTATCCATTCTGTGGTTCTTCTTTTAAATGGAGCATTTAGACCATTTATATTCAATATTGTATTGAAATGTGAGGTCTTCCTCCTCAGGAACATTGATTATTCTTAGGTTTGGTCATTTAACATAATCCCAGACTTCTTGGAGGCTTTGTTCATATTTTATTATTCTTTTTTCTAGGTCTTTGTTGGATTGTGTTAATTTGAAGACCTTGTCTTCAAGCTCTGAATTTCTTTCTTCTGCTTGTTCAATTCTATTGCTGAGACTTTCCAAAGCACCTGACATTTCTAAAAGTATGTCCAAAATTTCCTGAATTTTTAAATTATTTTTTTCTGTAAGCTATCTATTTCCTTGAATATTTCTCCCTTTACTTCTTGTATCATTTTCTGGATACTTTTGCATTGGGCTTCTCCTTTCTCTGGTCCCTCCCTGATTAGCTTAATAACTAACCTCCTGAATTCTTTTTCAGGTAAATCCGGGATTTCTTCTTGGTTTGGATCCATTGCTGGTGAACTAGTGTGATTTTTTGGGGATACTGAACAGCCTTGTTTTGTCATATTACCAGGGTTGATTGTCTGGCTCCTTCTCACTTGGATAGGCTCTGTCAGAGGGAAGGTCTAGGGCTGAAGGCTGTTGTTCAGATTCTTTTGTCCCATGGGGTGTTCCCTTGATGTAGTACACCCCCCTTTTTCCTGTGGATGTGGCTTCCTGTGAGCCAAACTGCAGTGATTATTGTCTCTTTTCTGGGTCTAGCCACCCAGTGAGTCTAGCCAGCTCCAGGCTGGTACTGGAGGTTGTCTGCACAGAGTCCTGTGATGTGAACCGTCTGTGGGTCTCTCAGCCATGGATACCAGCACCTGTTCCAGTGGAGGTGGAGGAGGGTATAATGGACTCCGTGAGGGTCCTTAACTTCGGTGGTTTAATGCTCTATTTTTGTGCTGGTTGGCCTCCTGCCAGGAGGTGGTGCTTTCCAGAAAGCATCAGCTGTAGTCATGTGGAAAGGGACTGGTGGTGGGTGGGGCCCTAGAACTCCCAAGATTAAATGCCCTTTGTCTTTCCCTACCAGGGCGGGTAGGGAAGGACCATAAGGTGGGGGCGGGGCTGGGTGTGTCTGAGCTCAGACTCTCCTTGGGCAGGTCTTGCTTCAGCTGCTGTGGGGGATGGGGGTGGGATTCCTAGGTCACTGGAATTGTGTACCTAGGAGGATTATGGCTGCCTCTGTTGAGTCATACAGGTTGTCAGGGAAGTTGGGGAAGGCTGGCAATCACAGGCCTCACCCAGCTCCCACAGAAACCGAAGGGTCGGCCTCACTCCCACCGTGCCTCCCCCAACAGCCTCGAGTCTGTTTCCTGGTGGAGGGTGAGATGGGCTTGAAAACTTGCCCAAGGCTTTTTCCCTTCCAGCTGTGGAAGAAAAGGGCTTCAGTTCTTCCCCCTGCATGTGAAGTCTGCACACCAGATTCATGCTCTCCCCTAGGTTCTGGTCAGGAGGCTTCTTGCCCCTTTCAAATTGTTATAAAGTTCAGCTAGAGAATTCCTTCTCCCTATGGAGTTTTACCCCCTTCTCCTCTGGCCACCCTCCTGATGGATCCCTGTGGTGTCAGGCAGGAATGGGCTGCTTGGGGACCCAACGAGCTCCCAGGACCTTTCTGCTGCTTCCTCTACCCTTGTATTTTGCTCGGCTCAGCTCTCTAACTTGACTCAGCTTGAGGTAAAGTTGGAAACTTCTCCCAAAAACAGACCTTCCGCTTCCCCAGTGGTGATGTGTGTTTGGAAGAGGAGGGTCCCCCTTTCCCACTTCCGCAGTTGGGGCACTCACAGTATTTGGGGTGTCTCCTGTGTCCTGCAGGGGCAGTCCGCTTCCTTCAGAGGGTCTGCGGCTCCTCTCAGGATTGCTGGTTTGTTCTTGCAGTTGATCTGGAGGGTTATTCTCCAGCTGAGGGTAAGGGTCAGTGGACCCTGCAACTCTGCAGTTCCACCTCTGCCACCCCTGCCGCTACCGCCAAGCCAGTGACCTCAGGTACCTTCCCTGCCCCACCCACCCAGACGGGTGCCCCTTCCTTGCCAGCCCAGGTGCACCCACCTGGCCCTAATTTTTTTTTTATTGTGCTAAAAAATACATGTTATAACTTTGCATTTTAATCATGTTTAAGTATACAGTTCAGTGGTATTAAAGACATCCGCATTGTTATGCAACCATCACCACCACCCATCTCCAGAAAAGAGTTCTTACAAAACTAAAACTCTGGACCCATTAGATGGTAACTCCCCACTTCCCCTCCCCCAGTCTCTGGTAATCATCATTCTACTTTTTGTCTCTGTGAATCTGACACTCTAGATACCCTATATATTTGCCTACCCCCACTTTTTTTTTTTTTTTTTTGAGACACAGTCTCACTCTGTCACCTAGGCTGGAGTACAATGGCATGATCTTGGCTCCACTGCAACCTCCACCTTCCGGGTTCAAGAGATTCTCCTGTCTCAGTCTCCCGAGTAGCTGGAATTACAGGCACATGCCACCACGCCCAGCTAATTTTTGTATTTTTTGTAGAGATGGGGTTTCATCATGTTGGCCAGGCTGGTCTCAAACTTCTGGCCTCAAGTATTCAGCCCGCCTCAGCTTCCCAAAGTGCTGGGATTACAGGTGTGAGGCACCATGCCCGGCCATATTTGTCCTTTTGTGTCTGGCTTATTTCACTTAGCACGTTTTCAAGGTTCATCCACGTTGTGCATGTATCAAAATTGCTAATACTATTTTAAATCATGTTACACATATCATTTTCGCTCATTCATAAATATCTTACTATGTGTCTCTAAAAGATAAAGACGTTTTAACATAACCACAATACCAATGTCACACCTAAAAATAAACAATTAAAAAATAATAGGAAATAAAAAAGGTAGTAATTCCTTACTACCATCAAATACCCTTCCAGTGTTCAAATTTTGAATTGCCTCATAAAAGATAGATTCTCCACCGTTCTTGAGTACAGAATTCCTGTTTAATTTGTCCTGACAACCTTCCTCTCCCCATAGTAGCTGTCTTGCACACAAAAGATGCTGTCATACTACATTTCACCAATAGGTGGCACGAATAATCATGACATTTGCTAAATCCAGTTGGTATTTACACAAGAGGAAACATCATTTGCAGAAAGTTGGCAATTATAGGTAAATATACAAACACAGAAATTGAAAATAGCCTGTTTGCTCTATGTAACACGCATAAAACCTGAATACATCCCAATTCTAAGGGATAATTATTGATATCATTCAAACTTTCTATTTGTTTTAAGGAGAACATGGAAAACGTATTTCTTGGTGTTGACGTTTATCTCTACAATGTCAACATTTTTAGTGTTAAATAATTGAGGCCAGTTATGTTTATTTATTCTTCCGCTTAATAAAAGAAAAAGTAAATAGAATCTACTTGTACAATTGATTGCTGTGTTAAATGCCCGTTACAAATGTATTGTCTGAATTGTATTAAGTGTACTTATCTCTGAATAAAACAGTTGCTTTCCCAAACTTCCTCTAGCGTGTTCTGAAGAACAGAGAATCTTAGGATGGTAGATACGGACAGGGCCTTTAAGACCACCTAGTCTGGCCCCATCATCTGACAGATGAACAGACATGAAACCTCATCGTAAGATCACACAACACCTTGATGGCTTTTGTGTAATTTGTTATCTTTCTGCCAGCAATCTCACCTTCTCCCCTCCACCCCTACTCTTAAAAAACTAACTGCTTGGTAAAATTAATATTTCATTTTAAGGATGCAAAACCCAAATTGTGCAATTAATCCTCCCTTTCTTGTCCTTTCAATATAATTAATTAATTAATTAATTAATTTTTTTTTTTAGATGGAGTCTCTCTCTGTTGCCCAGGCTGGAGTGCAGTGGTGCAATCTCAGCTCACTGCAACCTCCACCTCCTGAGTTCAAGCGATGCTTCTGCCTCAACCTCCTGAGTAGCTGGGACCACAGGAACATGCCACAACCTCTGGCTAATTTTTGTATTTTTTTGTAGTGACGGGGTTTCATCATGTTGGCCAGGCTGGTCTCGAAGTCCTGACCTCAAGTGATCTGTCCGTCTTGGCTTCCCAAAGTGCTGGGATTACAGGCGTGAGCCACCGTGCCCTGCCCCTTTGCATATATTTAGCAAATATTTATTGGGTATTACCAGGACTAAACAAGATCTTGTTCCCTTGGTCAACTGAGCCTTTTATTTGAGTCCATGTCTTGTAATTTCCTAGAAAGAAATGAAGCTCGGCCAGGCGCGGTGGCTCAAGCCTGTAATCCCAGCACTTTGGGAGGCCGAGGTGGGTGGATCATGAGGTCAGGAGATCGAGGCCATCCTGGCTAACACAGTGAAACCCCGTCTCTACTAAAAATATAAAAATTTAGCCGGGCATAGTGGCGCGCGCCTGTAATCCCAGCTACTTGGGAGGCTGAGGCAGGAGAATGGTGTGAACCCGGGAGGCGGAGCTTGCAGTGAGCCGAGATTGCGCCACTGCACTCTAGCCTGGGCGACAGAGCCAGACTCCACCTCAAAAAAAAAAAAAAAGAAAAGAAAGAAAGAAAGAAAGAAATGAAGCTAACTTTAGGAAATCAGCCTGTAAGGAATTTCTAATGGGCAGTAAATATGACGCTTTTCAGCCCAGATAACATAATAATTCTGAGTCATTTTTTATCCTATCCTCCTATATTCAAATTAACATTTAATACTGGACTGTTCTTTCTGTTCTTAAAATCAGCTCCTCCAGCCAGGACAGGCCCTAAACTCTGCTCTTGAAAGTAGGTTCTCACCAAATTTATCCCAAGAACAACTTCCTTTTATCTTCCCCAGATGTTCCGGAATATTTGGGCTCTTTTCCCTGAAATGGCACTTCCCACATGTTGGATACGGCCCTTTGCCCTTTCTCAGGCTGTGTCTGCATTCTTCTCTCCTCTTTTCAACTACCAAACCCTCGCCTATACAACTTTATGGCTTCATTGGGCAGTTCATCCCACCTGGTAAATAAGCACACATTCACGTCTGACGCATATGCTTCACTTCCAGTAGTACCTTCCAGTGTGTTCTTTGAGATATTCATAAGTGGGGAGATATTCCATAGTCAAAAAGTTTGAGAAGCAATTGTTTAAACAAATTTAAATAGCTTCCTTTACTGCAGGACTTTTCAGAGTCTTTGATTTCAATAGGCATCATTGGTCCTTTAAGATAGGAAGATAGTACTGTATGGGGCATTTTCAAAATTGATTTGATTAAAAAGCACTACCCCTTGTCTTACTGTGCTCAGGCTGCGATTACAAAATACCATAGACTGGGTGGCTTAAACAGCAGACATTTACTTCTCATGGCTCTGGAGGCTGGGAAGTTCACGGTCAAGGGCCGGCAGATTGAGTTCCTGGAGAGGGCACTCCTCCTGGCCTGCAGATGGCTGCCATCTCACTGTGTGCTCATGTTCTGGAGAGTGACCCAGCCCTTGTCTCTTCCTCTTCTTGTAAGGGCACTAATCCCACCACGGGGGCCCCACCCTCATGACCTCATGTAAACCTAATTATTTCCTGAAGACTCCACCTCAAATGCCATCACATTGGGGGTTACAGCTTCAACATATGGATCTGAGGGGGACCCAAGCCTCCAGTACATGACACTCCTTTTGTTTTCCTCATTGCACCATCTGCTACTGGGTTCTGTGGAATGCACATAGGGACACACAAACTCCAGTGCAGGCTCTGGGTCTGAAAACAGACAACCTGAACTCAATCCCAGCTCCACCACTCCCTAGCTGTGGGACTTGGGTAAGTTTCTCAATCTCCCCAGGCCTGTTTTCCAGCTGGAAAACGAGGATAATAGTACCTACCTCATAGAGTTGTTGTGAAGACGAAATGCTTCTATACAGGGCAATACGGGGCCACACAAAGGAAGCACTAAAAAAAAAATGTCAGCTATAATCATGAAATGTCAGTATCAATAATTAACTATAATTAAACAATCTATTATATCGGTTATTAATAAACATATTATAGTGAATGAAACTTATTATGTGGCAATATTTAATTTATTTTGAGGCTGAATATTGAATTCTATGAAAGGATCATGGTCAAGCTTCTATTTTAGGCTCTTAGAGGACAATATAGCATTGAAAGAAAATCACAAGAGAAGCCATGGCAAGCATGAGCCAGGAATCAGAAGCAGTGTGGCTGGGCTTAAGGAAGAAGGGGCCACTGAGCTCAGTGCCAGGACTCTGTGCCAACCGCCACAGCCCTGACAGGAAGCAGAGCTGTTACTC
The DNA here is from genome assembly GCF_000001405.40 of Homo sapiens. Lineage (NCBI taxonomy): Eukaryota > Metazoa > Chordata > Mammalia > Primates > Hominidae > Homo > Homo sapiens. Next base: position 95,497,488 of record NC_000013.11, read on the forward strand.
TGCAAAGGACAGACCAGCCACACAAAGAGGGAGGCAGGCCTGCCCATCCTCCCGGCTTTGTGCAGATAGATTTGGACTCGTGGTAGTGTCATCTTTGAATGTGCATTGCAGTTTCACAACCATACCTACCTCACCAAATAATCCTAGAATAGTGAACTTCAACACAAATGTCCCCTGCAATTTCAGGGGCTTAAGTGGTCCCTTTATGTAACAGGCAAAGGATTAGGGCCAGCTGGGAAAATCCAAGTGTTTAAAACCTGTTCAGCACTTTTGCAGCCAAAGAGTAAGTTGCCAAACATTTTTCTCTCAAAAGAAAACAGGCCACTGAATACTAGAAAGGGGAATTCTGGAAGGAAAGAAAAAATCAAAGAAGAGAAGAGAAGTGAAGGGACATCTTGGGAAAAGTAAAATGATGTTGAACTTAAAGGTTTAGGACATTGAGAAGGTAAACTTGAACATTTTTCTTTAAAATAAAAACACAACAAAAAGAGAAACAATACAAGATGATTTTAAAAAGCAAACCAAGGGGAAATTTTTACAGTCTATTAATTTCTAGATGTAATAAAATTAAAACACAGATTCTTGCTTAACAGATCCCAGGAGCATTCAGAGTTATGGATCAGGTTCTTCCTGAGAGGGAATCTGAAGGTCAGTGTGTGACCTGAGGAAAGCACCTCCTTGGAGCTGCCAGGCAGCCCTCATCTCCCAGCATGACTATCCTGCCTTCTCACTACTGTTTCATTGAATCCTCCAGGGATCCACAACGCCAAACTCCAGATCCTCATTCCTTTAGATCCTTCTCCAGCAGCATCACAGTAGGAAACATTCCAAAGAGAATTTCAGTTTCCAGTACAACTACACACACAAGATGTCTATGGGCAAAATATTTTATGGGTGATATACTCTTTTTTCTTTTTTCTTTTTTTGAGACAGGGATTGCTCTGTTGCCCAGGCTGGAGTGCAGTGGTGCCATCACGGCTCAGTGCAGCCTCAACCTCCTGGGCTCAGGTAATCCTCCCACCTCAGCCTCCCGAGTAGCTGGGACTACAGGCACAAGCCACCACGCCTGGCTGATTTTTGTATTTTTAGTAGAGATGGGGTTTCACCATGTTTGCCAGGCTGGTCTCAAACTCCTGGCCTTAAGTGATCCACCCATCTCAGCCTCTGAAAATGCTGGGATTACAAGCATGAGCCATCGTGCCCAGCCTATTCCTCTCCTTTATAATTTTTAAATTGTGATAAAATTAAAATATGCACAACATAAACTTTACCACATTGACCATTTTTGAGTGTATAGCTCAATAGTGTTAACTACGTTCACATTGTTGCACAAGCAATTTCCAGAACTTTTTTATCTTGCAAAACTGAAACTCTGTACCCATTAAAGAACTCATTTCTGCCTCTGCCACTGCCGGGCAACCACCGTTCTATTTTCTGTCTCTATGAATTTGATGACTCTTGATACCTCGTATAAGTGGAATCGCACAGAATTTGTCCTTTTGTGACTGGCTTTTCACTTGGCATAATGTCTTCAATTTTCATCCATGTTGTAGCATGAGTCAGAGCTTCCTTGCTTTTCAAGACTGAATAACATTCCATCGTATGGATAGGCCACATCTTGTTTATCCATTAATCCGTCCATGCCAGGAATACGTTTTAAGAAGTCCATGAAAATGCTTGGAGTTGTGTTTAAAAGAGTTTTATAAGTCATGATTGGCAGCAATTATTAAGCACCCTTTTCTGATTAGCCAGCATTGAAAAGAGACAGGACTGGCCAGGCGCAGTGGCTTACATCTGTAATCCCAGCACTTTGAAAGGCTGAGGCAGGTGAATCACCTGAGGTCAGGAGTTCTAGACCACCCTAGCCAACATGGTGAAACCCCGTCTCTACTAAAATTACAAAAATTAGCTAGGCATGGTGGCAAGCGCTTGTAATCGCAGCTACTTGGGAGGCTGAGGCCGGAGAATCACTTGAACCCGGGAGGCAGAGTTTGCAGTGAGCCGAGATCACGCCACTGCACTCCAGCCTGGGCGACAAGAGTGAAACTCCATCTCAAAAAAAAGAAAAGAAAATAGACAGGACTAAGTGATTTGGATCTGCATGCTGACAGGCAGATAGACAGGCACCGGGGCAGACTGAGCGATCCAGACCTGACCAGCCCTGCTGCCAGTGGAGGTGGAAGGTTCCCAGGAAGGCCTGAGAGTCTGGGAGGGAAACTGCCTAAGGGGGTGATAAATGGAATCAGCAGCGGAGCCCCAACACTGACCCAGGCACTGACAAAGCAAGCCTGACACGTTGGGAAGGGATTTAGCACTAGAAAAAAGTTCCTTTATACCAAGGGTATCCGATCTTTTGGCTTCTCTGGGCCACATTGGAAGAATTGTCTTGGGCCACACATAAAATACATGAACACTAATGATACCTGATGAGCACAAAGAAAAAAAATACCACAAGAAAATTTCATAATGTTTTAAGGAAGTTTACAAATTTGTGTTGAGCCTCATTCAAAGCCATCCTTGGCCCACAGGCAGCCCATAGGCCATGGGTTGGACAAGCTTGCTCTATGTTAAATGTTCCCACCCACCTACCAATTCATGTAGTCTGCAAATACTTACTGACTGCCTGCTATGTGCCAGGCACTGTTCTAAAATTTGAGAATATATCCTCGAATAAAGCCCAAAGGCTCCCCATTCTCCTAGAGTCTACATTCCATTCTATTGAAGTGGAGAGACACACTCTAAACAGATAAATAAACAAGGCTGAGAGGTCAGTAAAACAGCATGTTGCATGCGAGTGAGGCGGGGTCTAAATAAGAATGGGAAGTTAGGGAAAGCATCTCTGGGAAGTACCTATTTAGCCTGAGGCCTCAATGCCTCAAAGGAGTTAGTCGCCATGCAATGATCCAGGAAGGAGAGTGCGCCTGGCAGAGGGAACAGCAAATGCCAAGAGTGAGCCTCAAATGGGAGACAACTCACTACATTTGAGGCCAGTGTTGGAGTAGAGTGAGGGTGGAGTGGGAGGATGGGAGAGGCCAGTTTATGCACAGCTTGTAGCTGAGTACAGAAGGATGTTTCAGGAATGTGTGGAGGAAGGTAAGGGAGGAGGTCTCTGGCAAGTGGAGGAAGGATGCACAGAAAGAAGCAATGCTTGTTGAGGAACAAGAAGCAATTGCTGTGAGTAGGGTCTGGCATGAGTGATGATCAGTGAATGACAAAGTTGGAGAGGTGGGTTGGGGCAAGCCTTTGAGACACCAATAAGAAGCTAATGAAGGGATTTCAACTTTATCCAGCTAACCACCAGAAACCATTAAAAGTTTTTAATTAGAGAAGTGACCTCATTTTCGTTTTAAAAATAAACTTGTTGCTGGGATGGATTTGAATGGAAGGGTGACACAATTCTCCTGGGAAACAAAGAAAATTGAACTGAGCAAAAGGAGTGGAAGAAGCAGAGAGGGCGCGGCATGTAAGGGATACCATCGAGGGCAGATCATTTTGGTCTTTTTAAAAAAATTTTTTTTAATTCTTAATTTTCTTTTTTTTTCTTTTTTACAGAGTATTACTCTGTCACCCAGGCTGGAGTGTAGTGGCATGATCTCAGCCACTGCAACCTCCACCTCCTGGGTTTAAGCGATTCTCCTGCCTCGGCCTTCCAAGTACCTGGGATTACAAGTTCATGCCACCACGCCTCGCTAATTTTTGTATTTTTAGTAGAGACAGGGATTCACCATGTGGATCAGGCTGTTCTTGAACTCCTGACCTCAACTGATCCACCCGACTTGGCCTCCTGAAGTGCTGGGATTACAGGCGTGAGCCACCACATCCAGCCCATTTTTTTTGTTTTTAGAGATAGAGATCTCACTCTGTCTCTCAGGCTGGAGTACAGTGGTGCGGTCGTAGCTCACTGCAGCTTTGACCTCCTGGGCACAAGAGACCTTCCTGCCTCAGCCTCCCAAGTAGCTGGGACTACAGGTGTGTGCCACCATGCCCAGCTTTTCTTGGTCTTGTTGTAAACTGACCTTTTTATCATTATGAAATGACTCTAATCATTTCTAGTAATTCTTCTTGTCTTGATGTCTTCATTGTCTGAAGTCAATACAGCTACCCCAGCCTTCTTGTGATTGGTGTTTGCATGGGTATCTTTTTCCATATTTCACTTTGAACTTGTCTGTTTCTTTATATTGCAAGTGCATTCTTTATAAACAGCTTATAATTGGGTCTTGCCTATTTTATCTTTTAAAAAAATCTAGTCTAATAATCTCTGCCTTTATTTGAAATGTTTGGTGGTCCATTTACATTTAATGTAATCACTGATATAGTTGGGTTCAAGTCTACATCCTGCTGGTGGGGGGTTTCTATTTGTTCCAGCTGCTTTTTGTTCTTCTTTTCTATCTTCTCTGTTTATTGAATAATTGTTAATATTTCATTCTATCTCCTTTATTGATCTTTTAGCTATACTTCTTGGCATTTTAAAATAGTTGTTCTAGGGATTACAATTTACACCCTTAACTTATCAGGGTCTACTTTGAATTCATAGCATCTAATATAAGAATTTTACAATAGTTGTGTTCCATTTATAACCACCCCAGCCCCCACACCCAATCCTTTAAGCTATAGTATTTTACTTCCGCACATGTTAAAAGGGATAGATTCACTTGGAAGCTTGTTAGATTTTAAAGGTGAGAAAAAGAAGTTTAGCTGAACTCCAAGCTTCCTGACTTGGGCATATAGTCTACAATTCATCTAGAAAAGAAATCACCAGTCTGGGAGTACAAATGAGATCATAATTGCAGTAACACTTCGAATCTTAATTTTTTTGTCCTCCCACCTGCTTAATTATAGGAAGTCTGGCCTTACTTGTGATTTCTCACCTCTCAAATGTCTGAGCAGCCTCAGGGAGTGGTTGTACAAACCTGTGAATCAGCCTAGTCACTCCTTCTCTAGAAAGTTTTCCCCACTTCAACTGTTGCCAGGACGTTTATGGTGAGGAACAGCTTGGGAGCATGTTTTTTCTTGTTGTTGTGTTTTGTTTTGTTCTGTGTGTTTGTTTTTTGAGACAGAGTCCCACTCTCTCACCCAAGCTAGAGTGCAGTGGCATGATCTCAGCTCACTGTAACCTCCACCTCCCAGGTTCATGCGATTCTCCTGCCTTAGCCTCCCGACTAGCTGGGATTGCAGGAGCCCGCCACCACACCTGGCTAATTTTTGTATTTTTTAGTACAGACAGGGTCTCACCATGTTGGCCAGGCTGGTCTTGAACACCTGACCTCAAGTGATCCGCCCGCCTCAGCCTCCCAAAGTGCTGGGACTACAGGCATGAGCCACTTTGCCCAACCGGCAGCATGTTTTAAGTGAGGGGGATGTGCACTCTCCCGATGCATTATGCTCACTCAGTAAAAAGGTCTTCAGCAAAGATGTCCTGTTTCTGGAGCATCTATCTCTTCTGATGGACACATTTGTATGGATGAATGAAAGGGATAGGAGTAAAACTTAAAGTCTCAACAGGTTCCCAGTGGCCACCCAAGCATACTGTTCTAACTGTTGGTTGGCTCTATCTTGTGGTAGGGTTAAATTTGCTCAAATGCTTCCTGTGTAGGTGAAGAGAAATGGATTCACAGATGGAGTCTGTCTTGGGCCTGTATTTTGGATATTTGCCCATTGGAGATATTTAATATATAGCTAAATATTTTGATCTCAAGACAGAAGCCAGAGGTGAATATGTAGATTTTCATAGAGGTGATAATATTAATAAAAGCCACAAGAGTGAATGTGTTTACCAAAGGAGAAAATGTAAAGAAAAAAACATTAGAGGGTCAAACACTAAACCATGGAAAGTGGCTAATATTGAGGGTTAAAAAGTATTGATAAAAATACAGGTACAATATTCAAAAGAATGCATTTTTATATAAAACCAAAGGGAAGGATGTTATATCAAGAGCTGTCCATAGGTTCCTCAAAAAATTAAAAATAAAACTACCGTATGATCTAGAAATTCCGCTTCTGGTTAAATACTCAAAAGAATGGAAAGCAAGATCTCAAAGAGATATTTGTACACCCATGTTTATAGCAGCACTGTTTATAAAAACTGAAACATGGAAGAAACCCAAGTGTCCGTGGGTGGATGAATGGATAAACAAAATGTCCTATATACTTACAATGGAATATTATTCAGCCTTAAAAGGGATGAAAGTTCTGACCCAAGCTACAGCATACATGAATCTTAAGGATGTAATACTAAATGAAATAAGTCAGTCACAAAGAAACAAATGCTGTATAATTCTACTTATATAAGGCACTTAGTCAAAATTATAGTGGCACAAAGTAGAATGGTGGCTGCTAGGGAGAAGGGGGAGGGAGAAATGGCGGGCTGTTGTTAATGGTACAGAGTTTCAGTTCTGCAAGTTGAAAAGAGTTCTGGGGACTGGTTGCACAAATGTGAATATACTTAACACTACTGAACTGTACACTTCAAAATGGTTACAATAATAAATTTTATGTTACCTGTATTTTATCAGAATTTTAAACATTGAAATGAAAAGGAGTAGTCATGGATACTACATGGAATTACAGGAAAATGCACACCTTAAAATATTTCCTGGATTTGGTCATTGAAAAGAGTTTGAAGTAGAGATTGTCGATAAAGCCAGCCAAGCAAGCAAATATCATCACTGAAGAAGTATGACAATTGAACCAGAAAGAGGACTACAGTGAGGTGAATAGTGTAAGTTACAGAAGACTATATATGGGCATATTTATGGACAGGAAAACAGGAATATTCTCTTCTGTCTGCCTACATTTTTTACTTCTGCAAGAAACATTAAGTCCTCTGCAAGAAACATTAATCACATTTACTAAAATATGAGATGACATTTACATATTCCTTAATTTTTTATTTTATTTTATTTTATTTTTTTGAGACAGAGTCTCACTCTGTCACCCAGGTGGAGTGCAGTGGCCTGATCTCAGCTCACTACAACCTCCACCTCCCAGGTTCAAGCCATTCTCCTGCCTCAGCCTCCTGAGTAGCTGGAATTACAAGCATGTGCCACCACGCCCAGCTAATTTTTATATTTTTAGTAGAGACAGGGTTTCACCACGTTGGTCAGGCTGGTCTAGAACTCCTGACCTCAGGTGATCTGCCTGCCTCAGCCTCCCAAAGTGCTGGGATTACAAGCATGAGCCACCACGCCTGGCAATTTTAAAATATTTTTTAATATTTTTATTTTTCCTTTTTATAGGGATATGATCTCACTATGTTGCCCGGGATGGTCTCAAACTCCTGAGCTCAAGTGATCCCCCCACCTCAGCCTCCCAAAGTGCTGGGATTACAGGCATAAGCCATCACACTGGCCAGCTTTGCATATTTTTAAAAAGCATTCATTTTGATTATCTGCGTAAGTCACTGTTGATTATTACACTGGAAATTCTCACTAATTTCAAGAAGTAGAAGGAGACGTCAGATTAAAGGTGGTGAAATTTACCTTGAGCTTTAACCCTGCTCTTCCCCCAACTCAAGAACGTTTAACTATTGAAGGTGGCAGGGAATTAGGGTAATAGCCAAAATTCACAAATGGATCAAAGGAATATTTTTTGCCAGTAGAGAAACTTTGGTGTTTTCAAAGGCAAATACATCTTTCTGTATTCATTCTTAATTCCCATGAAAAGGTGTGTTCCTTGGGATAATTCTAACACTATGTTGAGACTGCAAGTCCATGTGATAGGATGGTATCAGGTTCTGAGCGTCCACAGGGAGAAAACAAGGAATTTCCTAACTAAAAATATAAAATCAGATCTGGTTCTCTCTCTCTGGAAATTTAGCAGAACCCACTCATTTTTAAAGGCAGGTATTGTTGCAGCCCCATTGTTTACCCATTGCTCAAATGCAGAGAGCCACATTCCAGGGATGTCTTACAATGGGCACATGGGGACTTGAAGTCGTTGGCTGACTCACTTTCTTCAGTGCACAGCTCTGAGCTCTCATTCGTATAAGGACTATGGTCTTTGGAAGTTGATTTTGGTTTCAGCCCAGGCCAAGTCCCTTTGTGCCTTATCTGAAGGGTATTTTTGGCTCCAGGGTGGTTGTTGGCAGACAGTGAAGCAAATACAACTCAAAGCTCTCATCTCTGTCGAATCACTGCCATAACAGGTAAAATGAACTAAGGAGGCAGTGGGCAAAGCAGATGTTTACAAAGTGAGGGCTAATGCTTGAATAAACATAAAATAGACACATTTGTAATTTGGCTTGTGCCAAGACCCTTCCCTTTCTTTTTTTTTTTTTTTTTTTTTTTGAGACGGAGTCTCGCTCTGTCGTCCAGGCTGGAGTGCAATGGTGCAATCTCGGCTCACTGCAACCTCTGCCTCCCAGGTTCCAGTGATTCTCTTGCCTCAGCCTCCCAAGTATCTGGGATTACAGGTGCCTGCCACCACGCCCAGCTAGTTGAGATGGGGTTTCACCAGGTTGGCCAGGCTGGTCTTGAACTCCTGACCTCTGGTGATCCACCTGCCTCGACCTCCCAAAGTGCTGGGATTACAGGCGTGAGCCATTGCGCCTGGCTCCTTTCTGTCTTCAAAGGAGAACTAATTAATCCTTGATAGGGTAGGGTTAGGGAATTCAACCTCACTGCTTAATGCCCCACCTTAGGAATGTCTGCAGCTGCTGATGCTAGTGTGTGTGTGTGCCTGTGTGTGTGTGTCACATGGGATGGACTGGTGGAGAGATGTTCTCATCAGCCCTGTCTACACGAGAGCCCTGCCAAACAGCTGAAATTTAATTTCCATCCCTTCCCATGAGTCCCTTCTGCTACAGCAGCCTTCTCTTTCCAAACAGACACTGAACTATGATGGAGTTTTCTTAAGGACAGTCAGGCAGATCTCAAAAGAACAGCCAGTCAGTGCAGGAAGAACAAATGTGTAATTCCGCCCTTGAAGACGCAGGCATCCAAAAGGAAAGGTATCTCCATGGATGTTTATCTCTCCTTCTGATCTTTTTCATGCCCTCTACTGCCTCTCTTCTCAAGAGACTCCCCTCTGCCTCCCTCTGGGAGAAGTTCTGCCACCTCAGACCCACCTGGTGTCTGCAAACCCCAGAGATTCAAGCCTCAGGCCCTCACTGATGGTGGCCCTTCTCTGCTCAAGGTGGACCCGTTCCTGTCAGTCAGGACAACAGTTGGTGAACCAAGTATGGTTTGGTCTCTCCATCAACACTGTCTGATTTCTTTACTATTTTATCCAACTTGGTGAGAGTTGTAGTCTAGGGTCCATCAGCCTTCTGAGAAGACTAAAATTCTCTTTCTCCTCAAAAGGAAGGGGAGGGAAGAGGAGGGTTGCCACCCCACAAACTCCTAAAAGTGACCTACCTTCTTTTGCCCAGTTCAGCACTCACACCGATGCATGGGGGAGGGGTTTGGGGGCAGTAAAGCTCCCAAAATAGAGTTTCTCAGCAGGCCACGAGGAATTGGGGCCGGGCTGAACATAGAACCCTGGGTATTTAGATCCTTGTTTTCTCACTGTGGTCCTTGGATGATACCATCCTGTCACATGGACTTACAAAGTCTCAACATAGTGTTAAAATTATCCCAATCAGCACAACTTTTCATGGAAATTAAGAATAAATATAGAAAGATATACTTGCCTTTGAAAACATCCAAGTTTCTCCTTTGAGAAAAAAATATTCCTTTGATCGATTTGTGAATTTTGGCTATTATCCTAATTTCCTACCATCTTCAACAGATAAACATTTTTGAGTTGGGGGAAGAGTAGGGTTAAGGCTCGGGTAAATTCTACCAGCTTTATTCTGATGTCTCCTTCTACATCTATAAAGAATATGGTATAATGAGAAGCATGTGGTCTTGTGAAGTAATAAACCAGGGTTTGAATCCCACATCACCCACTAAGAAGGCATGACTTCATGTATGTTATTTGAACCTCTGAGTTTCAACTCCTTTGTTGGTAATTATTTTTTGTTTTTATTCTGAAGGACATAAACCTATTTCCTAGAGTGATTATAAAGACGATGTGGGGTCAGGTGCGGTGTTTCACTCCTATGTAATCCCAGCACCTTGGGAGGCTGAGTCAGGAGGATCACTTAAGCCCAGGAGTTCAAGACGCCCCTGGGCAACATAGTGACACCTGCAAAAAAAAAAATTTTTTTTTTTTTGAGACAGAGTTCTGCTCTTGTTGCCCAGCCTGGAGTGCAATGGTGCAATCTTGGTTAACCACAACCTCTGCCTCCTGGGTTCAAGCGATTCTCCTGCCTCAGCCTCCTGAGTAGCTGGGATTACAGGCATGCACCACCACGCCTGGCTAATTTTGTACTTTTAGTAAAGATGAGGTTTCTCCATGTTGGTTAGAGTGGTCTTGAACTCCCAACCTCAAGTGATCCACCTGCCTCGGCCTCCCAAAGTGCTGGGATTACAGGTGTGAGCCACCAAGCCTGGCCAAAAAACTTTTTTTAAATAGCCAGATGTGGTGTCGTATGCCGGTGGTCCCAGCTACTAGGGAGGCTGAGGTGAAAGGATCACTTGAGCCCAGGAGGTGGAGGCTGCAGTGAGCCATGATTGTACCACTGCACTCCAGCCTGGGTGACAGAGCATGACCCTGTCTTAAAAATAAATAAATAAAATAAATAAAAAATAAAGATGACATAAAATTATGTATGTAAAGCATCTGGCACACCCTGAACTAACATATATTCATTAGCTTCCTCTCCCACACCCTATCCTTCTATGCCATTCATTGCATTCCCTAAAACTACCTAATATAAGGTCACCATTAACATTCTTGTGGCCAGGTCCAGCAGCCTCTTCCTGACTCCTCTTCTCTGCATTAGTGTTGATAAGGCCACCTGTCTAAGAATGTTTCATCTTTGTCTTTCATGCTCTTACATTTTAGAGTCACAGAATACGGCCAAGTACATATTACTCCCTGCTTTGCATTATTTTCTGTATCATATGTACCCCTGTATTCTCAAGCTAACTATCCCAGCTACAGGGAAAATCAAGTCCAGGACAAACCATTGTCCAAACATACATCAAGCATCAATTAAGTGCTAGTAAAAAGGGACACAAGGTCAAAGAGGACATGGTTCTTGCCATGAGGTAAGGAAGGCGGACAACCGCCCAACTGTATGACCAGAACTGGGATTGAAATGGATACAGTCACCATAGAAGCAGAGAGGAGTGAGGGGAAGAGGGAGCGATATCTGGATCATTCTGGACATCATGGGAGACTTCCTTTTCGAGGTGATTGTTAACTGAATCCTGAAGGATGAGTAGGAATTAGGTAAGTAATGAAGTAGTTGGAGGAGCCGGGTAGTCTGGTGGGTTCCAGGCTGAAGCACAAAGAGCTGGTGGCTATGGAGGATTCATGAGCAATGGGACTGAGGAACTAGATGAGCGTTGTTTCATAAGGCCTTGTGGGTTGACAAGAAGAGTCTGAACTTTATCTGAAAATTCTAGAAAACTTTGAGGAAACCCCTGTTGGTTTGACATGATCAGCTGTGTGCTTTATCCATGTGAGTCTAATATGGGGCAGAGACTGGAGGATGGTGAGGCTGAAGATGTCCACTGCCTAGATGATTAGGCAGTTTTTGTGGAACTCAAGGAAAAAGGGATGAGAACTTGATGTAAGGCAGTAACAGAAGCAGTTGGGAACAGATACTAAAGATATTAAGCTGACTGGTCAGACATGGGAGATGAAAGAGATAGAGAAACTAGAGATGACTCCCAAGTTTCTGTTTTGGATAACTACTTAGACAATAACTAAGGTTTGTAATGTAGGAGAAAAGGCAAGTTTTGGAATAAGAGACTGTGAATATGGTATTGGACTGCTAGGTCTGTTTACAATGGCAAGTGTATGAAGACCAGCCCCTCCCTGTGGCCATAAAGATGGACCTATGCACTTTAACAGGAAATTGGCTGGGGGTCAGGTCTGACATCGAGGAAAATTGAGCATAATGAGATCACCCCTGAAATTCCTTAATTCAGAGGTGAGTGGCAGCAGTACCTGCAGGCAGTGCGAAAATTCATTAAAGAATTGTTTTGGATCTGCTCCAGTGAACAGAAACAAGTGACTGGGTGACATAGCAAAGCAACAATAATTTTAGCTTCATAAAAATGTTAGGTGTCAGACCGAATATAAGCAGATTTTTAACATCTTAAGTCAGCACTCATATAGTAAGAGCACTAAGCAACTCTGCTTTTCCCTACGGTGATTCCAGTCCCCTCTGGACTCATCTCTTTCCCATGAATTCCTAGGTGACTCACTCGCTCTTCTTGATGGTCATTGGTGGTTTCCTGCCACCATCGTCTTTGTCTCTACCTCCGACTCCTTACTTGTTTCTTCTGCCCCACTCCCAGAGATCTCCTTTCTCTTCCTCTCACACAGCTGCCACAATAGCACCCTGACTGTAAAATGCACAGCTTCCAGGTGTGCTGGTAAACATTTAAAAGGTGGTGGGTAGGATAGGCATGGGGAGCTGATTTGTAGCATTTGTCATTTTCTGTGGTGTAAATACTCCCAACTTGGCTGATTCTAAACTACCAAAACTACCAATGTGTTGTCATTCACTTCCCCAAATTGCAACGGGAAAGCTCTCTTGAGCTTTTGCAAGCAAGTTCCAGCACACCACAGCTTCTGAGACTGAGATGAGTCACATTTAATGTGGTGGTGTTCCTTCCCTTTCCCCAGAGGGACACCCTGGAATGATAGCGAGAGTCTGGCTTCCAGTGAAGAACACTTGACAAGGGAGAAAATCTGGACATTTCTGCCTTTGAGTTTTGCTTAGGCCAATCTTGCAATTCTCCCTCAATCCACGTGGTCACCATCTTCCCACCTAAAGAGCACTCACCTCCTTTGAGAAGCCTGTGCTTGTCCTGACCCCTCTGAGCACACTTTAAAGTTTATGAATTCATTCCTTCCTTTGCCATTTCCAGAAGGTCTTTGTATTTTGCACAAGGACTCTAGTTCTTTGTGCTGGCATCAATTAGAGACTGTTTGTTTTCTGTTTTCCCGGGTTAATGGTAAATGTTTTAAGGGTAAAGATCTTATCTTTACATAGCATTGATTTTTGAACATTTGATTACTTGCTTATTTATTAAGCCTTTGCTCATTTGCCTTACCATAATCTTTTCTATACCTTCATGTTTGAATTGTTTTTATGGCTTAAGTATATACATATAATATGTATACATAATTATATAAAATATGTATATTCTCTTTTATACACTATGAAAACAATTCTTGGAAGCACATAAAATGTCTTTGCACAATAAAGAAATATTTTAATATTGATAATTCATAAATTATATTGCTAGGAAATTAAGTGAAAATTTGTTGGAGTGAGTCTCCAATGAACCAGTAAGTCTACAATAAACCAGTTGGAAACTTACTCCATTACTGACTACCTTGCTATGTGAGACAAGTTATTCAGGCCTCAGTCCTCCAAGTATAAAACAAAGGTACTAAGAAAATGTTCAGGGTGTTGGAAACGCTCTGTCAGCCAAAAAAATGTAAAGCTCCTGAAATCTAATATAAAAGTACTCTATGAATATGATGTATTTGTCAGGCATAAGAATTTTCTAGAAAATAAAACATTTCATGACAGGGATCATTTTTTAAAGCTCAAGAATTCTTGGAACATCTACAGAATTAGGATTTGACAACCAGTTTTTCAAGAACTTGGTCCAATTTTTTCATACATCTGAAAGTCAGTCAACTGTAAGAACTCAAAATAGCAAGGAGTAAAGTGAGATACTGTAAATACAGATTAGTATCATTTATCCAAGCCATTGTGGGATTTTCTTTAGGTGAAAAAGCAAAACCTATGATAGAATGGCAGAGAACAAAAAAGGAAAGAGAAAAAAACCCTAAATCCTTGTTCTGTTAGTAAACAAACATAGGTTTGAAAGTCCTAAAACAAGGAAGACTTTCAAACCTATGTTTGTTTATTAACAGAACAAGTGTTGAGAAACTTGAGTGATGTGAAGGAAACTGGTTTCATACAAAAGTGTTTCTTTGTGAAAGAGTTTTCTGCAGTAGGCAGAGGTGAGAGAAAGAAGAGGAGAGGAAGCTTCTCCTTTGGTGTTTCAGACCTAGGCCAATGATAAAAGTAGGAAAAGTCATCTTAGACAAAGATTCTCTCTCCTTTTTTTTTTTGGTTTTTGTTTGTTTGTGTTCTGTTTGTATATCTGTTTTTGATGTTAATATGAGCAATGTGTTTGACCAACAAGGCTAAGACCAATGATAGAACTAGGAAAAGTCATCTTAGGCAAAGATTCTCTCTCCTTTTTTTTTTTTTTTTTTTTTGGTTTTTGTTTGTTTGTGTTCTGTTTGTATATCTTTTTTTTCTGACTTTTTTTCTCTTTTTATTATTATTATTATTGTACTTTAAGTTTTAGGGTACATGTGCACAATGTGCAGGTTAGTTACATTTGTATACATGTGCCATGTTGGTGTGCTGCACCCATTAACTCATCATTTAACATTAGGTATATCTCCTAATGCTATCCCCCCCCTCTCCCCCCACCCCACAACAGTCCCCAGAGTTTTTGATGTTAATATGAGCAATGTGTTTGACCAACAAGGCTAAGACCAATGATATAACTAGGAAAAGTCATCTCAGACAAAGATCGTCTCTCCTTTTTTTTTGGTTTTTGTTTGTTTGTGTTCTGTTTGTATATCTGTTTTTGATGTTAATATGAGCAATGTGTTTGACCAACAAGGCTAAGACCAATGATAGATCTAGGAAAAGTCATCTCAGACAAAGATCGTCTCTCCTTTTTTTTTGGTTTTTGTTTGTTTGTGTTCTGTTTGTATATCTGTTTTTGATGTTAATATGAGCAATGTGTTTGACCAACAAGGCTAGGACCAATGATATAACTAAGAAAAGTCATCTTAGATAAAGATTCTCTCTCCTTTTTTGTTGTTTTTGGTTTGTTTGTTTTGGGTTTGTGTATCTGTTTTCGATGTAAATGTGAGCAATGTGTTTTGCCAACAAGTCTAGGAAGGGAGAGATTGGAGAATAGGGGGATAGCGAGTGTTTTAACTTCCCTTGAGGGAGATGATTTCACCCAAGGACTGTATCTTAGTTTGTGCCACACAGGATGCTGTCCTGGGAATTTCCCAGGGGCCCAGAGCAGTATCAGCTGCAGCCCTGTGCCATGTCCCCCAGTCACCTGGTACTGTCTCCTCTCTGCCACCTCCACCACGCTGGCCATGCTTTCAATCAGGCTAGAGCACTGCACTTGTGTGTCCAGGCTTACAACCCTATAGGCTTCCTTAGGAAAATAGACTGAACCTGATTAGGGAAAAATCAGCTTTTCACCCACAGAAAGTGCCAGGTTTTGACTTTTGTTTTCACCAATACCTGGCACACAGTAAGAGTTTTATTTTATTTTTATTTATTTATTTTGAGACAGGGTCTCTCTCTGTTGCCCGGGCTGGAGTCCAGTGGCACAATCTTGACTCACTGCAGCCTCAACCTGCTGGGCACAAGTGATCCTCCCACCTCAGCCTCCTGAGTAGCTGGGACCACAGGAGCATGCCACCACACCCAGCTAATTTTTAAGTTTTTTGTGGAGCACAGAGTCTTACTATATTGCTGCCCAGGTTGGTCTTGATCTCCTGGGCTTAAGCGATCCTCCCACTTCTGCCTCACAAAGTGCTAGGATTACAGGCATGAGCCAACATGCCCAGTCCAATAAATGTTTTATTAGCTTGAATTTGGAACTTTCCTACCATTGTAGAATGGCCCTTAGAATCCATAGTCAAGAGCATTATTTATTATTTACTATTTACATATCCCCTGTCTGGCAGGCACTGTGCTGGGCAGGAGGCACTGTGATGAAGAAGAAATTTTATAGTTTACATAACAAGGGGCAGAATGTGTTCTATGCTAAAGATAAACTTATTTTCCAATTAACATAATGACTAAAAATCATCTCACTAGAGGGGTTTAAACTATAAATTCCTTCCATGTCATATTGTATGACACCCCTCTAACAAACGCTTCCAGCCCTTTCTTCTTTCACACCCTTCTTGCTCAACATCCTCTCTCCTTCTTGGCTTCTAGGTGTTAAAAGCAGTAAAATAGAGCATTTTCCCCTGAAATAAAAAATTATTTTTTTAAACTTAGAGAAACTGAGAAAATGAAAAGGCTGTAAAAGGGAAGACTCATGTATACAGAATGAGCTCTTATCATTCATTCATAGATACATATTGGATATATTCTACATTGATAAGCATTGGACTAGGGTTGAGATAGACCTTTTCTCATGGAATTTTCACTGTAATCTCTGTCTATAAAATCTGTGTCTATAGAGATAAACACAAAAACAAGTGTAGAAACAAATATATAATCTGACAGCTTTTCATGGGTGCCTTAAAGGAAATAAGCAGTGCTATATGATAGACAATCATGCAGTGAAGAGCTGGAGCCAGCTTGCATCAGCTCTCAATAACTGATTGTTATGCTTCAGAACTCTTCCAGCCTATTACCAGGCATGGTGGCTCATGCCTATAATCCCAGCAATTTAGGAGGCCAAGACGGGAGGATGGCTTAAGCTCAGGAATTCAAGACCAGCCTGGGCAACACAGAGAAACCTCATCTTTACAAAAAATTAAAAAATTAGCCAGGCATGGTGGTGCATGCCTGTAATCCCAGCTACTTCTGGAGGCTGACGCAGGAGGATGGCTTGAGCCTGGGAGGTGGAGGTTACAGTGAGCTGTGATTACACCACTGCACTCCAGCCTGGGTGACAGAGGAAGACCCTGTCTCAGAAAAGAAAAAAGGAAAGAGAAAAAACCTTCCAGCCTATTGACTTCAGACTGATAGCTAGAAATTAGCTGTGGTAGGAGAATTTACACCACAGAAATAAGCAAACGTTAACAATCAGGGATTCCCCCACCTACCCCACCCACCCCACCCTCAGGAGCCAGTTGCTAAATGTTTACCAGCAAACAACCAATAATGGTGGGTAGAGGAATTGGGCTACCTTTTATGTAGAGGGTGGGTGATACCCTTTCTATGGAGATAATATTTAAACAGACCCCAAGGTTTGAGAAGAGAGGAGTAAAAGTGTTTCAGACAAAAGGATCCCTAAGTGCAAAGTCATTAAGGCAGGTAGCCTCAAGGGTCTTCTAGCACTTGTCAGCAGGTGAGAGTAGCCGATGATGGGGATGAAAGCCAGATGAGGTCTGGATCAGGGAACATGGGGCTTTGTGGGTCAAGGTCATGCATTTAGGTGTTTAGTTAAGAGAAATGGAAAGCCCTTTAAGGGGTTGAAGCAGGTAGGGGTGTGTGTGACATGATTTGCTTTATAAGTTAAGAGGCTCACTCTGGTTACCAAGTAGGAGATGAATTTTAAGGTGACAAGGGCAAGCATGGAAGCCATTGCAGTATCTCAGTTGTGAGATGATGTCCCGCAGACTTGCATGGAGATGGCGCTGAAGATGGTAAAGAGGAGACAGATTTGAGATACACTATGGAAGGTGAACTTGCAGGAGACTTGGCTGCAACTTGCAATCATTATTAGATGGGGTCTTGCTATGTTGACCAACCTGGAGTACAGTGACTATTCACAGACTTGATCATAGCACACTATAGCCTTGAACTGCTGGGCTCAAGCAATCCTCCTATCTTAGCCTCCTGAGGAGCTGGGACTAGAGGCACTCAACCCACTGCACCTGGCTAATTACGTTTGTTGTTGTTGTTGTTGTTGTTGTTGTTGTTTTTTGAGACAGAGTCTCATTCTCTCACCCACGATGGAATGCAGTGGTACGATCTCAGCTCACTGCAACCTCCACTTCCTGGGTTCAAGCGATTCTCATGCCTCAGACTCCTGAGCAGCTGAAATTACATGCGTGCACCACCATGCCCGGCTAATTTTTTGTATTTTTAGTAGAGACGGGGTTTTGCCATGTTGGCCAGGCTGGTCTTGAATTCCTGACCTCAAATGATCTGCCTGCGTTGGCCTTAATTACTATTATTTTTAAGACAGAAAGATGTTACACTCAAGAACAGAATGGACTGCCTTTTGTGGCATGAATGTAAGTCTTTCCTACAGGTCCTTCCCCACTGTATGAAGTGAGGCTCTGAGTCAGGGGCCCTAACCAAGAGAAACTGTGGTCACTGAAAAGTCTTGGATTCACCTCAGAGCTCACCTTCTCTCTGTGCCATCATACAGCTAACTACCTCTTGATTAGATGCATGGGGGAGGCGGCTGACATAGTTCCAGCTTGGTTTGCTTGATGATGGCTTGTAGAACGCGAGCCCAGAGGAAGGCGCTTGACTGGTTTGGGAACAGAGAGTTTCTTTCTAGTCCTCTGCTGACCTTCTGCCTACTTGGCTCCAAACTGACAGGCAGGTAGATCACTTGAGGTCAGCAGTTTGAGACCAGCCTGGCCAACATGGTGAAACCCCATCTCTACTAAAAATACAAAAATGAGCTGGGCGTGATGGAGCATGCCTGTAATCCCAGCTACTCAGGAGGCTGAGGCAGGAGAATTGATTGAACCCCAGAGGCGGAGGTTGCAGTGAGCTGAGATTATACCACTGCACTCCAGCCTGGGTGATTGAGCAAGACTCTGTCTCCAAGAAAAAAAGAAAAAAAAAAAAGATGTCCTTTATAATTTCAAAATTACATGTGCTAAAATATTTAAGTAAATAATTGCTATGAATACAAATGTATACAAATGAAATAGTAGGAAGGAACTCCAGCTTCATAGTAATAGAATATTTCTCATCTGTATCGGTTGGCCAGTAGCCCAGAAGTTTGTACAGTATCATGACATTACATCCTACACCTTCAGGCAGATTAAATAGTATTATAAAATATAAGAAACAGCATTGAAGTCCAACTCTTTGAGAATTTTGAAGCTCATAGCTTGAGGCAGAATGGATCCACAGAGACCGAGCAGCATATTATGGTTTGTATTGACTGGAGGATTTGGATTCAGACTAAAAGACAACTTCAAATGAATGGCTGTGTTTTGAGAGCACATTGCTTTGTGAATGCTTTCAAGCTTTTTCTATTTTAACTTCCTCTGAAATCCAAGAGGATGTTTTTACCAAAAATATTTACAAGGAAATGGGAAATTTAAATGATCCCCAAAGGAAACCAATTTTTAAAAACCCTTAAAGACCTATTATTAGGCAAACAAAGATTATACAGAGATCCTTCTCCTGCTGCAAGTCTCAAGGACTTCTTCGGGGCAGCAGTGAAACCTGTCAGGCAGCTATGGAAAAGGCTTTGGATCTCTGTGTGTGCACAGAAGGGCACGGAGGGGAATCTCATCTTCTTAAGATCTTCATCTTTAATATAAGTTTCTGAATTCTTTGCTCTATAAACCAAAAATTTAATCAGAATGTGTGTGGGAGGGGAGAGTGTCTCCTACATCCAGGCGTATGAGATGATCTGAAAACCATGGGCAATATTTACCCATACAGACCATTGTGATGAAGCCATTCTCTAAGTTAATAGATTCTCTCCTTCCTTCCTTCCTTCCTTCCTTCCTTCCTTCCTTCCTTCCTTCCTTCCTTCCTCCCTCCCTCTCTCCCTTTTTTCTTTCTCTCTCCCTTTTTCATTCTTTCTCTTTCCTTCCCTGTCCTCCTCCCTCCCGCCCTCCCTCTCTTCCTTTCTCTTTCTTTCTCTCCCTTCCTCCCTTCTTTCCTTCTTTCCATCTCTTTCTGTTTTTTCATTCTTAAATTTTTCTCTTTCCTAACTTCCTTCCCTCTCTCCTTTCTTCTTTCTTCCTGACTTCCATGGCCATTTACTGAGCCCTTGCTTAGGAGCTGGCGATACAGACAAATAAGTCGGGGCAGCCATTGCCCTTGGGGAGCTCTTCCCACAGACAAACAATGGGAGTGTGTTGGGGTAGACACCCCCCGAACCTAGGGATCCGGTGGTGGGAGAAGGGTGCAATCCAGGAAGGAAAGTTGATGTTTGAATTAAATATTAAAAGCTAAACAAAAGCTTAGTTCCAAAGGGAACTAAGACACTGTAGTCCCAAACAATGAAACTGGCTTGAGTCAAGGATATGGATACACTTCCTATTCTTCAGAAAATTGTCAATGATGATTGTATCTTGACATCACACTTTAAAACATGCAGGGAGAATTTCCTGACAAGATTCTGAAGTATAGACACTCTGTCTTACCAATTGAGAGACTGAGGTCGGGCGCGGTGGCTCATGCCTCTAATCCCAGCACTTTGGGAGGCTGAGGCGGGTGGATCACCTGAGGTCAGGAGTTTGAGACCAGCCTGGTCAACATGGTGAAACCCCATCTACTAAAAATGCAAAAATTAGCCAGGCGTGGTGGCGGGTGCCTGTAATCCCAGCTACTCAGGAGGGTAAGGCAGGAGAATCACTTGAACCCAGGAGGCAGAGGTTGCAGTGAGCTGAGATCGCGCCATTGCACTCCAGCTGGACAACAAGAGCAAAACTCCACCTCAAAAAAAAAAAAAAAAAAAAAGAGAGATTGAGCATATGTTTGATAATCAACGAACAGTCCATTTTAAAAGTTAGACAGGACATATTCCTGAAGCCAGCCTTTCAGGGTTCAAATTCTTTTTCTTCCATTTTATAGTGATTAAGAAGTCTGGGACAAGCAACTTAACATTTCTTGGCTTTGATTTTCTCACCTGAAAAATGGTGATAATTACATTACCTGCCATAGGGTTGTGAGGTTAGAATGAGTGAATGCGTGTAAAGTGATTAGAAGCATGCCTAGCACATAGTTAGCACTCAGTGTTTAGTCGTTATTCTTTTTTATTATCATGTCCTCACAGAGAATCTTTATAGGCAGGGCCAAGATGTTACTCAAACTGTTTTGGGTCCACTTCAAGAAACCTAGAAAAACTGATGATCTAAGTCACAAAGTTCTGTTATAGATCATATCCACAATTATTTACATGAGAACATTTGCAAAACCTGGATTTACCAACTGCAGTCATTAAGAAAAAAAATCTATACATAAAAATGTCTGATTTTAGGCCAGGTGTGGTGGTTCACGCCTGTAATCCCAGCACTTTGGGAGGTGGAGGAAGGTGGATTGCTTGAGGTCAGGAGTTCAAGACGAGCCTGGCCAACATGGTGAAACCCCATCTCTACTAAAAATACAAAAATTAGCTGGGCATGGTGGTGGCGCATGCCTGTAATTCCAGCTATTCAGGAGGTTGAGACACAAAAATTGCTTGAACCTGGGAAACGGAGGTTGCAGTGAGCCAAGATTGCACCACTGCACTCCAGCCTGAGTGACAGAATGAGACTGTCTCAAAAAAAAAAAAATAAATAAATATAAAAGAAGTCTAATTTTAGAAAGTTCAACTTCCTGATGACTGCTCTAAGACAGAGTGGTTGCAACATGGACCCTAGGTAACTCAATGATGTGATCAGCGCTATAGAATATTGGCTGATGTTGGTCACAAAAGTATTTTGGTTTAGAGTGTGATCTTGTGTCATCTTTCTGACAATAATTAAATAACTGAATCAATTGTTGAGGCCTCCATGAGTATGTGACAGGTATCGGTAGAGCCATGTGACCTTGAGTAAATTGCTTAATCTCTCTGCACCTCAGTGTCCTGTAGGAGAGCTGTTCTGGGGTATCAAAGAGCACAACATACATCAGGTATTTAGTGTAGTGTCAGGCACATCATACAAGTTCATTAGAGCTTGGTGTATTAGTTAAGAATTGAATTTACTTGCAGATATAGAAAACACAGGTAACAGTGGCTTAAAGATCTGGGCTTTTTCTGTCACCAAACAAGAAGTGTGAAGGTTGGTGACCCTGAGCTGGACCAGAGACCTAAACAAGCAGATGGATGCAAGGTCTCTGTGACTCTCTGGGCCTTTCTCTCATGTCTGGTCACAAAAGGGCTGCCGCCGCCATTGCATCCATGCTTGCTGCTTTAGGCAGGAACATACAAATCTGAGGTCTGTTCATTTTAACAGAAAATTGGAAAGAATTGGTATGGAAGTGTTAGCTACAGTTAGCTAGAAGTTATACAGCAGTTGATCAACCTAGATCTTCATAATAGCCCTGGAGGTAGGAATGGGAGGTATTATTTCTATTTTACAGATGTAGAAACATTGGCCAGAGAGGTGAAGAAATTTTCACAATGCCATACAAGTAGTCAGTAAGTGGCAGACACAAATTTCTAACTCAGTCCTTGTTCAAGCTATTAGTTCCTA
Source organism: Homo sapiens (assembly GCF_000001405.40). Lineage (NCBI taxonomy): Eukaryota > Metazoa > Chordata > Mammalia > Primates > Hominidae > Homo > Homo sapiens. The sequence goes on from NC_000013.11 coordinate 95,519,673, forward strand.
ACTCTTAACAGTGCACCAAGCTGCCACAGGGCAAGTCTTTGCTGTAGACTCAAGGATGAGTTTTAAGACAACAAATAAAAGCATTAATGGAAGTCAGTATCATTAAATCTAAATTTAAATAATGTGCTCTAACATACTGGGAGCATCTCTGGGTCTAGGTAAAGAGGAAAGGGAGAGGAAAGCTTAACAACATAAGAAGTAAATGAGATTCAGACATGAAAATCATCCATGGAAATCACCCATGAAAATCAGATATGAAAAGCGTATGAAAATCTAAAGTGCAAAGAAAGAGTTGCTCATGCAATCAAAACTTTCTGTTTTTCTTTACAATGTTTGGGGAATATAGTGTGTGTGTGTGCACGTGCGTACGCGTGCATGTGTGTGTGTTTGTTCAGATGAACATGCGTATGCCTGTGCTCTAGTGAGTGCATTCACACCCATGATAATAGACCCCACCATATTAACCCTAACCCTAAACCTAATCAGAACTAATACCAGATTAATCTTTCTAGGTTATTAATAAAGGCTCTTGGTCTACGTAGATTGATTTTAAGCAAAACTTCCATATTAAAATAGGTTTCTTTTTCATATACATATACATTTGATATGATTTAAGACATTCTGCATAGAGATCTCAAATATTTATTTTAAATTTTATTTCTAGTTATTCACTATTTTTAGATGGAAAAAAGTTCCCATTTATTTATTTATTTATTTAGAGATGGAGTTTCACTCTTGTTGCCCAGGCTGGAGTGCAATGGCACAGTCTTGGCTCACTGCAACCTCTGCCTCCTGGGTTCAAGCAATCCTCCTGCCTCAGCCTCCCCAGTAGCTGGGATTACAGGTGCCGGCTTCCATGCCCTGCTACTTTTGTATTTTTATTAGAGATGGGATTTCACCATGTTGGTCAGGCTGGTCTCAAACTCCTGACCTCCGGTGATCCACCCGCCTCAGCCTCCTAAAGTGCTGGAATTACAGGCATGAGTTACAGCGCCTGGACAAGTTCATGTTTTAAATTGTTTGGATGAGGGCGGGCGTGGTGGCTCACACCTGTAATCCCAGCACATTGAAAGGCAGAGGCAGGTGGATCATGAGGTCAGGAGACCAAGACCATCCTCGCCAACATAGTGAACCCCATCTTTACTAAAAATACAAAAATTAGCTGGGCGTAGTGGCATGCGCCTGTAGTCCCAGCTAGTTAGGAGGCTGAGGCAGGAGAATCGCGGAGACTGCAGTGAGCCGAGATCACACCAATGCACTCCAGCCTGGGCGACAGAGCGAGACTCCTCAAAAAAAAAAAACAGCAAAATTGTTGGATGCATATACATAGAAATTCAATTAATTTTTATATGTTGGCTTTGGATTTAGCAAACTTGCTAAACTCTCATATTAATACTAATAATTTTTCTGTAGATTCTCTTGGATTTTGTATACATACAATCATATAAAATTTGTGAGTGACAATAATTTCATTTCTTCCTTCCCAGTTCTTATACCATTTGTTTCTTTTTCTTGCCTACAACACTGGCTAGGCCACAGTACAATTTGAAAAGAAGTGACAATAGTATGCATCCTTGTTTTGTTCCTGATTTCAAAAGAAAAACTTTCAATGTTTTATCAATAAGTATAAGGTTTGCTTTGGGGATGTGTATCTACTTTCATCAGATTCATAGAGTTCCTCTCTATTCCTTTTTTGATAAGATTTTTATAAATCATGAGTGGGAGTCAAATTTTATTCAATGCTTTTTTGACATCTATTGGGATGGTCATATTATTTCTCTCTTTTAATCTGTTACTGTGATGAATTACATTGGTTGATTTTCTAATATTAAACCAAACTCTGCGATGTCAAATAAAACCAGCCTGATAATTATGTTATCCTTTTTATATATTACTGGAATAAGTTTGCTAACACTTCATTTATAATTTTGCATCTATATTCATGAATGACAATTACACACTGTAATTTTCCTTTCTTTTATAATGTGTTTATTAGGATTTTGTATCAAAATATACCAGCTTCATATTCTCAGGAAGAATTTGTATAAGATTGATGTTATTTCTTCTTTAAATATTTGGTAGTTCTTACCAGTAAACCCATCTGGACCTAGAGGTTTTGTTTTTTGTTTTTAATGGAAAAGATTTAAATTGCCTCTCTCAGTTATGAATTGTTATAGGACTATTTCATTTTTCTATTTCTTCTTGTGTTCATTTTGGTATGTTGTAATTTGGTGAAGAGATTTGTTCATTTTTTTCTAAATTTTTATATTTATTGACCTTAAGTAATTCATGAATCTTGTTTCTTTCTTTAATGACTGCAGGATCTACACTGATGCCTCCTTTTTCTTTCATGATACCATTTGTTTGTGCTGCTTCTTTTCTTTTTCTTTTTTTACTCAGTCTCACCAGAAGTTTGTCTAATGTCTTCAAAGAAACAACTTTTAGCTTTCTTGATGTTCTCTGTTTCCTGTTTCATGAAGGCTTGCTTTACTATTTCTTTGGTTTTAATTTGCTATTCTTTTTCTGTTTATTTGAGATCATGCTTGGGTGATGAATTCTCATTCTTCTTTTTTAAAATACATTTTATGGTTATAACTTTCCTCTAAATACTGCTTCACTTGCATTCCACAAGTTTTAATGTCTTGTATTTCTATTATCATTCAGTATAAAATTTATTCTAAATTTTATAATTTCTTTTTTGACAACTGATTTTTATAACTTTTCAAATATGTAGGATTTCTATTACATTTTTCTTATAAATGTCTAGCTTGATTTTATTGCAGTCAGAAAACATACTCTGATTCCAACTCATTGAAATTTATTGAGATTTGTTTGTGACCTAGCTTACAAAGTAAATGTTCCATGGATGCTTGATTCAAAATGTGATTCTTGGGTGATGTATAGCCATCCAGAAGGTAGAGATTGCTGGTAGTGTTTCTCAAGCCTTATATATCTTTACTGATTTTTTAGATTGTACACTAAAACCCCCCATTATGGTTGTAGATTTATCTATCTCCTGTAGTACTTATGTCAATTTCACTTTATTTTTTGAGGCAATTTTATTAAGTATATACTAATTTAGAATTTTTATATATTACTAATGAATTGGGTTTTTTTACATCATTAAAAGTGACTCTCTTTAACTGTGTGATGATGCTTTTTGCCCTAAGTAGTTTGTCTAATATTAATAGACATCAGTCTTATTTTAGGTAGCATTCACATTATATATCTTTTTCATTTTTTATCTATCAACTTTTCTTTATCTTCATGTTTTTGTTTTGTCTCTTGGGTTTTGTTTTTTATTTTTTATTCAGCCTGAAAATCTTTGACTTTAGTTCTTTGCCCTTAGGAACATTTAGTTCATTTACATCTAATATATTTATGATAATAATTTGTATTTAAGTTTACTATGTTTTCACCCTCTTTTTGTCCCATACATTTTATACTCCTTTTCCACTCCTTTCTTTCCGTCTTTTGTATTAATTTGCTTATTATTCTATCTTTTTTTGTTAATTTATAATTTATACTCTTTTACTAGTCTCTTAGTTGTTCCCCTAGAGTACAACTGACTTATTGATTCTAATGCTATATGGTATTATCACTCTCACTCTGAACCAAAATAAAATCTCAGAACACTTTAATTTCATTTACTCTCAGCTTGACCTATATGCAATTCTTGTAATTTTAATTCTATATGTATTTTAAACCACATAAGGAATTGTTACTGTTGCTTAATGTTATTATCATCCGTTTAAGTTTACTCACACATTTGCTATTTTCATTGTCCTTCCTGCCTCTTCAATTTTACTTGTGGGATTATTTTCTTTTACCTGAAAAGATCAGGTAAATATTTGCCGTTTATTTCCTTTGATGTAGATCTACTGATAGCCAATTATCTCAACGTTCATTTGTCTGCAAATATTTTTTCATTTTATATGCGTTCTTCTTTTTTAGAGATAGGGTCTCACTACATGGCCCAGACTGTTTTCAGACTCATGGCCTTAAGTGATTCTCCTGCCTCAGCCTCCTGAGTAGCTGAGATTACAGGAGCAAGCCACCAATGCCCGGCTTATTTACATTTTTGAAAGATATGTTACGGCATGATTTCTTGACTTTGGCACGCTTTATATTTTTGGCCAGATAACTGTTGTTGGGGCTGTCTTGTGCATTGTAGGACATTAAGCAGTTTCCTTGACCTCTACACATGAGATGACCGTATCACTTCCCTTCTCAGTTGTGTCAACTAACAGTATCTCCTGGGGAGCAAAATTACCTTGGTTGGGAACAACTGGTCTACTGAATATAGAATTCTAATTTCATTTAACATATTTAAGATATAATTTCATTGTCCTCTGGCTTTCACTATTACCATTGAAAAGTAAGCTATATGTCCAACGTTTGGTCTTAGGTACTTTGACTGGCTTTTTTTTTTTTTTTGAGACAGAGTCTCACTCTGCTTTGACTGGCTTTTAACATTTTTATCTCTGATTTTGGTATTCTGTAGCATCACAATGATGGCTATAGTTGTGAATTTTTCTTTATTTAGTTTGGAATTTGTTGGGCTTCTTGAGTCTATGAATGAGGCCTTTCACACGTTTTGAAAAGCAGCCATTAACTCTGTTTTTCTATTTAATTATTTTGAGATATACGTCACATAAAATTTACCACTTTAAAGTGTTATTAGTCAGTGGCTTTTAGTATATTACTATGTTGTGCAACCAACATCATGGAATTGTGTAATATGTGGTCTTTGCGTCCGGGTTCTTTCAACTAATATAATGCTTTCAAAAGTCATTCATGTTGTAGCATGTAATTTCATTCCCTTTTCGGTTAAATGATATTCCATTGTATGGAAATACCACATGTTGTTTATCCATTCTTCAGTTTATAGAAATTTAGGTTATTTCCACCTTTGGGCTATTGTGAATAATACTGCTAAGAACATTCATATACAAGTTTTTGTGTGAACATACATTTTCAATTACCTTGGATATATACCAAGAAGATAATAATTGCTGAGTCATATAGTAATTCTAGGTTTAACTTTTTGAGAACCTGCCAGACTCTTTTCCACAGCGGCTGCATCATTTTACATTTTCACCAGCAATGTATGAGGGTTCTAATTTCTCCAAGCTCTCACCAACATTTGTTATTTTGTACTCTTTTATTTTTTATTTTATTTATTTATTTTTATTTTTTTTTTTGAGACAGAGTTTCACTCTTGTTGCCCAGGCTGGAGTGCAATGGCGAGATCTCGGCTCAACACAACCTCCACCCCCCGGGTTCAAGCAATTCTCCTGCCTCGGCCTCCTGAGTAGCTGGGATTACAGGCATGTGCCACAACGCCCTGCTAATTTTGTATTTTTAGTAGAGACGGGGTTTCTCCATGTTGGTCAGGCTGGTCTCGAACTCCCGACCTCAGGTGATTGCCCGCCTCGGCCTCCCAAAGTGCTGGGATTACAGGCATGAGCCACCACTCCTGGCCTATTTGTACTCTTTTAAATTAAAGCTATCTTAGTATGTTTGAAATGGTAACTCATTATTATTTTGATTTGCATTTTCCTAATGACTAATGATGTTGAACATCTTTTCATATGTTTATTGGCTATTTACATATCTTCTTTGGAGAAATGTCTATTCAAGTCCTTTGTCCATTACTAAATTGGGTTATTTGGGTTTTTATTATTGAGTTGTAAGAGTTCTTGATATATTCTGGACACTAGATCCTTATCATATTTGCAAATATCTTTTTCCCATTCTGTGGGTTGTCTACTAACCCCAAATGACATGTAAGTGAGTAACAAATAAATCTTCATTGTTTTTTCTTTTTGTTTTTGTGAGACAGAGTCTTGCTCTATCGCCCAGGCTGGAGTACAGTGGCGTAATCGTGGCTCACTGCAACCTCCACCTCCTGGTTCAAGCTGTTTTCATGCCTTAGCCTCCAAAGTAGCTGGGATTACAGGCGTGCACCACCGCGCCCAGCTGATTTTTGTATTTTTAGTAGAGACCAGGTTTTGCCATATTGGCCAAGCTGGCCTTGAACTCCTGGCCTCAAGTGATCCACCCACCTCAGCCTCCCAGAGTGCTGGGATTACAGGGATGAGCTACCATGCCCAGCCCAACTTTCACTGTTGTAAGCCACCGAGATTCTAGGGCTGTTATTGACTGCAGAATAACCTTATTAAAATTGACTAAACAACTTGCATCTAGCTTTGTGCGCCTGTACTTTCCCATGCAGTGAGGATTTCTCCTCACTGATTCTGGGTCTATAAATCCTCTTATTTGGATGTTGGATCTCCTGGATCGTTCTTCTATATTCCTTGTCTTTCTCTTCTACTTTCTAAGTCTCAATGTTTTCGCACTTCTCTCTGGAAGATATTGTTAACTTTGTCTTCTAAACCTTCCATTGTGTTTTTATCTCAACTATGGTTTTTTTAATTTCCGAGAGAGTGTTTGTGTGCATTCTCCGAATGTTCTTTAGCTGTGCTTATCTCATGGATGCAATATTTTCTTTTATTTCTGTGAAAATATTAATTATAATTGTTAGATTTTTTTTCTCCCCATCTAACGTTTTCTCCATGTTAGTTGTTACAAGTTACTTTGTTTGTTCATTTGACTTCCCTGTTGGAAATTTCTTCAACTGTCTGCCAGTCAGTTCTTCAGCATGGGAATTTAAGAATTCATTAGAAGCTCTGAGACTGTAGACGGACTTGTCCACTGAGAAGCTCACAGTGGACATTTGTAATGAGCCATTTTACTAGGGAAACTTCAATGTCAGTATCTTTAAGTTGTTCCTTATGAAACTGTCCATTCTCTAGAGATGGATCTCACAGTCAGTCTCTTGTATACGGAGTTTAGGCCTGGCTGCCAATGTTTTGTGTTTTGAGAACCAAATGTAGAAAAATGGCAAGAAGGGACCAGCCTGGACAACATGGTGAAACTCCGTCTCTATTAAAAATACAAAAATTAGACAGGCATGATGGTGGGCACCTGGAATCACAGCTACTCGGGAGGCTGAGGCAGGAGAATCACTTGAACCGGGAGGTGGAGGTTGCAGTGAACCAATGTTGCGTCACTGCACTCCAGCCTGGGCAATAAGAGTGAAATTCCATCTCAAATAAATAAATAAATAAATAAATAAATAAATAAACATGGCGAGAAGGAAAGGAGAGCTGTCTTAGCATTTAGTGTAAAATTTTTAGTTAATCACACTGTTTTAATAATGAAACTCCCTTCTTCATTTGGAACAGGTGTCCCCTAGTTCAACAACCAAAATTTCATCCACCCCAGAGAGTATACTTCCAGCTTTCTGTTCAGGTGAGGAGGGAGGATTTGCCCCCATTGAACAGAGCTGAGTATGAAATATGAGTGTCAAACTTCTAATTGGACTTTCAACAAATCCTCCTGTTTTAGACCCATTTTTGCCACCTTCTTCCAAAGCTTCCAGGGGCCTGCTAATTGTGGCAGTTCTGCGATATAATTTGGGTTGTTTCTTGGTTTTCCTTATTGCCAATTTAGGACCAAACCTCTCAGTTCTGTTAGGCAGCTTACTGTTCATGAATGCTATTTTCAACTTTCATAAAAGGAATGTTATGTTCTTGTTTGCTTCCTCTTTATTCTTGATGGTTTTCAACAATAATTTTTAAGAAATTCATTTACTGTCTTTTTAATAAAATTTCATGAGGAAACAAATACAAATGTGTGTGTCTCCCATCCTTAACCAGAAGTCCACCTTCTTCTCTCTTTAAAATTCTGATATAGAAAAAACAAAAACAGGCCAGGCACAGTGGCTCACGCCTGTAATCCCAGCACTTTGGGAGACTGAGGCGGGTGGATCACCTGAGGTCAGGAGTTCAAGACCAGCCTGGGAAACATGGTGGAACCTCAAGTCTACAAAAAAAAAAAATACAAAAATTAGCTGGGCATGATGGTGGGTGCCTGTAATCCCAGCTACTCAGGAGGCTGAGGCAGGAGAATCACTTGAATCAGGGAGCTGGAGGCTGCAGTGAGCTGAGATTGCACCATTGCACTCCAGCCTAAGCAACAGAGCAAGGCTCAGTCTCGAAAACAACAACAACAAAAATAAATAAATAAACAAAATTAAAAAACTCTGTGGCGAGTGTATATCATCTTATGGTGAAATATTCTATGCATCCAAAGGCAGAGTGTGTCAGCTATAGCCATTCATTCTAACAGGAGTGTGACATTTGTAGGGAAAAGTTTTTTGCTATTCGACTGCTATCATTGAATTGGATGTATGCTGAACCATTGACCACTAGGATTTGTGGCAACCTGGAGATTTCCTGATTCTAGGATCTGTGCTGTGATCTGACAGCATGTTTTCTGGCTACATCAAGTAGTTGTTTCTAGGCTTTGTTCAAATCTTTTTCCTTTCCCTGTGTGACTGGCTGTATCTGTCTCTATAATGCCACCATATACAAGTTGATATGGTTTGGCTGTGTCCTCACCCAATTCTCATCTTGAATTTTGGCTCCCATAATGCCCACGTGTTGTGGGAGGGACACAGTGGGAGATAATTGAATCATAGGGGTGGCTTCCCCTATACTGTTCTTGTGGTAGTGAATAAGTCTCATGAGATTTGATGGTTTTATAAGGGGTTTCCCCTTTCACTTGGTTCTCATTCTCTCTTGCCTGCCTCCATGTATGATGTGCCTTTTGCCTTCCACCATGAATGAGAGGCCTCCCCAGCCATGTGGAACTGAGAATCCATTAAACCTCTTTTTCTTTATAAATTACCCAGTCTCGAGTATGTCTTTATCAGCAGTGTGAAAACGGACTAATGCATAAGTGAATCATACATTTTGGTGTCAAATATTTCTTGCTTTTCCCATATAGTACAGCAAAGAAGGATATCAGCTAGAGGAAGCAAAGAACTGGATGGATGATCCAACCATCTGCCAAAAGATAAATTCAAATAAGGTATCAGCAACAAGTAAGATCAAACAGAAATAAACAAGATGATTCCTTCTCCTGAAAGACTGATAGCCATATTGAGTAAAGCTAAGGAAAGGGAGAATGTCATGTGTGGAGCTCATGGCAGCAGAAAAAAGTACAGACACCACGGCAAAGCCACTGAAGGAGATCTGACTGCATTAATGAGCCATTTTATTAAATGGGTAGTTGGCAAGAAAAAAAGTTTATTCAATAAGTTGGCAACACCAAGTTAAAGAGAGAAGTTAAGTAGGTCATTAAGACACCACAGTCACTAATATTTAGAGCTTGAACATAGTATGAATTGGTTGTCTACAGAGAGTTAGAAAAGGTGCCAAGACACATAACTGAGTGATGGCCAATCAAGGGTGTTTTGTTTCTTTCTGAAACAAAGCTGGGAACAATGTTTTTCTTGTTGTTGTTGTTGTTGTTTTTAATGTAGAACTGGTGGGGTCAGTAAGATATTGCTGCCCATGTCTAGTATTTTTTTTTTAATTTTTGTCTTAATATCATATGGAGGCATGCTGTTACCTATAAATTTACCTATAATTTCTAAATTTAAAAGGAATCCTCAAAATAATCAGAAGAAAATTCAACAGATACTATTGAGATCTCTTTTTGCTCTGTTGATCCATTTATTTCTTCAATCAGTAAGTTAGTGGTGCTTTCTTTTCCTTTGATTGGCAGGTGTTTCATCAGATCTTCTGGGATACTTCTAGTTAGGAGTAAGATTTCTAACTAATTAAAGTGAATAAACACATTTTTTTTCAAAATAATGTACCCTGTTACATAGAAAACAGGGCTTGAAAGGAATTGTTAAGAACCATTCGCCTTATTAATATGTTATTTTTTTGGTGCTGCCAAGGGCATTGGGAACTTCAGTCCTTTGCAGTAGAATTCTTAGCTTCTAGGTGAGCGTGCCTCTAGGCTGGAATAATTTAGTCACCTGGCTTTCCTGTAACTCTTATTATTTTTGGCTTCATGAGGTAGTATTCATACAGAAGTGGTCCTTTTCCATTCCCCAAAAGTCTTTTGTAGGACACTGATAATCTCTTTTCTTTCCCTACTTGTCTACATGAAGTGTGCAAAAATCTCTGGTCATATCCAGGATTTTTATACAAATAAGTAGGTTACAGTTAATATTCCAGTTTCGCTTTTTTTTCCCAAATAATTTAGGGTTTAAGATTGTTATTTCTTGGGTTATCAGGACATAGCTCTCCCTTGAAACTAGCTTATTAGATGTGAACAGTTGGTACTGCTTTTTAATAATTCTGGTGAGGAAAACATTGTAAATTATCCTAGAGTCAAATGTGATATAATTATTATAGAAGGTCACTTTCACTATTTAAAACATTGAGTTGATTATATTTAAATCAAAAAAGATATTAAAGGTGAATAAATTTCACATATTAAAACCTCAAACCACATGCATATAATGCTTTTTAGTGCCCACAAACACCAACCAGAAAGTGTGTGATTAGGTTCACTTTTTCAAGCACCTTTATTTGTTTCCTCTTGATTCACCTAATCACTTTGACAGGGGGGAAATGGGGAGGGGGAGCAGCTTCAAAAAGTTTCCACAGTGGACCATGAGTTATTTAAATCCATCTCACAGAATCCATTTCCCATGCACTGAAAGCCCTGTGACATTTCCAGAACTGCTGTTTACTTTGGGATGTGAGAGATGTTAAAATTCTTTGTGTTTAAACCACAACATTTGTGAGTGGCATGAGACGAAGACTCATGGCAGGTTGTAAGCGGTTGGGCAACCCCTACCGGAAGGAAACAGGCTATTGAATTACTGGACTCAAGAGCAGGCAAATCCATCTGGGGTGGCAAGCCCAGGAAAGGCTGCCAAGAAGGACTTAGAACCACTCTTCGCCCTTCCCTGCCTGAGTATACTCATCGAAAGGACCCTGTGTGTCTATCTTCATTAGGGCAAAGAGATCAAATCCCAAATTTCATAAAGGAGAATGTTAATGCTATGGTTACAAGCTTTTACACAAAGAAAAATACCTGCTACATAGACACTCAAGGAAAACATCTTGTGTTTATCAACTACCTTGTGCTTATATTTTTTATTGTTTTATCCATATGTTTTCCTAAAGTATGGCCCTGAAATTCACTGATCTTTACAATACCTTATTATAATAGGAACAGTCAAAGAATTATTTTCTTTCTTTACAAATAAAAAATAAAACATGAAACTCACTTACCTAAGTTCATATACTAAGATCCTTCCTAGAAACACCTCTAGCCCTTCAACCATATTAGACTCCAATGAGAAGAAACTGATCATCTTTCCTTTTTTTTTTTTTTTGAGATGGAGTCTCACTCTGTCACCCAGGCTGAGTGCAGCGGCACAATCTTGGCTCACTCAGCCTCCCGGGTTCAAGCGATTCTCCTGCCTCAGTCTCCCGAGTAGCTGGGACTACAGGCGTGTGCCACCACACCCGGCTTATTTTTTGTATTTTTAGTAAAGACGGGGTTTCACCATGTTAGCCAGGATGGTCTCGATCTCATGACCTCATGATCTGCCCGCCTCAGCCTCCCATAGTGCTGGGATTACCAGGCGTGAGCCACCACACCTGGATGATCATCTTTCTTAAATAACAAAATATGGTAGACTTTAAATTAGCATATAATGGCAGTAACATAATTTTTTATTTTGCATTTTCAAGGCCAACTTAATTTTCAAGTAAAGATTCCAATGCATTTGATTAGCAATATGAAAGTTATATCCCTGAAAGAGAAACAAATTGATTCATATTTTAAAGAAGCCATAGGGCATCAATTTTTCTAGTAGGCGGTCAAAAGTCATTATATCCTCATTATTAAACTCTTATCCAGATTACAGGATGTAAAATTTAAATTAAAAGAAGGAAACTTTTGGATGTTGATTGCTCAGTATTACCTTTTTTTTTGAGACAGGGTCTCACTCTGTCACCCAGACTGAAGTGCAGTGGTGCAATCTTGGCTCATTGCAACCTCCACCTCCTGGGTTCAAGCGATTCTTCTACCTCCCCTCTCAAGTAACTGAGACTACAGGCGCCCACCACCACGCCTGGCTAATTTTTTTTTTTTTTTTTGATATTTTTAGTGGAGACGGGGTTTCACTATGTTGGCCAGGCTGCTCTCGAACTCCTGATCTCCACCCATCTCAGCCTCCCAAAGTGCTGGGATTACAGGCATAAGCCACCGCTCCCGGCTAGTATTTACATTTTTAAAAAGATAAAGGAATAGATCTGCGCTTACACATGTGTTTGATTTTCCACAAAGGCACCAAAACAGTCCAACAGGAATTTAAACAAATGGTGCTAAAGTAGCCAGAGAGCCATATGGAAAAATGAATCTAACCTCTGATTCATACCAAACAAACAATAATTAGAGATGGATCATAGGCCACATAAAAAACAGCTAAAAGCAAAGGGTTTAAAATGAAAATATAGGAGAATATCATCATGACTTGGGGGTAGGCAAAGGTTTCATAAGATAGGTCATAAAAAAGCAATAACCATAAGAGAAAAAAATTTATATACATTAGACATCATCAACATTTAAAACTTCTGCTCATCAAAAGATGCCTTTGAGAAAATAGGCAAGCCATACACTGAGAGAACATATTCACTAAGAATGTATCTGATAACAGCCTGGTATAGAAACAGCTCTTACAAAAACAAAGAAACAACTCAATAGAAAAGGAGCAAAAAATTTGGACAGGCACTTCACAAAAGAAGGTATTTGAATGGGCAATAAGCACATGAAAAAGTGCTCAGCATCATGAAGTTATCAGGGAAATAAAAATTAAAATCACAATAAGATATCATTGAATACCTACAAGAATGGCTAAAACAAGAGACTGATAACATCTAACGTTGGCAAGAATGTAGAGTACCTGCAAGTTTCACACATGGTTAGTGGGAATATAAAATAGTACACTTTGAAAAATGGTGAGGTAATTTCTTATAAAACTAAACATACACTTACCCTCCCACCCAGTAATTCTGATCCTAGATATTTACCCATGATAACATGTTCACAAAAAAACTTGTACAAGAATGTTCATAGCAGCTTTATTTGCCCAAAACTGGGAATAGCTCACATGTTAATCTGCAGAAAAATGGATAAACAAACTGTGATAGCTTCAGATACTGGAACTCAATTCAGCAAAAAAAAAAAAAAAAAAAAAAGAAGACATGAACTGCTTATATGTGCAACAACATAGATGAGTCTTAAAACATACTGAAAGAAGCCTTATACAAAAGAGTACATGCTGTTTGATTGTATCTAGATAAAGTTCTAGAATAGATAAAACTAGTCTACTGTGGAAAACACAAGAAAAACGGGGGGAGTGGGATCGACTGGGAAGGAGTATGAGAGAACTTTCTAGAAAGATAGTGTTTGTTTCATTTACACAGATGTATGCATTTGTCAAAAGTTAGTGAATGTACACTTAAGATTTATAAATTTCATTGTATGTAATTTTTACATCAAAAGAAAAACTAAATATTAATATCTAGCTAGTGATATGCTTGCTGAAGGATTTAGGAGAAATTGTACTGAGGCCTGCAATTTATTTTTAAATATTCCAAAAAAAAAAAAAAGATTGATAGAGGGAGGGAGAGGGGGAAGAAGAGAGACAGAGCGAGAGAGCAAAGCAAATAAAATGTTTATGGTAGAATGTAGGTGTTGGGTATGATATATGGGGTGTTTACTGTAAAATTCAACATTGCTATATATTTTATAAAGTTTTATGAGAAAATGTTGGGGAAAACAAAAGTAGATTTTTAGAAGAAAGAACCAGTTTTCAATAATCTTTAGATATAACACTCCCCTAATACATTTCACAGAATTGTTTTCCAATGGGACTATTTGATAATAAATAACTAATTTGTTCAATCCATTAAAAAATAAATCACGCTGGTATCTTGAGTCTCTTCTAGTAATTGTACAGGTATAAGAAGGTGGAGGGGAAAACCTGTAGGTCAAATAAATTAGGAAGTATTTATTGAGCTTTTACTATCTGCCTACCCGGTGAGATACAGAGACATCCAAGACTTAGTTAGATCTTACCTGCAGGGGCCACACTCTCACTTGGCAGCCATGAAGAATGAAGCAAAGGTCAGGCCTGCGGGCAATGCAGGGTAAGGATAAGGACCCACATGCTCAGCAGTACCTTCAAGGCCCCAACCCTGCTTCTCCCCTCCACTCTGATCTTCTCTCTTTCTCCCACCACAGGTCCCTCTACCCAGACTCTACCCAGAGCTCTGTCTGCCAGGCTCTCCTCCCCGGCACCAGGCTTGAGTATTCCGCCTCACTCACCAAGCCTCAGCCCCCGCCCATTTCCTCAGGGACATGCTCCCTGACCCAGAGCAGAGATCACGTTCTTTGTTATACAGTTTCAGAGTACAGTAGTCCTTTATTAGAGAGCATTTGATTCAGTTTATAATTACATGGTCACTGAGGGATCGTTTGGGTAATGTGTGTCTCCCCTACTAGATTTTCAGCTCCATGAGAAAAAGAATTGTATTTCCTTTTTAATTCTCATTATATCCCCAGCAATTTAGCAGCATCTGCTATGTAGAAGGTTACATATGAAAACACACAGAAAGCATTGGGTGTCTTTTTTTTCCTTCAAATAGGAAAGAAAAAGAAGAAGAAAACATGGTTATAACCATATGAAGCTACTGCCAGGACGATATGTTAATAAAATAAATTTAAGAAAAGATTTGTTAAAATCAAAAGAGGAAAAATATTTGTAGAATTATAAAATCTTATGTGGTAAGGGATATTGTGGGTCATCTGGTCCACCTAAGCTTAACTATACTCCTGTCAAATGTATGAATATCTTTAGTAAATATCTTTTGTTATTTTACATTTTTAAAAATAACTTTTTATATCAAACCGTTAAAAATTCAAAAAAAAATCAATTCTCCATCTTCAGAAACTGATTGTTATATAAAGAATTTAGTATAATGCATGATTCACAGTGATAGTTATAATAACTACTACTAGTAGGAGTATTACCAGGAAACCTCTAAGTTGTAGTGCATCATTTTGATAAGAACATGTGTTTTGGATCATTTAAAAAAAGGGGATTAAATTATAACTCTGCCTCTAAATGGCAATACATCTTTGAGCAATTTTCCTAATATCTCCAAACTTCAGGGTTTTTTTTCTCCTGGCATTCAATAAACGGTAGCCAATCATGGTTATAATATAACAACAACAGTGAGGATGAATAAGAATCTGTGTTTATTCTCAAAGCGCTCACAGCTCAGCAGGGACATGGATACAAACTCCAATTCTGCGCAGTAAATGCAACAATGGAAGCACGCCACCAAGAATGAGAGAGTGACTCTCAGGCCTGGTCTATTGGGGGAGGAAAGAGTTTTTTTAAAAAGTAATTAAAAGGAATTCTCCAGGCTAATTAAGCAAAAAAGGCATCCTGGGTGGAAGAACACTGCCATGCATGCTTGCTATGATCCAGCAGAGTATTCCAAGGTGCAGCATGGCAGGTGATGGGCTGAAGATCCTAGGATACCTTTTGTGTCATGATAAGATACACAGATTTCATTCTGCAAGTAATGAGGAGCCCGTGAAGGGTTTTAAAGGGGTAAAGAAACAATCAGGCTTATCTTTTAGGAAAATCAGCTGGGGAGTCATATTAGAAGGGGTGAGCCCTGGGGCAGGAAGACCAGTCAGGCTAGTGGATGGAAGAGGTGATGAGGGTCTAAACTGGGAAGAGTAGTGTGGGCCTGGAGAGGTGAGAATGACTCATGGCAGTTCAGAAAGAGTGTCAACAAGATTGAGTGATGAGGAGTACAGAGGGAAGAGCGCCATCCAAGATGACTCAGGAACACTCATAACTTGCTTGGCAGACTGAGTGGGTAGACAAACAAATATGGTTCATGGTTCAGTGGAGAAAATACAGAAGGGAGCTGCGGGGGAGGTGGGGGTGAGAGGTTTAGTTGTAGACATAATTGAGGTCTCCATACCTGCGAGCCACCAGGAGAAAGGAGAAGATGTCCCATAGGCACATGGGACATCAGAAGAACTGATTCTGGGTCAGGGAATCCCATTATGGAGCCACCAGTTGGTTCAGGGAAAGACTGTGATGTGAAAAGGGGTAAGTGCCAAGTACAGAATGCTGGAGATACCAGCCCATGAGGAGACATGGAGACGAATCGTGGAACAGGCAGAGAAATCTAGGCAAGAATGGGGCTATGGAAGCCGAAAGAATAAAGTATTTCACAAAGAAGGAACTGAGCAACTATGAAAAAGGTGCAGAGAAAACAAACAAGATAAAGAATGGGGACTGTTCACTAAGTCAGGTAGCACAAAACCACTTGTCACTTTTGCCTATGGTGTTTCAGTGGAAAGGGAAAGGTAGGAAAGATGGCAGTGGATGGAGAAGTAGATGGGTGGTGGACAGAGAGACTGTGATACTGTAATAGACAAGTCTATTGAGATGGTCAGTTAAAGAAGAAAAATGAAGAATATGTTTTAAATGTCTCTCAAGATATCTTTAAATACATTTGTGTATTTTCCTAAATTTGAAAAAAAAAAAAGTCCTTAATATCTGCTTCATCTAAGCAGAAAGATCACCTGAGGTCAGGAGTTCAAGACCAACCTAGTCACATGGTGAAACTCCATCTCTACTAAAAATACAAAAATTAGCTAGCATGGTGACATACACCTGCAATCCCAGCTCCTCTGGAGGCTGAGGCAAGAGAATCGCTTGAACCCAGGAGGTGGAGGTTGCAGTAAGCCGAGATCACGCCACTGCACTCCAGCCCAGGCGACAGAGCAAGACTCTGTCTCAAAAAAAGAAAAAAGAAAAATCATCCAAGGGACAATTTATCCTTAACCATACAAAACTTACAGCCTCAAGAGGAAGATGAGCTTTGGCTACTGTTTTCTAGAGAAAATTGGTCCTAAAAATCATTACTTTGTAATGATTGTCACAATTTCTCAACACATCTTGATTAAAAGAAAACGATAGATTCCTAATTCAAGGCGCTTCATAGTGCCATCTATGCGTTGCAGTTACAAAATCTTCACCTTCTAGTTCTGTTAATACTGGCTTTGCAATGTCCTCACACCTGTTCTTTCTCGTCCTTTCCCACGGTCCTTACAATAAAACTGTTTATTTTTTAAAAACTGCATGCCTTTTTAAAAAAAAGTTCATATTGAAATGTCTTAACAATCTTTATCCAAAAGAGGGCGCAAATTTCTCATGAAATATAGTGCGGTATTTTACAAAATGTCTTTGCTGCTAGTGGTATTTAAATTTCACAGCTGCTGTAAGTTAATGCAGAAACACTATTCCTGCAGCATGTGCATGTGAATCCTGTCCTGTTGTGTGTGTGCTAATTAAGAGCCTTTTGCTTCTTTAGAAGAGTTTCAGAGCAGAGCTAAGGCTTGCTGAAGTAAAGAAGTAAGTTGAAGCTAACATTTTTTCTATTCTGGGTAGCCATATCAAATTAAGATAGAATATTTTAAAATTAAACATTAAGTGGGGGAAAAGAAAACCTCTCTGTTTACAATCTTCTAATTTTAGGATGTATTTCCATTCTACCACAGATTAAAGAATGCCTAATGAAGTTAATATAGTTCAGACTTTGTGTGGGGTTGGTTAATAGCTAATCAGTTTTGGGGGGGTTGTTGGTTATTTGTTTTGTTGCCAGAGCTGGAAACATTCATAATTCAATGAATACCCAGTATGCACGGCTCTTCTTGCGTACAGGAGGCAGTATGAATTGCGAACAGAGGGGATCAAGTGAATTCTGGTCTCAGCTATTACTGTAGCTTGAGTCCCACCATAATTTGTGTACGTTTTCTGATGGGGATGATATGCCAAAAAGGTGCTGAAGTAGAATTGGGTGTCATAAATATGAACTATGCAAATGGAAGGAAGTGCAAAGACGAAACCATTTTTTCAATGGTAGTAATATACCACAAGTTTCCCTTACTTAACAGAAATTCATTTAACCAAATTCTTTACTTGAAATATATAAATTAGGGTACCACTTCACTCCACAGAATGGCATTTCCAAATTTGAAGTCCTGTGCTTATTCTTGCTTCTGTAACTGGCTTGAATTCCAAATTCCAGGTTTTCCATCATAACTACCTGCCTGGTAATTTGCTGGGGTGCGGTAGCCATGAACACTCACCCACGAGTAACAAACACTCACCGGGGTAATTTGGATTGGCTTCCAGCCCCTAAAAGTGAAACCAATTATAAGTAGAGAATCCCTGAAACTTTATCTGCCAATTGATAAGCACTGGTGGCTATCAACTAGAACCCAAAACTACATCCTTCAGTGGCAACATACAAACAGCACTAAATGAGGGCAAATGCAGAGCTAAATTCATAGCCCTTTTTATGCACCAGTCTAAAACAACGTTGCCAAGAAGATCTGCAGAAATTTTTGGTAGAGAACCAACATGACAACAAGAGCCAAGCATTATTTCCAGCTTTCATTTGATTACAAATCTGTGACCCATTGACAAACTGTTTATTTCTTTTTTTTTTTTTTTTTTTTTTTTTTTTGAGACATGCAATGGCACAATCTTGGCTCACTGCAACCTCTGCTTCCTGGGTTGAGGCGATTCTCCTGCCTCAGCCTCCAGAGTAGCTGGCACCTTACAGGCGCCCACCACCACGCCTGGCTAGTTTTTTTGTATTTTTTGTAGAGACAGGGTTTCACTATATTGGCCAGGCTGGTCTTGAACCCCTGACCTCATGATCCACCCACCTTGGACTCCCAAAGTGCTGAGATTACAGGCATGAGCCACCACACCCAGCCAACAAACTGTTTCTATGAATTACCAACAAGCATTCATACCTCCTCTCCATATGTGATGATAGAGTGATATCAATTGATTCATCATATTGATTTCCTCTTGTCAGTGGCCAAACCTGCCTTCATCACGCACCCCATGCAGCTGCAAGGTCAATGTGTGTGTTCGCTCTGAAATCCTCACGCTGCATCTTGGCCAGCTTCCTCCTTTCCTGACCATAAGATCTGATCTCTTCTTCTATAGGGTAGAGCCTGGATCACATTTTCTTTTCTGAATTTCTGAGGCCATGACTCCTCCTCTTCCTCTGCCTATTGCTATAGCCAACACCGTTGTCCTGCTGTACCCGCTTATGGCAACAACCCTAATGCCTTAGATTCCATTCCTGTAGACTCCACAGAGAAGGCGATTTTTAAGTACTCAAGTTGTTTGATAATGCTGAACTTTGTAACATTTCTCTCTTTTTTTGAGATGGAGTCTCGCTCTGTCGCTCAGGCTGGAGTGCAGTGGCACAATCTCGGCTCACTGCAACCACCGCCTCCTGGGTTCAAGTGATTCTCTGGCCTCAGCCTCCCGAGTAGCTGGGTTTACAGGCACCCGCCATCATACCTGGCTAATTTTTGTATTTTTGTAGAGATGGGGTTTCACCATGTTGGCCAGGCTGCCCTTGAACTCCCGACCTCAGGTGATCCACCCACCTTGGCCTCCCAAAGTGCTGGGATTACAGGCGTGAGCCACCGTGCCCAGCTGAACTTTGTTACATTTCTAAAACATTTTATTGCTCTCCAAGAATAGAAACCAGATCAAATGTTTGAGGATAGCAATGTAAAAGTAGAGGGTACAAAGGAACCAAAGTCACTGGACTCTTAAAACAACACAGAAGAAAAAGTGAGGATGCTGGCATTACAATTGGATTGTGAATCTGTTTTCACCTTCAGTATTTATATTGAGACATGTGGGAATACAGTATTGTTTCAATATGCCTTCTCTCAAATGATCATTTTTTAGTTGGTACATGACTAAGAGGTTTGCTATATTCATTGGAGTAACATTCACGTTCTGAATTAATTTGCTTAGAAGATGAATCTGACTTTATAATAAAAATTTTAAAGGAGTCAATTAGAAAAGAGCAGCTGGAAGAAAGTTGTTGCATTATTTAAGGGCTTGAATAATATACAAAGGTAAGTTAGTAATAAAAAGTTAATTACAAGATGGCTTTATTTCTTATTGAAACTGTATTTTCTACCTTTCCAGAATATTGTCCTGAGAACACTTACATATTCCTTTTTTTTAGAAAAACTGTGGAATGAAGAAGGCACTCATTATTTTCAGCTCCCATAGTTATAATTCTGTTTCTATAGAAATTTGCAACATCCCATAGAGTACAGTATTTTATTCAGCTTTCAAAAGATAATCTTGACCCTTTAACACATGTTTACTTTTGGCTGGGCAAGGTGGCTCACGCCTGTAATATCAGCACTTTGGGAGGTCGAGGTGGGCAGATCACCTAAAGTCAGGAGTTCAAGACCAGCCTGGGCAACATGGTGAAGCCCCTTCTCTGCCAAAAATATAAAAATTAGCCTGACGTGGCCAGGCGCGGTGGCTCACGCCTGTAATTCCAGCACTTTGGGAGGCCGAGGTGGGTGGATCACCTGAGGTCAGGAGTTCAAGACCAGCCTGGCCAATATGATGAAATCCCGTCTCTACTAAAAATACAAAAATTAGCCGGGCATGGTGGTGCATGCCTGTAGTCCCAGCTACTTGGGAGGCTGAGGCAGAAGAATCGCTTGGACCCGGGAGATGGAGGTTACAGTGAGCTAAGATCACGCCACTGCACTCCAGCCTGGGCAACAGAGGGAGACTCTGTCTCAAAAATAAATAAATAAATAAATAAATAAATAAATAAATAAATATTAGCCTGGCATGGTGGCATGCGCCTGTAATCTCAGCTGCTTGGTGGGGGCTGAGGCAAGAGAATCGCTTGAGCCTGGGAGGTGGAGGTTGCAGTGAGCCAAGATAGCACCACTGCACACCAGCCTGGGCAGCAGAGCAGAGACAGACTCTGTCTCAAAAAAAAAGCTTACTTTTAAGAACTGCTTACATTAATTACAAAAGACCACTTTTTAGTTGTTAATATGCATTAGGTAACAAATACTTGGCATATATGCATTCTTTGAAAATATCAGACAAATAACTAAACAAAATTGCATGCTAGTTAGTGGCTCGGACTGGGAAATGAGAAGTGATGTTAATTCTTAACGTTGGCTACTTTTGTCACCTGTAAAATATGATCAAGCCTGTTAGTCTAACTTAATAGCTTGAGTAATTGATATAGGGAGTGAAGTTTTTTTGGGGGTTGGGGAGAGACATTGCTTTTTTCCACTGACACTGACGATACCAGTTTACTACTATGTGACACTTTTTGCTTGAACTAGAAGAGATAAGTAGTATTTTTCAAGTTTTGAGGTTTGGGTGTTCTGCTCTTGTGGACGTGTCATGTTTAATAAAGCTTGTTCACAACTACTGGCTTAGGAAGTGGCTTGCAGTTGACAAGTATGTGACTTGGAACACTGGGTGGAATGGCCACGTGGCCCAGTGGCCCAGGGCCCACACTGAGAATGCAGCAGCTGTGCATGCTAAATCTGGCTCTGTCATTAACCTGCCGAGGGACCTTCTACAAATGCTTAATTCCAACCATGAAAGCAAACATAGGCACCGATGCTTGAGAATAGTTGTAAAGGAAATCAGGCCTTGTGCAGAAAATAAACGGAACTCGTCTGCCTTTCCTTTCTAACACTTGTTGGAGGCAGGGAGGAATTCAGAATGACCAGGCTGCAAGTTACTGTTCTTTGCTTCTAATTAAGAGGCAACTATACGCAAGTGAGCATAATTAGGAGAAACTGGGGCAGCTGGGGCAAGTATGGGCAAAACTTAAGCCAACTTTGAAAACTAAAGGGCAAATCTCTGGAGTAGTGAGAAAGAGATTTCTCCCTGGTTCCCTCTCTTGCTAGCTGCATATGTGTACAATGACCCCATCACACTCTGCGTCTGAGCCTCCCTCTCTTTCTAGTTTTTTTCTGTTTCCCCTGTTCCTTCTTGTTTTTCCTTTGTTTGCACTGTCTGAAGGGGAGGAGGAGACAATATTCTCCCATTGCATTTTTTATTACTTCCTCTATCACTAGATCTAGGCAGAGCTTTTGAGACTTGTTTTGACACACTCACTTTTTTTCCACACTCACTTTTTAGACGGGAAAAATGGGCCCAATCAAATGTAAATGAACAGCAAGGTAGTGACAGCTAGAATAGATGGCAGGTCATTTAAATGCCAGTCCAGTGCTATTTCCATACATTGCACCCAAGTTTAATGATTAAGAACAAACAATAACACTCCCAAGGCTGAACTGACCTTATATTTTTCATATGTAAAAATGTATTCTATGTTTGTTACCTCACAACTATGTTAGTCCATTCTCACATAGCTATAAATATCTGAGACTGGGTAATTTATAAAGAGAAAAGGTTTAATTGCTAGGTTTTGCAGGCTGTACAGGAACATGATGCTGGCATCTACTTGGCTTCTGGGGAGGCCTCAGGAAACTCACAATCATTGCGGAAGATGAAGTGGAAGCTTGCATGTCACATGGTCACATGGCCAGAGCAAGAGCAAGAGAGCGAGGTGGGAAGTGCTACACATTTTTAAATGACCAGATCTCACGAGAACTCATTCACTATCACGGGAACAGCCCCAAGGGGATGGTGCTGAACCATTCGTGAGAAATCTACCCCCATGATCCAGTCACCTCCCATCAGGCCCCACCTCCAATACCGGGAATTACAATTCTACATGAGATGTGGTGCAGACAGATCCAAACCTTATCAGCAACCACAGGAGTTAGGGCAGGTGGAGGATGTGACAGCATTTAAACACCATTATTTCATGTACATGGAATTATTTGATGTAGAGTATGAATGTATGTACTTCGAAATTCAACATGATTTTGAAGTATATCCACAAGTACGGTTCATCTTTGGCCCAGTTTGGCCAGAAATAAAATACTGCACTGGAAATATGTATGCTACATTCACTAAATAATTTTAAAATGAGAGTTAAAGGTCATAATCATAGTTATGAACATAGATGCCAAAGCGGGTGAATCACTTGAGGTCAGGAGTTCAAGACCAGCCTGGCCAACATGATGAAACCCCATCTGTACTAAAAATACAAAAATTAGCTGGGCATGGTGGCGCACGCCTGTAGTTGCAGCTACTCGGGGGGCTGAGGCAGGAGAATCTCTTGAACCCAGGAGGCAGAAATTGCAGTGAGCCAAGATGGTGCCACTGCATTCCAGCCTGGGCAACAGAGCTAGACTCTGTCTAAAATAATAGGAATAATAATAACAATAATAAAGACATAGTTATGACCATAGCAAACAAATAATGGTAAAAACTCACACTCACATTTGTCCAGTGAGAGGTAAAGCAAACACCAGTATATATGGAGATGTAAAATCCACCCTTTAGGCTGGGCATGATGGCTCATGCCTGTAATCCCAGCACTTTGGGAGGCCAAGGCAGGTGGATCACCTGAGGTCAGGAGTTTGAGACCAGCCTGGCCAATGTGTTGAAACCCTGTCTCTACTAAAAATATAAAAATTAGCCAAGCATAGTGTCACATGCCTGTAACCCCAGCTACTCGGGAGGTTGAGGCATGAGAATTGCTTGAACCTGGGAGGCAGAGGTTACGGTGAGTCGAAATCGCACCCTTGCACTTCAGCCTGGGCGACAGAGCGAGACTCTGTCTCAAAAAATAAATAAATAAAATCCACCCTTTTGAGAAGTCTTCTGCCCTGAGACTGAGAGTCAGCCAGAGCTTTTCAGGTGCTAAGTAACAAAGAATGGTGCCATTTAAAATAGGTGGAAGTGTGGAGGTACATACCACTTAGGGCTTAGCTTGATTTTCCCTAAGCCAGTGAAATACAAGAGTCTTGAAAGTCAGAAGTAATTGGCTGTTAGGAAAAAGAGTAAAAGAAACTGGTGAGTCTAATCTGTGAGTGAAGTTACCATATACCTATTCCAGGTAGCAAAACAAACTAAAAGAAAAAAATACTGCATTTTCCAAAATTCATAAAATTTCCCAAATTCATAAAGTTTATGAATTTAGGAAAATGCAGTATGTTTTTCTATTAGTTTATTTTTTCTATTAGTTTGTTTATGAATTAGGAAAATTCATAAATTTCATTTCTAAAATTCATATTTAGGAAAATGCAGCATGTTTTTCTATTAGCTCATATTTTCTATTAGTTCATATATTTTTCTATTCCTTTCATATTAATATTGTGTGATTCCAAACTATCTGTAGAAAAATTGTATAGTGATAAACATTTATATACATATATGCAATCGATTGTAAAAGACAAAAAAGCAATTATTTGAGGATTAATTTAATTGTTTAAAATATAAACTGACAAAGCCTTATATTCATAAGATTTTAATTTGAAAGGATATGACATTCCTTCTTCATGTAAGAAGATTATACTCAAAAGAGCAAATACAAATTAGACATTTACAGTCTGTTTTTGAGAGTTCATGCTTAACATTCTACCAATCTTAATCATATATCCTTTTTTGACTAATAAAATTAAATTCAACAACATTTAGCAAATGCCTATAGTATACCCAGTTCTATAATATCTATTATTTAATTTGTTGGATCCTCTCAATCACATCTGGAAATTAATATGAAATAATAAAATTGTATTATTTGCTTTTCTCCTCTACAGTATATGAACTCTAGAAAGTCAAGAATAAACAGAGTATCATTCAGGTTGCTTAACCAAATTTCATTGGCTGCTTTATTTAGCATGTCAAAAAATTACAATATAATCTTTCACATGGTGTTTTGATTGGAAATAAAACATGGCTTAACTCTATAGGATTACATATATGGATGAATTGTACGGTGGGAGGCAGCTGACATAGGGCATGTTTGTTTGTCAGAAAGATTTATGCCAGAAATCCTAGAGGTGTGGCAGTTATGATAATACAGGCAAAACATGACATCAACTTTGTTCTTTAGATGTTTTTATTCATTCTTTACAAACCCTAAATCATAGAAACAGCTATTGCTTTGAACCACAAAGAGAGGTGTGTCTGTTATCAGTCTGCCATATTATCAGCATACAATTCCACTGTGATTTCCTTTCTTTTTATGTTACTATTCAGAAGTCATGTATAGAGATGACTGCATGAACCTGAATCACGAAGCCTCCTAGTAATACACTTGTAAATATTTTACTGGGGAGCATAAATATATCTTTGAGGAGAACCTAGATGAAATAGGGTAGTTTTCAACTTTTTTTTTTTTTGAGATGGACTCTTGCTCTTCTGCCCAAGCTGGAGTGCAGTGGTGCGATCTCAGCTCACTGCAACCTCCATCTCCCCGGTTCAAGCAATTCTCCTGCCTCAGCCTCCCGAGTAGCTGGGATTACAGGTGTGTGCCACCACACCCAGCTAGTTTTTTGTATTTTTAGTGAAAACAAGGTTTCACCGTGTTGGCCAAGCTGGTCTCAAACTCCTGACCTCAGGTGATCCACCTGCCTCAGCCTCCCAAAGGGCTAGGGTTGCAGGTGTGAGCCACTGTGCCTGGCTCAACTTTTAAATATTATTCAAATCTTGCTTCTAATTCAGATTTTTCTTCAGCATCAAACTCAGATAATTTTTCAGATTTATACATTTTTGAAAAATATTGATAACATGCAAAATGTTATTCCAATTGATATACTACTTCAGCATATACTTTATGACCTAATGTGCATTAAGAAGTCACTTTTGAGTCCAGGCACGGTGGCTCACACCTGTAATCCCAGCACTTTGGGAGGCCAAGGCAGGCAGATCACCTGAGTTAAAGAGTTCGAAACCAGCCTGACCAACATGGAGAAACCCTGTCTCCACTAAAAATACAAAATTACCCAGGCATGGTGGCACATGCCTGGTATCCCAGCTACTTGGGAGGCAGGAGAATCGCTTGAACCCGGAAGGTGGAGGTTGCGGTGAGCCGAGATCGCGCCTTTGCACTCCAGGCTGGGCAACAAGAGCAAAACTCCATCTCAAAACATAAAAGAAAAAAAGTAGTCACTTTTGGGTCCCAGTTTCCTCATTTGAAAAATTGAATTAGGTAACTTTTTTAAGGTCCTTTCTAACTTCAGCATTCTAGAAATAAAAATATATACCTTAGTTTGATGTCCTTTAAAATAACAATATTTTTTATGGCTATTTAAAAACCATTGGTTTTTAAATATTTTCACCAGAAAATGAAATAAACATGAGAAGGAGCGTCCACAGCACAGTAAATGATACTCACTGCAGAACGTCCCCAACTCAGGATGGCAGGGAAGAAGGGTGGGTGCTCACTGGCAGAACGTTCCCATTCAAGTCACTGGGCTAGCTCCGTTTGGCTGAGAGCACGGGCCAGAGCTCAAAGCACGCAGAAGACAGATTTAAGAATTCTCTAATGAAGTCTTCTTACTGTGTGTGTGGACTCAAAGAAAAATATTCCAGACCCAAACTAACACAGTGAGTGAGCCTTGCTCAGGATACCATTAAACAGCATATTATTGAACTTCAATTCACTTACTGCAAGATCTAGACATATACAGAAATGAAGTAAGGAAACTAGGTACCCTGTTCAAATAATTCTGATTATAAAAGCAATTTTCCTGAAAATAAAGTTAAATCAAGTTATTCAGAACTGTCTTAATGCATTTTGTGCATGTTTGTTCACACGCTGTAGATATTGACTGTACTCTGTACACAAAGAGTTGTCTTGGTGGGAAGCAACTTCTCACAAGGAGTGGAGACTCTAGAACTGAGCTGGCACATTGAAACCTCACCTCCACCACCTTCCAGAGCAAGTGACTTAATCTCTCTGTGGTTCAGTTTCCTCTTCTGTACAATGGGAATGAAAATAGTACCCCATTGCATGGAGTTTTTATTAAATAGTATCTATTGCATGGAATTGTTAAAAGGTACCAAGATCAGTGTTTATTAGATAGAAATAAGAGAATGCCTACATTTTGAAGAAAAAAAACTCTCAAAATGAAGCACTAGCTTATAGGTATGTTTTTGTAAGAACATGCATTTTTAACCCTGAAATAATTCATTTTAAACTTCCTCTGATTTTCCCCACAATGTGAGCCACGTGGTAACTTGGGACTTCTGAGTAGTTTGGAATAAACTTTGCACCTGCTGTATTGTGAGGACTAGAGAGAGGAGCAAGTATCTGCATTTGGTAACAGACACTAGACTGTATTGCTTCCCACTCCTTACACCTAGTCATTGAGAAAACTGAGGGCTATGGAAATCATTCACCCTGTCCTCAGTGTCCTCTGCTCAGCTTCTCGTCCCAGTGCTGTCTCCCCTTGATTTCCCACTTCTTCTCTTCTTTATCTTTATTTCTTGCCCCTTGCTTTTCTCTTTGCAGTTTCTGTTCCCCTTACTCTCTCTGCCTTATCATTGGTCACTTCTTTCATTTATTTTTACTTTTTTAGAGACAGGCAGGCTGGTCTTGAACTCCTAGCTCATGCTCCCAAAGAGCTGGGACTACAGGCGGCTGGCTAACTTTTTTTTTTTTTTTTTTTAAGAGATGGGGACTCTCCCTATGTTACTCAGGCTGGTCTGGAACTCCTAGGCTCAAGTGATCTTGCTGCCTCAGCCTCTGGAGGGGCTGGGAGAGATTACAGGCACCCAGCTGTTCACCCTTTTAAATTTAACTGTCCTCCAGTTTTATTTCTCACTTTCCTTTGCAAGCGCCTCACTCCCAACCACTTTTGCTCCCCGGGACTATCCTCTGCTCTGACTTCCTGGTTTCCCTCCCTCTGCCCTCACTCTGGGCACCAGCCCCTTCCATGTTGGCATTCGACTCCACACTTTCTGCTTTCCTACTTTGAGATTTGCAATACACTTCAGCCTTATTCACTTACTGCTGTTAGCCTAACCGATTAATACCATTTTTATGAAAAAATGTAATTGTATCTCTTTAAAGAGACACAAGGAAATGAGAGGCATGAATGAACTGAATAATATTCATTATTTACTAAGCATCCACTACATTCCTGTCCTTCATATACATTGTCTCTATTCTTCACAACGCCTTTGAAAGAAGCTGTCATTTAGTCCCACGTTATACTTGAAGAAGTGATGCTGAGTGAGATTAGGTGACCTGTCCAAGGTCATTCAGAGGTAGAATTTTATCTCACATCTTTCTGATTACATCATCTACCCTCTGTCCGCTATATCTCCCTGACTCTTAAGTGAATGAAAGTACCATGCCTTATCACATTTCTCCTAAACAGAAGGAATAAGTGACAATAAGTCTACATGTAGAGATTTTAGATTTTCTCCATGCACTGCCTCTCACATACACATCTATACAGACGCCACCTTTAAATTTAACAAAGGAGGGAGGCAGAAAGTGGGAATAAAACAGTAAAGACACCAAAGGAAAACTGCTACTCTCCTCTCCTTGATGTTATCTGTGAATGACTAAGTTCATTAGGAATCCTAGACTCAGGGGTTTTTGGAGTTGAAAGTGGTCTCGGAAGATATCCAGAATAACTCCTCTGTTTTACAAATGAGGGAGCTGTAACTCAGAGACATAAAATCACTTGCCCAAAACATATAAATTAACATACTGCCCCGACCTGGGTGGGAGGTTATATTGATATTCATCAAGTGCTTATGGACAAACAAAATGTACCCAACCTGTCTACAAGCCCTGGAATGTTCTAGCATCACAGAGTGAGAGTAATTCCAGGCTCGAAGGGTATTCCTGCTGGGGCCCAAACCTTACCCCTCCCCTTCAGGGGCTCAAGAGGAGTCTACTAAGATAATTTAGAATTGGGAATGAGTGTGTTTCAAATGAATGCATGAAAAACAAATCCACAAGGTATATGGCACTGACTTGTAATAGGCCCATAGAAATATTCTGATGGAGTACAACTTCACAGGTTGCCAAATGACAGAATAAGGCAACTGTTTTTATAGTTATAATTTGCAAAAAAAATTATAGATATATATTTATATATGAATGGTGATGCAATGGTGAGAATAACTGTTCATTCTGTAACTATTCCTATCACTCTGTAGCTTTCATGCTAAGTAGATTACAAATATCATTGGATTTGCATAAGCATTAAGATAAATGAAATGTTAGGGAAAATGGAAGGAAAAAGAACACAGATATGCTCTTTTAATATCTTGGTACCGGCATTAATGTCTTCTTTAATGTGATGTAACAATACTTGGCTCCTGGGCAGTTGTTTTTTTTAGTTAATACCGTATCATCAGGAATTCAGTTTCTTCCCACCTGATTAGCAGCACGCCACCTCACTGGAATCTAGGAAGGAGCTAATGTATACTGAAACCAAATCTGATGCTTAGAAAATCCTTGAGCTATTGAAAGGCACACCTGCGTTGCTTGGTAGGTGTACTGAATCTCAAGTAAGGAATTTCTGCAAATCTCCTGTTTAGTTGGCTAAACTGGTTTTCACTCCTATTGAACAACCCCAGGGTGGGGGGGATCCTCTATTTCTCTTTAATAACCATAATAAGCCAAAGAAATAATTTTCAATGCTAATTCCAGTGACTTAGACCTCAAAAGTAGAAAGGCTCAGAATATGTTTGAGGGCATTGTATGTCTTCGGGTCAAATTTATAGATCAGTTAGTAGTTTTCATATTGGAAAAGATCTATAGCTTTTTGTAAAGACTAAACTATTGTTAACTAAGATGTTACTTTGAATAATTTAGAGGAGGCAACCTTTTTTGATGTATTCACTTTTATATTTAAATTAAGAATAGTCTCTTATGAAATTTCAGTGAACTGAATCCTAAAGAAAATAAGGAAGCATTTATCAGTCGAAAGTACTCTGTAAATCGGCTTGCAGATTAACTGCAAAGGTTATTTGGGAACTGTATAATCTTAAAGCAAAACAAGACATTTATCCATTACTTCTTTTCAAAAATCTCTATTTGGTCCATTTTTATTTTCTGGACATTCTTTTTTTAGATTATATGCTACTCCATAATATCTTTAGAATTCTCCTGACAAAACTAGCTTGAGAAGCATAAGATATAAGACATTCTAAAATAAAAATGTTTGATTCATTACATAATATTATCTAGGTATTAAAGAAAGTTAACATTTTTCATTCTTTGGTCAGGAACTCATGGCCTCCAACATACAGCTTTCCACAGTAACTATGTAGTACATCCTAGGGAAGATAAAGAAAAGAGTTTAGGGTTGTCCAACCTCATAGAAAGGAGAAAGGAAAATTAACCAAGTCCACAGGCATGACGACCCTAGTCTGTTTTAGCTGCCAAAGGAACTAATAATGCTGCCATTTAAGTTTTAATTTATGGATTGTTTGTGGTGTTTCCCATCCCTTTTAAGTTGAAATTGTGTGTTGCAATCTCTACAGTAATAGAATATTTCTT
Organism: Homo sapiens; assembly: GCF_000001405.40. Taxonomy (NCBI): domain Eukaryota; kingdom Metazoa; phylum Chordata; class Mammalia; order Primates; family Hominidae; genus Homo; species Homo sapiens. Next base: position 95,549,921 of record NC_000013.11, read on the forward strand.
TTTTCAAAGTATTCAACAATGAGTTTAATATTCTTTCTTCCTGTGATGCATACCACCATCCGTTATGCTAAATTAACTGTTTATACACACATACACAGAGCTCAACTGGTCAGAGCTGTGGTTCTCAGCCTGAGTCCACATTAGAAGTTTTGGAAATACTGCTACCAAGGCCACCCCCAGAGATTCTGGCTTCACTGGTGTGGCGATGCGGCAGAGAGAAGAGTGTTCCAAGCAGGAATTCAGAATTTGTTTCTTCCGGATGCTATGTTGCAACGGTAATCTGGGCTTATGGATTTTTGAAGTATAATGGGTAGAGCTACATTATGTGTTAAATAAACTTTGCAGACTGGTTTAAAACACCAAACCATTCTTCAAAGTTCTTTCTTTAAAACAAACAATGTGCCTTTGGATCCAAACAGTGGACTTCATAGCAACTAGGTGATAAATTAGGAAGTGCTTGAGTCTTAAAGGTCACAGCACTACACTTGTTTTGTGGCAAAAGTAAGTCAGGGTTTTGTCTAGTAAAAACAAAGAAATAATCAATTTAGTGAGTATCTACCATAGGCGAGCCACGGTAAACAAAGGGACTATCGAACAAGGCCAGGAAATAAAGTATTAAATTTGTGTAATTTGTAATTTTAGAAAAATCAGTAAGAAATGTTATGGTTAGTGGGTTTTGTGTTTTTCAAATAGTAATTGGATCAGAAATAGGCAGATTATTCAGGAAGGAATATGGCATAGAAATAATAGTGGAAATATGCTGGAGGGCAAAAAAACAGATGATAAAACACTTTAAAAAGGCAAGCCATACAAAAGAATAGAGGATGCTTTGTAGTCATTGCTCAAAGGTGACTGATTTGCATAGCAAGGAGAATGAGAAGGAAGAGGTTAGGAAGATACTTTTTTTTTTTTTTTTTTTTTTTTTTGTATTTTTAGTAGAGACGGGATTTCACCGTGTTAGCCAGGATAGTCTCGATCTCCTGACTTCATGATCCGCCCGCCTCGGCCTCCCAAAGTGCTGGGATTACAGGTGTGAGCCACTGCGCCCAGCCAGGGAGATACTTCTTAAACTCAGTTTTTAAGTTTAGTTTACCAGTGAACCTAACATGATACATCAGGACAAGCTGGGGTTCAGAGCAGAACAGTAGGGTAACCATGTCTGCATTGTCACCCTTGTACCCATTCACGAAAGCCATGGGACCATTAAGCACAGAGAAGCCCACTACCTGCCAGCCGCTGCACGGCTGCAACAAGAGTAGGACTTACTTCGTGTTCTCAGAGCACAGATTACAACATTCGGGTAGACATTGAAGAGAGACAGATTTGGGGCTCAATAGGAAGAAAAGCTTTTTTAAAGGGCTGTCAAAACAACATGAAGAAAAACAGAATAGATACGTTGCCATGCACTGAACTGCTGGTCCTGAAGGGTGGAGCATGGGCTAAACATTATCTCTAGAAATAGACAGGAACATTGTTTTGAGTGTGGAGCGTGTCCTGCTGGTCTACAGTGATTCTTCCAATCTAAGTTTTGATGATTCTATGTCCAGCTTCCTCTCTTCTCCAGTCACCTTGTCGCCTCTAATTTCACTGGGCACCCATTTGGTTAAAAAAAAAAAGTGACAAAGGGAAATTAAGAAATTCTTCACATTGAACCAGAGTGTTTCTGCCTAAAGATAGTGACACAGAGGGTTAGCACGAGATTTATCACAGCAGACTGATTGATAGGTTTTAGACCTTTCCTTACTTTTGGCAACAAGTGAAACCTGGAAGCTCATAACAAAACTGCAAGAACCTTTAAGTGGACAAATAATAACCCGTGTCCTTGTTCTCTCATTTATGCCCAGATTTGTGGCCTCAGGAGCCAGAAGTACACCTTGATCTTTATGTTTACCTTGAGACAGCAATGAAGGGATGAAGGAATGAATGAGTTTATATTTCAATTAGGCGTGAGAGATGGAGGTGGTTTAAAAAAAAATAAAAGACAAGATAGCAGTTTTGACTGGGATAACAGCATCCTTTCATAGAATAGCCTCTAGACCTGGAAGCTGGAAGGGACCTACAGGGAAAATGTGTTGAACAAATGCCCTCTGCGTAGTGCATTAGTATGAGTACACCAGCAAGATCAAGATCGTCAGGATGCCCCATCTGCTGCTATCTTGACTTTAGGCCTGTGCCACGCACCGTTTTGCCATGACTTTCCGCATAGCACCAGGCCAAAAAGAACTGCAGAGTTTTGAGGGCAAGGCCGGTTTCCAGCCCAGAATCTGCAATGATCCCTCCTTGACAAGTCAAACAGAGTCACCCAAACAAGCGTGGCACGCAAACCTTTAGAGTTCAGCAAACCGAGGGCTGAGTTACCAAACCGTGTCCTTTCAGGGCATGCAAAAGGCTTTTCCTGCTCTGCTTCTACAAGGTAGTCAGGAAGCCAAGCTATTTGCCTTGGGTAGGGCTGGGTGGGGGTGGTGAGGTGGGGGCGCAGCAGGTTGTCCACACCCGGTTGCCAGTCTGAACCTGAGCCGCTCCAACAAGCGAGCCCTTCTCCGCGGCCCTTTGGCTCAGGGGAGCGCAGGCCGGCCTTCCTCCCGCACGCGGGCGCGGGCCAGCTGCAGATGGAGAACCCGGGGGGCGACCGCGAGCCCTCTGAGGCCCCTCAAGGGACAGGGCATGGGTGTGAGGGGTCGCGTGCGCCCCCTGGCGCCGGGTCCGCTGGGCGGGGTGGTGGGCGGGGACGGTGGGCGGAGGCGGAGGCGGGAGGCGGAGCCCCGGGGTTGGGAGTGCGGGGGTCGCGGCGCAGAGTGGGAGCCGGAGAGCGAGCGCGGCTGCAGCCGGCGGCATGGCTAGCACGGCTTCGGAGATCATCGCCTTCATGGTCTCCATCTCAGGCTGGGTACTGGTGTCCTCCACGCTGCCCACCGACTACTGGAAGGTGTCTACCATCGACGGCACGGTCATCACAACCGCCACCTATTGGGCCAACCTGTGGAAGGCGTGCGTTACCGACTCCACGGGCGTCTCCAACTGCAAGGACTTCCCCTCCATGCTGGCGCTGGACGGTCTGCATCCCCGCGGCCCCCGCCCTCAGCCCTCCTTCCTTGATGGCCAGCCCGCTAGGCGCCCTCTCGCCCCCAATACCCCCAGCGGGACCCCTAGACTGGACTCCTCTGAGGCCCGACCCGTCTCTCCCAACAGGGCCTTAGGGAGCCAGGGACGCTCCTGGTGCCCGCCCTCTCCTGATGGCTGTCTCGCGGGGCGCCTGTTCGAGCCTGGGACCCCGGGAGGGGGGACACGCAGACAGGCCCGGGTTGGTGACTCCCAGGCGTCGGGGGATGGGGAAGCTTTGCGGTCCTGAGAGTCAAGGAAGCGGCTGCCCTCCCCCACCCCCCATATCTTGGGGACCGCTGGGACCCAGAGTTCATGCTGCAGGGGCTTGTCTCCTCCACCTCCCTCCCCTACGTTCCCCGAAGGCTGGGTTCTGATAAAAATGGTGTCATTGCAAGCCAAATCCGTTTGTCCTGACCTCCCTTGAGCCATTTCGTTGGTTCTTTTAAAAGTAGGCGGGGGTGGGGGTTGAGAGGTTGGAAGCGGGAAAACATATTGCAGAATTTGTTGTTGTTATTGTTTCCCTTTAAAGAGCTTCTACAAACTTGTCTGCCTAGGCAACACTACAAACACTTCCTCCGAGTTTTAGGAAAATAATAGCCCTTGCGGTGCCGCGATGAGTCCGCAGAGGGTAGGGAATCTTGGGCCGTGAGAGCGTGGCGCCGGGAGCTGACCAGTTCTGCATCCGAGTCCCCGGTGCCTGCTGCTGTCCTGGGTTGTTCCTTTGTGGAGGTTCACCTGCGTTGCTCTGGTTAGTCAGGCCTTATGCTGGTAGCAGCTGGTGGATATTCACACAGAACTCTGGCTCTGTTGAGTTTCAAGACAACAGCCGATGTCAGCCCGGTCCCATTGATTGCTCAAGTTCTAGGCCCGTTGCTTCCAGGATTTTACAGCAAACGAATCCTGGCAGAAACTTAAGAGGAGTTATTTACATTACATATTTCTAGATTTGAGGTGTTTTTTTCTTTTATTACCGCACTTGCAGGTTTTGTTTACATAGCTGGGTAAATGAAAGAAAATAGTTGATTCCTCTAAGATGGGGTTTGCCACGAAGAGCAAACTGTTGCTCAACGTGGTATTTGATGGAACCTCCGTATAAGGAATACGCATCTAGTTTTAGAAGGGTGGCGCCCGGGTCCGTGTCCTGTTCGGTAAAATAAGCAGCCGGAACAGTGTTTATTCCCCAGCATTACCGTTGAATTTCCTGTGGTTTGTAGAGCACGCATCCAGGTAGATGAACAGGCATTCTCTTGTTCCTGTGATTTATAGTCAGCAATGTGTTACTGTCCTCTGAACACTCTTCTGTTGTAACTCTATTGTTCTCTGAGATAGTGTGCCAGATAGGTACGCTTCCTTCTGTAGGACAGTTGGGGGACAAGGGAGAGAAGGAAATGAATGCTCTATGAATATTATTAAGTGCAGAATAATAAAGTTTTCTCCTACATGTCTGCAGTGAGAGTGGAGGTGGTACCATACCTGTTTGGGGGCAGATCGGGCCGGGAGTGAAGAGGAAGTAGGAATAGTTGTCCTGGTTAGCTGGGAGGAGAACAGAGAGGAGTGACATTTTTATGCCATCCAGCTTGCAAAATGGCCTTCCTGTGTGCTCATGTGACTAAAAAATGACTTTTAAAAACATAAATGGCATGACACTACCTACTGTTGTACAACACTTTAAAATCAATGTATTTTTCCAAGTCAGTACTTAATAGAAGTGACTTGACTCTGTGTAACTGCTGCATGGTATATTCATTAGACTGCATAAAATGGCTTAGTTAACCATAGATCCATTGTGGACATTGGACCTTTTCCAGCTTTTCTTTGTTGGTGGTGCTTTACTGAAAATCTTATATTCACCTCTTTGTATGTGTGTGTATTTCTGTAGACTCCATTCCACTGAGAAATGGTATCGTAAGAGCAGTAGAATACACGTGCATTTTAATATTCAGTTCATACTGTCAAATTACTTTCCACTGACAGTGTATGAGAATACCTGCTTCTCCACATTCTCACCACTCTGTGTTAATCCAGTTTTTTTTTTTTTTTTTTTTGAGACGGAGTTTTGCTCTTGTTGCCTAGGCTGGAGTGCAGTGGCACAATCTCAGCCGACTGCAACCTCCGCCTCCCAGGTACAAGTGATTCTCCTGTCTCAGCCTCCCAAGTAGCTGGGATTACAGGCATGTGCCACCATGCCCGGCTAATTTTTTTTGCATTTAGTAGAGACAGGGTTTCACCATGTTAGGCTGATCGCGAACTCCTGAACTCAGGTCATCCACCCTCCTCGGCCTCCCAAAGTGCCGGGATTACAGGTGTGCGCCACCGCGCCCAGCCATCTTATCATTTTAGTTGGCATTTCCCTTATTGCCGTGGTCAAAATCACTGGTTATAAAAATGGTCAAAACTCACTGACCGTTTTTTTTTCTCTTTTGTGAATTGGCATCCATATCTTAGGCCCATGGTTCTGTTGTTTCTTTGTGGTTTCGATGATTTGTCAGTCCTTGATTTGTTATGTAGGTTGCAATCTCACACCATTGTTCATCTTTTAAATTTATGATGCCTTTTCTCACACAGGACTTTGAAATTTGTAATAGAATCATATTTATCAGCCTGTTTTTTTGATGACTTTCCTTCTGTGGCTTAAGATGGCATTTCTTACCGCAAAACAAACTTACTTTTCTGTATCTCTCAGAATAACATCTTGGAGGGTTAAATCATGCAACTGTGTTTTCCTGTGGAGGGGAGTTGATTCCCCCACCTGCAAGTGGAAGCTTCCAGGGTAGGGGCCCTCTGTTTGTCCTCTACCTTGCATTCCCAGGTCAGCCACATCTGGTGGGTGCTGGTCCTGACATTGCCTTTGGAGAAAGTGGCCATGGTGGCCTGAGTGGAACAGCCCTCCCCTTAAACCCAGGTATGAGCTCTAGATTGGGAAGAGAATCCAGGAAGGGAGAGAGAAGGCTCGTGACTCTTGCCTATCTTGTGTTAGGTAGAAGAACTCTTGGAGTCAAACGACGAGGTCATTATTCTGAATTTCTTTTCTTTTTTTTTTTGAGACAAAGTTTCACTCTGTCCCCCAGGACAGAGTGCCATGGCATGATCTCTGCTCACTGCAACTTCCACCTCCCGGGTTCAAGCAATTCTCCTGCCTCAGCCTCCTGAGTAGCTGGGATTACAGGCACCCACTGCCACACCTGGCTGATTTTTGTATTTTTAGTAGAGACAGGGTTTCACCATGTTGGCCAGGCTGGTCTTGAACTCCTGACCTCAAGTGATCTGCCCGCCTCTGCCTCTCAAAGTGCTGGGATTACAGGCATGAGCCATGCGCCCAGCCCTAAATTTCTTATATAAAGAAATCTCTGATTCCCCTCCCCTAGGGGTATCATTGCCACTTGTTTTCCTTATAAGAAAAATGAGGCCTAGCAAAGCTATATGTCTAGATTTAACGTTATGCCATATTAAGAACCCAGCTCTAATTTCTGCTTAGAATCCATTGTAGTATTATAATATGACGGGATGCTTTGATGACTTTCTTACTGCTCAGCAGACATCCATATTATTCATCCTGTGAAGGAGGTGCTGCCATCCCTGTTTTACAGATGAGAGAACTGAGCCTCAAAGAGATTAGGTCCTATAACCAAGTACATACCTTGGGTAAATAGAAGCACCAGAGGTGAAACTCAGAGTTCCTGCCCTCCCCATACCACTGTTCTCTCAAAGGATTTGCAGAAGTACACAAAGCTACCAGGAAAAGAAAAGCACATTCTTTTTTCCCCCCTAAATCCATCAACTAGCACAGGTGCTATTAGCGAATTGTCTCCACCAAGTGGATGTTTTCGTTTTTTGCTGATTTGCAATTGAAAATAAAGTACACATAATTTGGAAAACACTTAACTTTTAAGGAACACCTTGAAGCTTTCCTCCAACAGAGTTCATTAATTTAAAGTCACTGTATTTTACTATTTGAAAATTTCACAGCTGAATGAGCTTGTGATTTCTGTTTATTGTTAACCCATACTCCTTTCAAAGTACCACTTGAACTTCAGCTGAGTATGATTTTCAGCCAGCTTGTTTTTAGTGTATGCCATCTATTTTTGCTAGTGGGAATGCTTGCCATTTCTCCCAGGAGAACTAACTATAAATTATACTTCAGAGAACTTCTAAATAAATATGTTCATGCCTCAGCACCTTAATGTGTTAATTAGCTATTAACAGTGTCAGTAAATTAGACCTGTCAAAAATAATGGCCTCCTTGACTAGGTTTTTACTAACACTTCTCCTGGTGGTGTTACTTGTAAGTTTTGCCCTCAGGAACTGTTAGAAAGCAAGGCTGTAGAGGTCTGCTTTGCAAAAGATGAACTCTGAAAGGGTTTGTTGGAATCATCTTGGCTCCAATCTGTGGGTGTTGTAAGGACTGGTAGCCTTAGAACACTGAGAATTTACAAATCTCAGGCTTACGAGCAACTCCATTACATTTATGGCTGGCAGGGGAGTTTATCCCCTGCTCTTTGCTCTCCATTTCAGAAAATCTGGCCAATGATCGTCCTTGTAAATTGCCTTCTTTGTGCATGCGCAAAATTAACAAGTTATGGCTGCTGTTCATGCTGGAGAAAGGTACCTCATTTTCCAAATCCGGGTTCTGGTTGGCACAAAAGAAGGACCTGACCAGATCAGAATCTGCCCTGCCCACTTCTCCTCTCATGCTTGTGTCAAGAGACCAAAGTGGGTCCTGCTGCCAATACCAGGGCTGGGACGGGGCATCTCAGAGTGAGAAACTCGGGAAAAATGTTATCAGTGGTGATTACATAAAGTTCAAAGACTACTGTTATTTTCCCTGTTGTATTAAGAATCGAATGGGTTGGCCTGGGATTCTACCCACTGTTTATCATCTGGGAAATGCATTCCGCGTTCTAAATGACCAGATTGTAGAATTTAACCTTTGGTAAATTCCCGACAACTTGCACTTTCTGTTAACAAAGCATGGAAGTAACTAAAGGCAATGCAAATTAGGGTACATGCTAATGTTTTCTGGGAGTATATATAAATGGATGAGTCCCCCATTTTTTTGTTTATTTAATGACTGCAGTCAGAGTCAGCTATAAAACCTCAAAACCATAGATTAAAATGAATTTCACAAAAAGAGCGAAACCACACTGTCCGAGTAGCCCTGGTGGCAAGTGATGAACCAGTTTGGGTTATCCTCACAGGCTCTCTTCAAACTTGCAAGGGACTGACAGGCTTCCCCTCTCTGTCTTGCCTCTACCTGCTGTCTGGGCTCTGGCTGGGGAGCTCGAGGACTGAAGTTTAAAATACAGCTGGTTCAGCATTTGGCAGCGGAGACCCAGATAGCCCTGCAGCACAATGATTGCTATGAAAGAAGCCTTCATTATCCTGTTTTGCTAAAAATAAGTTTGTTTTGCTGTTTTTGATAGCCACGGTGTTAGTGAAATTGTTTTCTGTATGGAAATATTTCACACTACACAATGGAAGGTCACTGTCCTTGCAGTCTGCATTTGTGGGAGTCTAAAGTGTTTACAATTAAGTAGAGCAGCTCCTGTTTGCTCTTCAAAAATGGGTCCAAGGAATAGGATTAAAACTTCAATTTCATTCTTTTCCAAAGAAACACAGACTGGGGCCAGGTGCAGTGGCTCATGCCTTTAAGCCCAGCATTTTGGGAGGCCAAGGCAAGAGGATCGCTTGAGGCCAGGAATTCGAGACTAATCTGGGCATTACAGCGAGACACTGTCTCTATAAAAATTTAAAAATTAGCCATAGGTGGGGGCAAGCGCCTATGGTTTCAGCTACTCAGAAGGCTAAGGCAGGAGGATCTCTTGAACCCAGGAATTTGAGGCTGCAGTGAGCTATGATTATGCCACTTCCCTCCAGCCTGGGTGGCAAAAGTGAGATCCTGTGTTAAAAAAAGAAAAGAAAAAAAGAAACTGAACTGGAGGCCACTAGTATGTACTCCCTAAATTCATGATTATCATGGTCTCGGAATTATTATTTATCATGGCTCTGCTTGAACACCAATAATAAATGACTTATCATATATTGACACATAAGAGGTTTTTTCCAGTTAAAAAGTTTAATTCCAAACGTAAACCTGATGTAGGTATATATGTTTATTTGCTTAGCAGATACTTACTTACACCCGGTATGTGCTACTATCACTATTTTAGATCGAAATATGGCATTGTTTCAGGCTGAAATGAAAATGGCTTATGTGGTAAAAGCTTATTAGTTTAAACCCTGTTAATGTAAAAACCTGGACAAAAGCCACACTGAAGTTTACCGTGTACCCTGGCTGTGCAAATAAAAATACATGACTAAGAACATGAATAGCACAGGAAGGATGAACAAACGAACTGACAGAACATACTCGTTAGGGTACTTTAAAGGCATTCATTTATAAAAGAACAGTTGACTTAATCACTATAAATTACTCTTCTACAAAATAGTGCTTTTTAAAACCCAGTTTTATTATATACACCCTGAAAACAATAGTACTTCACTAAAGTATTCCCTTAGACCCCCCATGGTTCATGATGATATTCCAGTTAGTCTGCTATTAATAAGCGTCCACTAATATTGGAAGGTTTGACCCTTTGGATCTCTTTCTGCCACCCAGTTATAAATCTTATCATTTGATAATGTCAAAACCATTAAAACACCCTTTTAAAGTCCAATGAGCGGAGGAGCTACAGAGTTGTGATGGTGGCAGATGATGTTTTTTCACAGTGAAAGGCACCTTTCACTGTGGAATTTCACTATATGGAATTCGTAGTCTGATTTGGGATGGAATCCATGTCTGCCACTTTCTAACTCACCTCTGGTAAGTCACATAACCTTTGTGTGCCTCAGTTTCCTCACTGGTGAATATGGAAATAACACTCAGATCTATCCTGAGGATTCCCCATAAACCGCACTTCACAGTGTGTGACCTAGAATAGGCACTCCCTGTAGATTAACTTGCTTTCCTTTCTTGCTTGTCTTGCCACATGTTTTCACCATCACAGTTATCTTTTTGGAAAACAAACATCCAGAATGACAACGTAAAATGAGGATTTCTCCCTGGACAGCCACATGCTTTATGTAACGTAAATGACCTACTCTAATTGCAGGTTATATACAGGCATGTAGAGGACTTATGATCGCTGCTGTCAGCCTGGGCTTCTTTGGTTCCATATTTGCGCTCTTTGGAATGAAGTGTACCAAAGTCGGAGGCTCCGATAAAGCCAAAGCTAAAATTGCTTGTTTGGCTGGGATTGTATTCATACTGTCAGGTAAATAGTAACTTTCTTCCAAACAAGGTACTTGATGATGTTAATGAAATCACACTAACCATAGTGCTTTCCCTCTAATATTTGTTAGGGCTGTGCTCAATGACTGGATGTTCCCTATATGCAAACAAAATCACAACGGAATTCTTTGATCCTCTCTTTGTTGAGCAAAAGTAAGTACTCTTCTCAGTCTGTTTCCAGCTCACAGGAAGTGTATATAAATTAATATTCTCAACCAAGAGACATGAATTTCCTATATGACTTTTGAAAGTAAGACATACTGATAAATGGTAACTGATGACATCATTCAAGATTAAATGTGTCATATGCCACATACGCAAAATATGCATTTAATTAGTTTGCTAGTGTTGCAGTGTCTTGTCTCGAAACAGTTCAAGGCATCAAATTTAGAACTATAAACTTCATCGTTTGCTGTACATCATGAAACTGAGGTCAAGTAGAGGAAACGTGAAAGGTGTCAGACGGAGAGGAAAGAATGATGCGGTGTGCGAATAGAAAATTAAAACCTTGCCTTGATTGTTGCCCACTCAAAATGATATTTGCCAGATGCTAGTTTCTGGGTCTTTTAAATTTGCTGTATTAACTACTGTCTTAACAAGCTCCTCCTAATAAACCTTTATAAAGAAACTGTATACGATGCAAGGTTTTTGAAAAATGCTGTAGGAGCACGGCACCTTTACCCAAATGTGGCTGGTCAGTCTTGCAGATGAATGCTTTGGAATTAACAGATCAGTTTGCTTGTTGGTGTTGTTTTTAAACTATGGGCTGTTGCTTTTTATAGTTTCCCTAGGCTTATTTCTTTGGATTGGGAAAACCCCAGGGATACCAAATCAGAATTAATATATTAAATATTTTGTCTTACCTAAGAATGTATCTACATCCCTCTTTAGGAAGCCTCACGTACGTGTGTGTGTATTGCTATCAATGAGGCTGGTAATTTTATTTTAGACTTCAGGTCAAATTTTATAGAATTTTTAAGAAGTATATTACTGAAATAGCTGGTCAGCTGGGCTTTACTTTTTTTCTGGTGGTTTTAGGAATCTTCAGGAAATTGATTTTCTAGTTCTGGCTTAAGTGTACCTTACGCATAAACAGTAAATGCTTATATCATGAAATAAAATGAAAATAATAGCTAGCGCATGTTGAGTCCCCACCAGGAGCCAAGCAGAGCACTGCAAATATTATTTTATTGTGTTATTTTATTTTATTCTTACAAACAACCTTATAAAGTAGGTCCTCTTGGTACTCTTTTTTTAAATTGAGGAAAGAGGCCAAGTGATGTGTTCAAGGGAACTTGGACCAAACTAGTAGGCTGATTGAACTGGGATTCAAACCAGGCAGTTGAACTTCAGAACACTGGCTCTTAAAAAGCATGATTTCTAATATTCCACTATTTTGTAATTTTTGTGACAATATGCTACATGTACTGTTCATCAAGAGGTTTCTTTCGTCCTTTTTTTTTTTTTTTTTAAGAGTTAGGGCCTCTTTCTGTCACTCAGGCTGGAGTGTGGTGGTGTGATCTTAGTTGACTGCAGCCTTGCGCTTCTGCACTCAAGTGATCCTCCCACCTCAGCCCCCCGAGTAGCTGGGACATATATGTGCCACCACAACCAGATAATTTTTTTTTTTTTTTTGAGATGGAGTTTTCGCTCTTGTTGCCCAAGCTGGAGTGCAGTGGTGCGATCTCGACTCACTGCAACCTCCATCTCCCAGGGTCAAGTGATTCTCTTGCCTCAGCCTCCTTAGTAGCTGGGATTACAGGCACGCACCACCATGCCCAGCTAATTTTTTTGTATTTTTAGTAGGGACAGGGCTTCACCATTTTGGCCAGGCTGGTCTCGAACTCCTGACCTCAGGTGATCCACCCGCCTCAGCCTCCCGAAGTGCTGGGATTACAGGTGTGAGCCACTGCGCCCGGCCCCGGATAATTTTTACATTTTTTAACGGAGACAGGTCTTGCTATGTTGCCCAGAGTTGTCTCCAGCTCCTGATCTTCAATGATCCTCCTCCCTCAGCCTCCCAAAGCACTGGGATTACAGGCATAAGCCACCATGCCCAGCCTTTTCTATACATTTAAAAATAGTTTTTATTCAGAAATGTTATTAAATGGGAAAGAAAAACAAATTTTATTAAATGGGTTTTAGACCTCAATATAACTTTTTTATCCCCTGCCTATAATACAAAAACATGTCCTAATTTATTAATTTTCTCCTACTTATCTTTCAAATGAGATTTGCACAGATGTACATGGCAGGAAACATTGAAATAAAAACCAAGGCTGTATTTCTGAAGCTTAGAAATATTTTAATGATATTTAAAAGAAATATTGTATTTAAATGATACATTTTTATTTTAGGGTTTGATATCATAAATATGCAGCAAACCTGTACTTCTCATGGTTTATTTTATTAAACACATTTCTCACTCTTCCGCATTATCTTTTCTATATTACTGGTTTTATTTTCCTGACAATTATTAAGGATATCTTTGTCTATATCTTAAAAATCATTGGACTCTTTCCTCAAATGGTCAAGGCTAATTTGTGTACAAACAATAACTTAAACCTATCTTTGCGTGACTGTTTTCTGTCCTTACTATAGCTCAGTCACCTAATTCAGTGTAGTGCCATTGGAATTTCTTATTCTCTTTTCAGATTTTGATTAAACTCAGTTCAGTAATTAGGTGCTATGAGAGGCTTTCCTCTTTTTCAACCTCTTGGTGCTACATTGGCTATTCCATTCTCATTAGCTTCTTGGAATTTCTCTTTCTGTCTCTGCCTACCCACTCTCTCTCTCTCTCTCTCTCTCTCTCTCTCTCTCTCTCTGTCTGTATTCTCATCTGTAAAACAAAGATAATAATAGCATACCTCTCACAGAATTGCTGTGAGAGTTAAGAGAGGAGAGAGAGAGAGAGAGAGAGAGAGATAGATGTGATTGGCACAGAGCAAACACCTTGTATTAGCTCTTATTGTGTTATATTAATTATTATTAAGATTGCTTTTTAATTCTGTATAGTATGTAAGATGTGGCTTATCTTTATAGATGCCTTTATTAGCTCTTTTCTGCAGTGGCTTAAAAATATAACACCTACAATTCACCAATTTACCTAATGTAATTAAAAGCACAAGAACCAGGGGTCATGAAAAACAGCAGTGCTTATCCATTGGTAATATTTACAAATAACAGGCCCTTTGCATCAAGGTCTATAGAAAATATAGACTATAAAAAACCTGATATTGAGAATGAGTTGACTTCTTGAGATTAGGACTTTCTCTCCTTCATCTCTGTTTTCCCTGCAGTGCCTTTCACAAAGAAAGGTCCTCCATGATTTCAACAAAATCCAGTTGGATCAAGGAATTATCAAGGCCTGAGAATTGTAGATACCATCAGATTCTAATTACCCACAATGATAGAAAAGGGGCATAAAAATGACATGACACCCACAAGAACTCAGACCTCATTTAAACAAAACACACTTGTATAAAAACTAATAAATTAACTAATATGACTTCACTTGGTTTCCGTTTATCAACACCTTCTAGTAGAGGGGATAAAAACTGGGAAGATGAATAAGCTATAAATTGGCTATCAGCACAAAATGAACTGATTTCCTAGCTCTCAAATGTCATCTTTAAAGCAATATTTTATTTTGGCTTATTCTAGGGATAGCACTTCTCTGGCTAGCATTTGCTGGAATTTGATAATTGATGCTTCTGGTTTTGTTTGTACATGAACTTAGAGAGGAATACGTTGTAGAATCAAAGCTTGTGGCAGGGCCAGTCCTAGATAGGCTGGGATGTGGAAGATGCCACTATAGGAATGTTCTATGTCTTTGGTGTCTTAATCAGCTGGCATAAGAATTAAGTTCCTTGAGGTCAGAAAACGTCTATGCAACTGTATCTTCTTTCCCTAGCACAGTACCTAGAAGTGAAATTCTTATGTGTAGACCTAGTCCTTTCAGAATTAGCAAAGAAAATTGTTGTCTCAGTGGATAGAGGGAGCCTCCCAGAGGATGGAGCAAGAAAGCTCTCTTCTTCCCATTATTATCTTACATTAATCTTACAAAAACTAGCTGCCACTAAATACCATCTCTCCCTGCAGGAGCATGTGTGTTTGGGCCCTTAGGAAGCGCAGTGAGAGACAGCGACTTGTCACATGTTCTAGTTTAAATTTCTGGTGAGCAAATACTTGCTCTCCAATACCCAACCCCTAAGGAAAAGAGTTTAGACCTCAGAGCATGGTTTTGTTGTTCTTGCTTTGCTGCTGCTCTTGTTTTTCCTTCAGATTTGTATGCCGTGTTAATTGGATCTTCTTTGTAGATTTCCAGGACAACTCTACATAAGGCACATCTTGGTTGCCCAAGTTAGGAAAACACAACTAAGCTCATGAACCAAGTTCCCTATACATTCCTGCTATATGCAAGGAACTCAACAGGAGCTTTGTTGATGAGGAAAAAATGAGTGGCTTCTAGCATGGACTTGGAGTAAAGATTGCAGCAGGCACATGGCAGGCAGTATTGCACTTTATGTTCAGTGGCTAGTTCCTCTAAAAGTCCTTCCTTTCCCACCACGTATCTGGGAAGATTTTTCTTCCGAGCTACAATCATTTGACAGAACTGCAATCTGTAAAGAGTTTCATCGTGTTCTGCTATTTCTCTATTTTTCCCTTTTGTTTTGCTTTTTTTCATTCGAGCTATGACTATGTTTGATGACTCCAGCATGAGCTCTTGCAGAGCCTTGAAAACTGTTTTTCAACTTTTCCCTTTAGGCTGTGTCAAACTAACTTCCTCCTTTTTATTAAAACAAAAACTAACAAATCTGAAAAAAAAAAAATCTCCTGCAAGCTTCTAGTAATGGGTACTCCTTAGCATGATTCACCATACCAGGATGTTGAAATTTAATTACGTTATTCCCACCATTGTTTTGTTATCCAAACCACTAACTTTCTGAATGTCCAGCTTTGTTTTCTTAGATAAACCATTGCAAGTAAGAATTGATCAACATTAAGAAACTTCTTTTCAAATCATGCAAAGTTATACGACTTAACTGATTGCTCTGGTTGAGGAAGTAGAACAGAATTGTTGTCTTAGACTTATTCTTTTTTTGTATATGACATTTACCGTTAATATTTTGGCCCAGCTATTTTTGTGTTGGGGTCTTATCATCCTCTAGGCTTATTTCCAGACTTTTCAAAATCATGTCGCACTTCTCATTCCTGGCATGTATTTGGTTTCTACTTTAGGATTTAAGCTTTATATAATAAAATATTTTCACCATTGTGGCTATTTAGTAGTTAGAAATAAACAACTACCTACTTTCTTTTTTTATTATTATTATTTAAGTTCTAGGGTACATGTGCCCCACATGCAGGTTTGTTACATAGGTATACATGTGCCATGTTGGCTGGCTGTACCCATCAACTCATCATTTACATTAGGTATTTCTCCTAATGCTATCCCTCCCCCAGCCCCCCACCCCCTGACAGGCCCCAGTGTGTGATGTTCCCCACCTTGTGTCCATGTGTTCTCATTGTTCAGTTCCCACCTATGAGTGAGAACATGTGGTGTTTGGTTTTCTGTCCTTGTGATAGTTTGCTGAGAATGATGGTTTCCAGCTTCATCCATATCCCTGCCAAGGACATGAACTCATCCTTTTTTATGGCTGCATAGTATTCCATGGTGTATATGTGCCACATTTTCTTAATCCAGTCCATCATTGATGGACATTTGGGTTTGTTCCAACTCTTTGCTATTGTGAATAGTGCCGCAATAAACATACATGTGCATGTGTCTTTATAGTAGCATGATTTATAATCCTTTGGGTATATACCCAGTAATGGGATCACTCAGTCAAATGCTATTTCTAGTTGTAGATCCTTGAGGAATTGCTACACTGTCTTCCACAATGTTTGAACTAATTTACACTCCCACCAACAGTGTAAAAGCATTCCTATTTCTCCACATCCTCCCCAGAATCTGTTGTTTCCTGTCTTTTTAATGATCGCCATTCTAACTGGCATGGATGGTATCTCATTGTGGTTTTGATTTGCATTTCTCTGATGAGCAGTGATGATGAGCATTTTTTCATGTGTCTGTTGGCTGCATAAATGTCTTCTTTTGAGAAGTGTCTGTTCATATCCTTTGCCCACTTTTTGATGGGGTTGTTTTTTTCTTGTAAATTTGTTTGAGTTCATTGTAGATTCTGGATATTAGCCCTTTGTCAGATGGGTAGATTGCAAAAATTTTCTCCCATTCTGTAGGTTGCTTGTTCACTCTGATGGCAGTTTCTTTTGCTGTGCAGAAGCTCTTTAGTTTAATTAGATCTCATTTGTCTATTTTGGCTTTTGTTGCCATTGCTTTTGGTGTTTTAGTCAGGAAGTCTTTGCCCATGCCTATGTCCTGAATGGTATTGCCTAGGTTTTCTTCTAGGGCTTTTATGGTTTTATGTCTTACATTTAATTCTTTAATCCATCTTGAGTTAATTTTTGTATAAGGTGTAAGGAAGGGATCCAGTTTCAGCTTTTACATATGGCTAGCCAGTTTTCCCAGCATCATTTATTAAATAGGGAATTCATTCCCCATTTCTTGTTTTTGTCAGGTTTGTTAAAGATCAGATGGTTGTAGATGTGTGGTGTTATTTCTGAGGCCTCTGTTCTGTTCCATTGGTCTATATATCTGTTTTGTTATTAGTACCCTGCTGTTTTGGTTACTGTAGCCTTGTAGTATAGTTTGAAGTCAGGTAGCGTGATGCCTCCAGCTTTGTTCTTTTTGCTTAGGATTGTCTTGGCTATGTGGGCTCTCTTTTGGTTTCATATGAATTTTAGAGTAGTTTTTTCCAATATTGTGAAGAAAGTCAATGGTAGCTTGATGGGGATGGCACTGAATCTATAAATTACCTTGGGCAGTATGGCCATTTTCACGATATTGATTCTTCCTATCCATGAGCATGGAGTGTTCTTCCATTTGTTCATGTCCTCTTTTATTTTGTTGAGCAGTGGTTTGTAGTTCTCCTTGAAGAGGTCCTTCACATCCCTTGTAAGTTGGATTCCTAGATATTGTATTCTCTTTGAAGCAATTGTGAATGGGAGTTCACTCATGATTTGGCTCTCTGTTTGTCTGTTATTGATGTATAGGAATGCTTGTGATTTTTGCACATTGATTTTGTATCCTGAAACTTGGCTGAAGTTGCTTATCAGCTTAAGGAGATTTGGGGCTAAGACGATGGAGTTTTCTGAATATACAATCATGTCATCTGCAAACAGGGACAATTTGACTTCCTCTTTTCCTAATTGAATACCCTTTATTTCTTTCTCTTGCCTGATTGCCCTGGCCAGAACTTCCAACACTATGTTGAATAGGAGTGGTGAGAGAGGGCATCCTTGTCTTGTGCCAGTTTTCAAAGGGAATGCTTCCAGGTTTGCCCATTCTGTATGATATTGGCTGTGGGTTTGTCATAAGTAGCTCTTATTATTTTGAGATGTGTTCCATCAATACGTAGTTTATTGAGAGTTTTTAGCATGAAGGGCTGTTGAATTTTGTCGAAGGCCTTTTTTGCATCTATTGGGATAATCATGTGGTTTTTGTCGTTGGTTCTGTTTATGTGATGGATTACGTTTATTGATTTGCATGTGAACAACTACCTACTTTCAGTCAAATTATCTCATTCTTGTTGTCAAGTTGAATGGACACTAGACAATGTAAGAAGTAAATTTCTAGGCTATACAGATTTTCCTGGGTGAGGTTGAAAAGAATATTGACCTCATCAGGTGACCTTGTCAAGATGTTTAATTTCTCTCTTCTATACTTATTATAATTTAATACATTATGGATGTTTGTTTATTTAAGTTTACTCCATTCATGAGTTATTTGGAGGATGAACTAATGTTGGTAGTGATCTCACATATTCTCAGATAGGAGATTCCAGATAAGTGCCAAGTGGTAAGAACAAAATAGAGTTCAACTGTTAAATATTAAGAAAGTGTTACTCAGTGGTTTCAGTTTGTTCAGAAATAGTGCAGGCCACCTCAGATCACCAGAATTACTTAGATGCTTTTGTTATGCTAGCATGACCTAAAAATCTGCTTGGGAACTAAATATTTGGCGCTCTCTTTTGTTTTTGCTGACCAGTGCATGACATCATGATTTCTGCCAGCGTGCCCTGCTTTCTGGTAATTCAGCTCTTACCCCCATTGCTCCTCTCCTTTTCACATCCTGGCTAACCTCTGATCAGCCTTCAGAACCTGCATTTTGGGTGGGGTGTCCCTGTTTTGGGTGCTCCCTTTCTACCTCGTGCTTCCATCCTAACCCTACTGGGTGGTTTGCACCTGCTTATTTATTGGTTGTTCTCCTAAACAAGACCACAAGCATCTAGAAGTCGAAACCATGTGTTACTCACTTTGGAATCTCTTGTAGAGGACCCATGCTCCATGATCCTTACAGCAAGGATGGTAAATCTGCAGTGGTGTAGGACTGTCTGTCTGTCTGCATATCTCCTAGAATGGTAAGACGGAGTGTGCTTGTGGTGATCGCTTAAAGGAACAGGGAGAGGCAGCATGGCACACTGTTCAAGAATAAGGACTCTGGATCCAGGCTGCCTGAGAGTAAACCCTCGCTCTGCCACTTTCTAGCTGTGTAACTTTGAAGAAGTTACTTACCCTTTCTGTGCCCAGTGCCCTTCATCCGTAGAATGAGGATAATACATACTAGGAGGCTGTTGTCAGGATTAAATGAGATAGTATACTTCAACTGTTTAGAATCATGCTAGTTCATAGTAAACACTTACTAAATGCTAGCTACTATTTTTAGGGATACTGACCCTAATGCACAGTATATTAATGTATAGTATATTACCTTATGTAATCTATTAAGGTTAGCCACAGAGAAATGTATGTTGAAATGTTGGAGACCTAGTAGAAGAGACAATTGTTTTAAGACACTTGGCTCTCAAGTAGAAGGCACGTTTGAAGGGGACCTAGCATGAAACTATAAGGCTTGGCTGGGTGCAGTGGCTCATGCCTGTAATCCCAGCACTTTGGGAGGCCAACGTGGGTGGATCATTTGAGGTCAGGAGTTCAAGGCCAGACTGGCCAACAAGGTGAAACCCTGACTCTATGAAAAATACAAAAATGAGCTGGGTGTGGTGGCAGGTGCTTGTAGTCCCAGCTACTCAAGAGGCTGAGGCAGGAGAATCACTTGAACCTGGGGGGTGGAGGTTGCAGTGAGCTGAGATCGCACCACTGCACTCCAGCCTGGGCAACAGAGGGAGTGAGACTCTGCCTCAAAAAATAAATAAATAGATATAAAATAAAATAAATAAGGCTTGTGTAATTTAAAAATTGTTGGTCACCTCTGTCATAGCATTGAGTTAGAGATAAGTAATAATTTAAAGTTGTCAACTGGATACTCTTGGTTCAATTCTAAAATGTGCTCAGGTAGGTTACTTGAAGACTGAATAAAATGTCAGATACGCCTTTTTTTTGAGACGGAGTCTTGCTCTGTCGCCCAGGCTGGAGTGCAGTGGTGAGATCTCGGCTCACTGCAAGCACCGCCTCCTGGGTTCACGCCATTCTCCTGCCTCAGTCTCCCAAGTAGCTGGGACTACAGGCGCCCGCCACCGCGCCCGGCTAATTTTTTATATTTTTAGTAGAGACGGGGTTTCACCGTGTTAGCCAGGATGGTCTCGATCTCCTAATGTCAGATTCACTTTTGATTGACCCAAGCTTCTTTTGCTGCAAGTCCATCTGTATATTTTTACCTCAACACAAAGCCACGTACACCCACATCCACACACGGATTCTTGACCCATGCTTACCAATACTGGCCATGCCCTAAGGCAGCTCAGGACAGTATTTGTTATTTTAGGAATTTCCCATCTTGAAGCACAGCCTTCTCTGTGATGTCAGTTTATTCAGACTTCAAAGTCTGCATGTAAACCTGTTATTGTGCCTACTGTAACTATTATGACTCGGTGCCTCATTTCTCACTTACGGCCAAGCAAACCCCCCAATTATCCACACACGAATGGAGATCAATGGCATGGATGGTGCTAAGCAACTGATTTGGTTTTGAATTGAACTATGTGACTTTTGGAACATGAGATGTTCCTTTTACATTACAGTTTACTTTGGCTAACAAAGATTAGCCAACATTAGATTTAGTCCTACTGTGGATGGTTTTTAAATTTCTGTGAATAATTTTCAAGAATTAGTACTTCTGTGTAGACACTCACTGATCACTTTACACACTATTAGAGAGGCAGGTGGTGGAGAGGAGAAGGGTGAGGTTTTGGAGTTTGACTCAGCTCAGATCCTGGCCCGGGCCAGAGTCCTGGCCCTTACTCTACTGTTATATTAGGTAGATTGCAGTTGTCTTGACTGGATAACAGAGGCAATATTTCCTGTTCTGAATGTTAAGAGGATTAGAGAAGATAACATATTGGGGAGATATTGGCCCAAAGATATGAAATTTCAGTTAGATAGGAGGAATAAAATATATACATAATTTAAAAATGTATATATATATACACACACACACACACACATATACGTGTGTATATATATATATATATATATATATAGACCAGTTTTATAACTATTTATAAATTCATTTCAGCATTCCTGATTGCCTAAATATGTTTCCTGAATTTACCTTTGGACAATTTGTAACATATTATGTTGGTGCAAAAGTAATTGCGTTTTTGTCATTGCTTTTAATAGCAAAAACTGCAATTACTTTTGCACAGACCTAATATATCTGCTTCCCTAATTAGTTAATGAGCTAAATAAAATCCTTGAAACATGTTCATTTTAGAAAATACAAAGAAAACGTCTAGAAAGCATCCACCACAGTGACACATGGTAGGTAATCAATCAATGTTACCTGTTATTAATATATACAATTTATAGAATTCTGAACTACCCTAATGAAAATCACAGTGCATGGAAGGATAATGGGCATATGTCTGTTATAATCTAGCCACAGAAAAGCAGTTTTTTTGTTTAGGTACCCCCTCCCAAATGTCTTTATTTTAGGTTTCCTAAATGTAAGAATTCTCTATGAAGTTTCCATATATAAGTAGACACTTATAACTTAAATTTTTCCATCCTACTTTAGCCACCATTTGGGAGGCACCTGTCACTATTTTGCAAGTCTTGTTGGATGCCTTGGGTAGGAAGTCCTTTGGCATCTGCCAGGCAGTGGGAGAGAACCCAGCAGAGGGGGAGGCTGAGCGTCTCATAAGAGAGACTGGACCATGGCAGCCTCAGAGAGATACGCAGGATCAGCGGGCACCCCACATAACTGGGGCCCCAAAAGAATGAGGCGTATTTTGGGGAAATGCTGATAATTGCTGTAGAATACTTATATAAAAATAAAATCAATTCATGCAGTTATATAGATCTTAGATTATAGATTATATTTAATATAAGACAATGCACTGAAGAAAAAGTTTTATGTTAGACCAATAGAATTCAATTTTGAAATGTTAACTTTGATAATATATGAGTGTACTTTCTGGATTTTAAACTTTGTAAAAAAACCTATGTAGTTATTTTAAGGTAATTGGAAAATGCATTTTGGCTGTTACTACTCTTGATTAAAATGAGGAGCAGGACAATATGTTTGAAAAAGACACAATATTGAAGGATGACAAAAGACCTGGCTCCTAGCTCTGTGACCTTCAGCAAGGTCGCTTCACTTCTCTGGGGATCTTAAAAGGATGAGGTGCTTTCGTTTGTTAAAACCGATCTTGCTTTGTTTTGGGAGTGGCTGCTCTTTCCTTTTTCAGCTCCAACATGCCCTGATTTTAATTGGTATCCTCACCTCTTTTTGTGCCGGAAGAAAAGGCAGCCCGAGGGCATTCAGAAAAAAATCCTGTGCCCTGAAGCTCTTGAGCCACTGAGAACTTAATGAGCCAGGGAGAGAGACAACTCCGATCTTTCTGAAATGACAACTAAAAATATGTTGCATTGATTGGGTTTTTTATAGTTATAAAATCTTTTACTTAAAGTGTACATAAAAGGATGATGGCATGACAATTAAGAGCTTCGGTTTGCAATCACAGTTATGGGTTTTAAATCCTGGGTCTACCATTTACTTGGCTGAGACATGAAGGAACAAGTAATTTAATCTCCCAGAGCCTTAGTTTCCTCATTTGTAAAATGAGGATAGTAATACCTATCTCCCAGGCTTGTGATGAAGATTGAATATGGTAATATTTGTGAAAAAATCTTAGCACACACCGAAAAGTCCTAGTACAATGAGCTGACAGTAATAGTAGCTATTGTTAGCTACTATGGACATTGACTTGAACCACATCTGAGCGTGTTTGGGAGAACCACGGTAATGTTTACTTTGCAAAAACATGCTCTTTTTATTGTTTGATCACACTTTACTGTAATTATCAGTTTAATGTCTGACTATCCCCACTAGACTATACAATCTGGATCTGTGAGCCAGGGCCATGTCCCTCTTATCTGCCCTGAACACCTGATTAGCACAATACCTGGCATGTCATTTCTGTGTAGGTAACCAGAGGAGGTTACACCAGCTCCCCATGGATGGCAAACCTAACTCAGAATAGGGATTTGGGTGCCAGGAAGACAAAAGCAGGAGGTGAAAGTAAGTTGTTCAGCATTCCATTTCCTTAGGATTACTCTAAATGGCTAAACTACAAGTTGAAGTATGAAATGCATCAGAATCAAGGTCTCCAGGTTGGTGTAGCCCTGGCCAGCTCAACATGAAATGAGAGCCATGGGCAACAGCCTACAGCACCACATACAGCTGGGTGGAGAGTGACTTCACCTTAGATCTTTATGGTTTCTTCTTTGAGAAAATAATAAGTGGTTATCTGTGTTTTAATTTCTGTTAGAAGTAAATTTGTTCCACATTCCTTGTTTCTAAAGCCACTCAGTGACTTTATTAATGTGTATTGAAGTTATACGCGCAGCTTTTGATTAGTCCATCACCAAGATCCTCTAAAAACAATGTTTTCCTCCATAAATGAAGTTCTGTCCTCAACCTGAAAGTCATGGATATGGATTGGTCCAGTGTCATGTAGATTTGCAACCTTTCAGAATAATGAAGAAACTTTGGTATTAGTCATAAAGAGGGCACACTCTGAGCAGGAAGGCTGGCCGAGGGCCAGGAGGATATTGTTCACAAAAGACCTGCAACAGAGAATCTGAAATTTGGATAATCTTACCAAGGTGTTGAAATCAGCTTCTTAGTGTTACCGAAAAGGAAGAAAGATTTCCAGACAGAGACTAAATAAGTCTCCTAATCAATGTGAAAGAATATGTGCCTTGGGAACAAACTGGAGTGGATATTATGTTCATCTCTTTCTCAACCCTGTCTTTCAATAACACACGTCAGTTTTTTTTGATATTTTTAAATTTATTTTTATTTTTATTTGTGTGTGTGTGTGTGTGTGTGTGTACCTCTAAGTTCTAGGGTACATGTGCACAACATGCAGGTTTGATACACAGGTTTACATGTGCCATGTTGGTTTGCTGTACCCATCAACTCGTCATTTACATTAGGTATTTCTCCTAATGCTATCCCTCCCTCCTCCCCCCACAACAGGCCCCCGTGTGTGATGTTCCCCACCCTGTGTCCAAGTGATCTCATTGTTTAATTCCCACTTGTGAGTGAGAACATGTGGTGTTTGGTTTTCTGTCCTTGTGATAGTTTGCTGAGAATAATGTTTTCCAGCTTCATCCATATCCCTGCAAAGGACATAAATTCATACTTTTTTATGGCTGTATAGTATTCCATGGTGTATATGTGCCACATTTTCTTAATCCAGTCCATCATTGATGGACATTTGGGTTGGTTCCAAGTCTTTGCTATTGTGAATAGTGCCGCAATAAACATATGAACACATGTCAATTTTTGCCAGATACACACGGAGAGGTGTGAATTAAAGTCACTGTTGAGTAAGTCTGTGATATGTGTCTTTCAATAGAAAGAAGGAAAAGTCTCTGAAAGAACAAACAAGAGCCCTCACATCCAAATTGTTAAAAAAAAAATGGGGTAGATGTATGGTTTCTGAAATCATCTCCAAATGGATACTGTCTATTAAATGTTTGTCTCCAACATAATTCACACTGAAATGCAAATGGAAATGATTTTTTCCTTGGAATAGAGTGAATATGTAGTGACTTAGATATTTTTCAAAAAGGGCCACGTGTGGTGGTTCACACCTGTAATCTCAGCCCTTTAGGAGGCTGAGGTGGGTGGATCACCTGAGGTCAGGAGTGCGAGACCAGCTTGGCCAACATGGGGAAACCCTGTCTCTACTGAAAATACAAAAATTAGCTGGGCATGGTGGCACACACCTGTAATCCCAGCTACTCGGGAGGCTGAGGCAGGAGAATCGCTTGAACTCGGGAGGTGGAGGTTGCAGTGAGCTAAGATTGCACCACTGCACTCCAGCCTGGGTGACACAGTGAGATTCCATCTCAAAAAAGAAAAAGATACATAAAAAAGGATATATTTAAAAAGATATTAAATATTAATATAAGCCAAACTCATGATTCCTAAATTTCTCCAGAAAGTTTCAATATGGCTTAACATAGACCCAATTCCTCATCCGCCTGGGTAATTTATCCTGTGATTTGTAGCAATACTGTGTCTGTGTTTGTAATGCTCCTTTCAGTGAACTCATTGTGCCAAGCTATGCTTATGATTTCTATCATCTTCATCCCCCAACTGGCCACTATTAATAATTAGATATTTATTTATTTGTAATCAACCATGGTATCTGGCACTGGCATTCTATTTTAGTGAAGCTCAATATTTTCAGAAAAATCTCAGACCATGTTTTCAGGGCATATTTACACTAAGAGTAATATTAAGGTATAGTTTCAGGAGAGAAGATAGCCTAACCTGTACTGGGAAAAAAACAGAGAAAAATAGAAAGCGTTATACAATTATAGTCATCCTATAATAATGTACTTCATGCAGAATTTTTCAGTTATGCTCATTCCTTTAGTTGTCTGCAGTAAAAAGGGTGCCAACAGACAGATCTGATGCCATCTTCTAGGATTTCCAGGTGTTTCAGGGGCCAAATGACATGCACCTCCAGTTTGGCAGGCATGCTGCTTGTTGTCTGTGCATAATCTCATTAAAACAACATAAAAGCAGGGCTGATTGCAGAAATCCGGGGCATCTTTTTCAGGTGTGTAACACAATATTTAATGAAAGTATCTTTTCTGAAACTCCCGGTCAGCACTCCTGATTTAGCCAGCTCTTTTTTCACCTGTGGACTTCGCTGCTCAGTTCGTGTGTGTGTGTAGACTGAGGGTGTTTTTCCTCGCTTATACAAACCCTCTGTCTCTGCCATTGCCCCTTAAGGGAACCCGCTGAAGTTTCTCAGATGCCAAAGCACAGTTAGTGCTCCAGGGCAGGAGGGGCTTCCCCCTAGTTATTCTGTTGCAGCTGTTCCTTGCCCCATCAGTCACCCTGATGTCCCAGGAAAGGCAACACAAGAGTGAGTAAAGAAAGGGTCACAGAGCAGCATTTCTTGTGCACGTAACTCCATCCCAAATGAAAATGCACAAGTGGGCCCCGTGTCCCTGATCAATGTGATATGTGTCTTAAAATACTGAGGTTCACTAAAATAGGATGCCAGTGCCAGGTACCATGCATGCTTGATTAAAAGCACGCCCTGCTTCCTGCTCCCCTGGCTAGTGATGGGCCCACCCTATTACACCACCCTGCCTGCGACTCAGACCACACCAGAAAGCCTGCCCATGTGCAGAGCCAGAGTTCAGAGATAGTGACACTTCAAGTAGGCAGGGGTGCAGCAAGGCTCAGGACGAACCCAGGCAGCACTGGGTGGCCTTGATCTGATACCGAAGCCTGGCCTCAGCTCTTGAACTTGGCTCCCCTGCACCCTGAGGAAGGAACTAACCCTGGGCCCTGTCTTGCCTTCTCCTGGACCTCTTACTTTCTTGCCTCATCTCCCCTATGGATTCTGTGCAATCAAAACAGACCCTCCGACCCTGGCTTTATTTTACACTGAAAAGCACCAAGATTTCTTTTGCCTTGCAATGGAAGTTTATGGGCCCCAAATAAGAGTTACTCTTTATAAAAACAAACAAACAAAAACCTAAAATCAACCTATTCTTCTGGAGAAAGCTAAACAAACATGAGAACACACATAGTCCCTGAAATTTTGGTGTACTTTTCTCATTCCTTGTTCTCTGGGTGAATATATCTCCCCTGAAAGGATTTCCTCTAGTCCGCTACTGCAAGTGATCTTGTTTTTTGTCCTCAGTAGCACTGTTCATACCTTTGTTTCGTGGCCTTCCCAGGGGAAGTACTGTCTTGTTTATCTTTGCATCTGCTCCTGCTGCGGTCATCGGCAGAGCACTGTCACCTGCCATATGGGAGATCCTTAATAGTAATTTATCACTAAATGATAGCTATTGATTCATTTCCCCACTAGACTGCAGCGATTAGTGACGATTTGCACATAGCACGTGCTTAATAAACATTTACTAAATTGAACTAACATGAAAGCAAAAGCAACCTTTTGTTTTCTAACTAACTACAGTCTGCCTAAATGATTTGCGCTGCAGAACAGAACAAATAGATGGAAAGCTTGGCAAGGTTAAGGCAGCGTGCAGAGGAAAGGTGCTGGCTGAGTCAGGAGACCCTGGCTGTGACTACTTTTGCTTTGACTTTGCCCCCGTGGATGCCCTCATCTCCTTTCAGGATGTTGGGATGGTCTAATGGCTATAAAAACACTTTGGGAAGAGTTTACAGCATTTTACAGACACAAGGTGTTATTATTTCCTTTACAATTTTCAATAGCAAAAAAACATAATAAGCATTTAGTAAATGTTGACTATCAGTGTTAAATACTGTTTACTCTCCAAATAAGTGAGCTGTAATACTTGTGTAATGCTTTCTCACAGGTATGAATTAGGAGCCGCTCTGTTTATTGGATGGGCAGGAGCCTCACTGTGCATAATTGGTGGTGTCATATTTTGCTTTTCAATATCTGACAACAACAAAACACCCAGGTATGAAAAAGAGACAAAAATGACCTGTTAAAAAGTAGAATGCTATCATAAATCATTACATGTGGAACAAATTACAGATAGTTCATATGATTCTTAGAAACTTCCAAAATCCGGAATTGGAAAAGGTTAGCAGTACAGTTAATTTTTTAAAGTTTTACCATTACTATATTCCAAAGAAAATTCTAACGTAGAAATAAGGGTCTGAATATGAGGACATGTTCTTCACGTTGGCCTCATCATAATTTTCCTCTAGGTAGGCAGGAATGTTGATGGCCTCTACTAAGTCTCCTAGCTTCCAGGAGGGTGAGTTTTAAAACATGGTTTTGTAAGAGGATAACTGAACAAATGACCAAGTCATGAGTTTCTTCTGCAGAGATTCTCCATCCCACTCAGAAATGACACTGAAAATACTTCTTGGGGCAAGAGGAGAGAAGAAAGCTATCTAAGAAAGAGGAAGATTTACATTTAGATATTGGCAGAGACAGGCCGAAACAGTTTCTTCCCATTTTTGTTTGCCCTATGTGTAGAATAGAATCTACCAAACTATGTTTTACCTTTCAGATACACATACAACGGGGCCACATCTGTCATGTCTTCTCGGACAAAGTATCATGGTGGAGAAGATTTTAAAACAACAAACCCTTCAAAACAGTTTGATAAAAATGCTTATGTCTAAAAGAGCTCGCTGGCAAGCTGCCTCTTGAGTTTGTTATAAAAGCGAACTGTTCACAAAATGATCCCATCAAGGCCCTCCCATAATTAACACTCAAAACTATTTTTAAAATATGCATTTGAAGCATCTGTTGATTGTATGGATGTAAGTGTTCTTACATAGTTAGTTATATACTAATCATTTTCTGTTGTGGCTTTCTATAAAAAATAAACAGTTTATTTACAGGATTTGTAAAATGTTTTCTACATTTATATAGAACATGAAAAGCATTTAGTACCAAAGGTTCAAGAAGTATTCGTACTCTAGCCTTTTTAATCATTCATAGATAGAAGTCTTTGTACCCACTCCTTATGTTTCTTTTCATTCATAAACAGGTGTATAAGGAACAATGTCTTATAAACAGCATGGGGGCAATCTGAGAATATTCCTCAAAAGGTGTCCAGGTTAAATAGACATGTTACTGGCTGCACACAGGCAAATTCTAGTTTGTTTTTTTTAAGTATTCTACAACATTTATTTAAAAAGGTAAATCTTTTTGTTGAAGCAGCAAGTTATCTGGTAGAACTTAACTTCTACAGGATCAGAGAGGATCTTGCTCATTCATGGCCATATCCACATGCCCATGGCCACTCAGTAGATTGTTGAAAAAGCAAAGCCACACCATTCTCTTTGATGTATGCAGAGAGTTACGTAGCAGGGGATGTTCTCTGATTTATTCCACTGGCACCATTAGTGAATATTTAGTTGTTTTCATAAACGATGCTGTGATGAAGACTCATGTACATATTTAGCAAATTTTGGTTTCTTACATGTGCCTGTCATGACTGTAATTCATTATGACTGCTCCAGGAAGGGCTAATGGGGCCAATATATTATTGCCTGTCATGTGGCACATCCATGTTAAGGGGCTGAGGCGTCCCTGGCACGGAATGCAGAGCCCTGAGCTAGGGCATCAGCAGAAGCTGAGATAGAGATATTGGTCATGGTTGACTGAGGAGCCAATTAAAACCTGTTTATGCCTAGTGTTCCATTATTGGAACACTAAGCATGTGGGAGTTATTTATATCCTACTGCTCAAGGTCATCGCCAAGGTGTGATTGGAAAAATTCAAAAAATTGCAACCTCAGGCATAAATGGGTTAAGGACATCCCAAGCCCAAGTGGTACGTGCCTCACTCAGAACTGACGGGCCGAGTTCTATCTAGGTGTGTCTTCCAGAACCTGTTTACGGCTAACTGGATAACTGAGAGACTTGTCATTTCTAAAGACATTTAAGTTGCTCCAGGGATTTCTGAAAAAAGACACAGGCTTCTTCCTAGAGCCAGCCCTATATAACATGCCCACAAGGGCAACAGTTATCACAGTTCATACACACCTTTCATGTCCTGTCTCACTCACTCCTCACAGCCATCCTAGGAGATACATATTGTTTTCATCCTGCATTTACAGAAAAAGAAATGAAAACAGAGAGCTTAAATAATTTGCCACAGTAATGTCGAAACTAGGCCTTTGAACCAAGGCAGTCTAGGGTAAAATATAGTTTCAAAGTATGAATAAGAATTGGTATTTGTGTTATCTTTGAGTAAGAAACTGTCCGATATGAATCACAACGTGGGTGAATGTAGTATTTTCCTGAAGTGTGAAAGACTTAAAAAAAAGAATCACATTGTTCAGAGGTGCTCAATGGAAAGAAAAGGAAATGAACAAGTTTGTTAAAAGATAAAAAATAAAAAAAATTCCATACCTTGATAATCCTTGAAATATCTTTTGCAGAAATACAAATCAACTGAAAGACATGAAGGTAGATTAGGTCCTACAGGCCAGTGTGGGACAGGGTTGTGTAGGTGTGCATTTCAAACACATTTATTATTCAGAAGTGGTGCAGATAACGCTTAGATTACACCGAAGAATTTAGGGAGGGTGGGGGATGAAGGTCTGTTAGTAACCAGAAACACATTAGTTGGGCATCAGTAAGGGGCAACATAAAGGAATGGTTCCCCTCAAAAACGAACAAACCAAATTTTATACAAAAAAATGAAATGCAGCAGGGCGCGATGGCTCACGCCTATAATCCCAGCACTTTGGGAGGACAAGACAGCGGATCATTTGAGGTCAGGAGTTCGAGACCAGTCTGGCCAACATGGTGAAACCTCATCTCTACTAAAAATACAAAAAATTAAGCCAGGCATGGTGGTGGGCACCTGTAATCCCAGCTACTTGGGAGGCTGAGGCAGGAAAATCGCTTGAATCTGGGAGGCGGAGGTTGTAGTGAGCCGAGATGGTGCCACTGCGCTCAAGCCTGGGCAACATAGTGAGACTCTGTCTCAAAAAAAAAAAAAAAAAAAGATACAACTAACCATGTAAGCTAAAGGAGGGGCTCTTAAAAGACACAGATATAGTGACTTAATTTAAATACTGGGTTTACTTAGCAAAAGTTCATTTCCCCAAGCTCTTCTGCTCAGGAATGAAAACATGGCAGACACAAAACATGGAATAGAGACCTGGCTTAAAGTCTCCCCTTGACACTTTGTACTTGTATGGCTTCTGGCAACTTACTTAATAACTCTGTTTCTCACACCTTTAGGATGAGGATTATAACAATAACTACATCGCAAAGTTGTTGTAATTAAATGAATTAGTGCGTGTTCAAAACCAAACCAGACCAAGTGGTTCAATAAATATCTGCTGAATAAATAAATGAATGAACAAAGTGGCACATGGGCCATCTTAGGCTTGGTGTAGTTTTGTAGATTGCCGTTCTCTGTCCTACCACATGAAACTTGGATTCGGCCTTCTGTTCTCTGTCCTACTACATGAAACTTGGATTCAGCCTTCACTAAAGCTTTTAGAAACATACATATAAAGTGAGTATATCTGCATGAAATGGCCCCTATAGGAAGTTGGAAGGATTCTTTTAGAGGGCAGGAATGGGCTACAAGTAAAAAGGATCCCAGGGTGGGTGGAAACAGATAAAGATTTGTTCTAACCATTAGGACAGAATGTCATATGGCATAGCAATCAAGGCCAGATTCTCCCTCTGTAAGACCCCTAATAAGTACAAATTTAACTCAGAATTCATCTCTAATAACACAGCCACAGTCACAGTGATGTAACAGAGGGCTTTACTGAAAAGGTTGACAAATGAAAAGAGATCTAAAACCCAACAAATCTTTTAGTTAAAAGGTTACTTGGAAACAGAATATAGTATAACCAAGTTATAAAAATGCAAAAAACAGCTTATAAGAACTTTCTTTCGACAATGTCATTGTTTAAGAATGTAACTAAATTACTTTTGAGGTATTTCATAATACATGTTGGGTATTTTAAATAGTAAAAAAAAACATACATATGTGAATTCAGTAATGGCTCAAATATTTTCTATTTAGTCTGATAAATTAATTGGCACTTAAAATAACTATACTTTATTCATAAAATATCCAAGATAAAGAATATGCTATATAAAATAACCAACCATTTAATAGTAACATGCTTACAGTGGCTCAAAGCTGAATGTGACAAATGTACTCCAGGAAAATGTATTTAACATTGGACCTAGCTATATTCTAATCCTAAACTTACTTTTTTGGGGTGTGGAGGGGTGGAGTCTTGCTATATTGCCCACGCTGGTCTTGAACTCCTGTGCTCAAGTTATCCTCCCACCTCAGCCTCCCAAGTAGCTGGGATTAAAGGTGAACACCACCACACTCGGATTAAACTTACTTCTATATGAAAAATAACCAGACTAACTTTTAAGGATTAGTGGTTCCACCAATTCAATTTTAAGACTACTAACAGAATTTTATAATATAAACGCCTACGATACGACAGCATACATAAGAAAAATATTTTTTAAAGTTTTAGTAATTCAAACCAAAACATGCTGTAAGTTTAAAAAAAATTCACTAAAAAATTAGTTGAAAAAAATACACTTAACACTAGAGTACCTTTCTGAAGAAAAAACTTTTTATGACTTCAATGACATGTTATTTTTAAGCAGCAGCGGAAGTCTTAAACACCTTTACATGCTTCGAAATACTGTTGATGATCTGATTTTCAATACTGTATTGGGTGCCATTAAAGAGACCATTGTTCTTTGAATCAGTCTCTGTGTTGCTGTGGGAAACACGGTAAGGCAGAAGCACTAGAATCATGGAGGCAAATTACTGAAACACTGTGATACTGAAATACTGCTGGCTTCTGGAATAATCTTCTGACATGTGGAATTAGACATCTGAAGTGTCGCTCCAATCAGTCACAGTTACTAAGCTGCTTTTTAATGTGCTTGATTCATTTTCTTGAAGTCCTGTAAGTGGTGGGTAGAGGCAGAAGAGAAGGCCTCAATGGTTAAACAAGCACATTGTCAAGTCTATAAAAATCCATAATTTCATATTGTCATTAATCACTCAGTGTCTAAATCTGTTCATGAATCCTCATCTCCCAACCCTCATGAGCTATGTATAGGACGCCACTTTAAAATCCAACTGTGAACTGGTCGCATCTCTAGGATACACTCAGGACCCTTGGATGCAAGCTTCTGCCCTGCAGCCTACAAACAGCA
Organism: Homo sapiens; assembly: GCF_000001405.40. Lineage (NCBI taxonomy): Eukaryota > Metazoa > Chordata > Mammalia > Primates > Hominidae > Homo > Homo sapiens. The sequence continues at coordinate 95,582,569 of NC_000013.11, forward strand.
GGGACCACATCCTGCTTCCCACTCCTTCCCCAGCATTCAGCTCAGGGCCTGGATGTTGAAGGTGCTCAGTACATTTGTGTTGTAGTTACTGACTCTGAGTGAATAGATGGTAAAGAAAGAAGGATGAAATTAGCAAGCCAAGTAAAGTGTTAAAAACATATTTTCTAGGTAGATAGGATTAACAACGAAGTCAATTTTAAAATGCCATGATTTTGAGCCAGTGAAATAGAGTGCAGAGAATTCCACTCAAGTTTGACTCTAGAAATGTGTTCCTCCAGGGGCACAGGTTTATGATGTTGGAGGAAAGAGACAGGAGATGTCCTTAGGGCATCCTCTTGGCCCTGTAAAGAGTCACTCTAATGCCAACAGGTCTCCTGGTTTTCAATAATTAGAGTTGATGCTTAGCACAGATAACTGATGCCAGTTATGCAACAGCTATGTTATAACTGGACAATGTGAGAGAAAAGGTAGCGTGAAGGAGACAGGCAGCAACATCTTATCTTACAAAGGGGCGAGAGGCTGCTGAAAATGGAAAGAGCAAGGGTGGAGACATGCAGGTATTAACTTAAAATTACAGTCTGGGTGCAGTGGCTGACACCTGTAATCCCAACAGTTTGGGAGGCTGGGGTGGGAGGATCATTTGAGCCCAGGAGTTTGACACCAGCCTGGGCAAGCTGGTGAGACCCCATCTCTTAAAAAAAAAAAAAAAGTAATAAAATTATAAGTAGGAGTACAAAAACAGTGAAGAAGGCGTGAGAGGTGCGGTGGGTGGTGAAAATGAGCCAAGTCCCCATCTGTCTTTGCAGGACATCAACAGTTAATATCTAAAGTCAATGAATCAACAAAGAGTGGTTTAAGGCCATTACTGAGAGGCACAGAGCTACCACTAATGAAGGTGGTGCGATGGCATAGAGAAGCCTTCTGAACAACTCAGCTTTCAACATGTGCAAGAATTACTTTGACAAAAAAATTACAATTTTCTAATTTAAAAAAAAATTACTAAGTTATTGGGCTTATCTAGGCTCTAGATTGGGGGATATGAAAATCATTTCAAGTAATTATCTCATAGTATTTCATCCCACTGACTACACGGCTACAAGAGAAACCTCCCTTGGGAGAAAATGAAGAAAAATATTTAATAGGGAAACAGACTAATACAGAGAGACTGCCAGAAGAGTGGTCTCATTCAGGTATATGATCAGAAATTTTAATTCCTAAAAGGCATCTTCATGAAGAGAATACGTGTATAGACATTTTTAAAAATAATATAAAAGCTGGGCATGGTGGTGCACATCTGTAGTCACAGCTACTCAGGAGACTGAGGCAGAAGGATTGCTTGAGCCCAGGAGTTTGAATCCAGCCTAGGCAACATAGTGAGACCCCATATCCTAAAAAAAATAAAAAAATAATAATAATAAATTTTTTTTGAGACAGAGTCTCACTCTTTTGCCAGGCTGGAGTGCAGTGGCGTGATCTCAGCTCACTGCAACCTCCACTTCCCAGGTTCAAGCAATTCTCCTGCCTTAGCCTCCCAAGTAGCTAGGACTACAGGCGCGCACCACCATGCCCAACTAATTTTTGTATTTTTAGCAGAGACAGCGTTTCACCATGTTGGCCAGGATGGTCTCAATCTCTTGACCTCGTGATCTGCCCGCCTTGGCCTCCCAAAGTGCTGGGATTACAGGCGTGAGCCACTGCGCCTGGCCAAAAAAAAAAAAAAAATAAAAGAATACAAACAATTTGGGGGCCACGAGCGGTGGCCCATGCCTGTAATCCCAGCACTCTGGGAGGCCGAAGTGGGAGGACTGCCTCAGTTACTGGGGAGGCTGAGGTGGGAGGGCTGTTTGAGCCTAGAAGGTTAAGGTTGCAGTGAGCCATGATGGCCTGGGTGACAATAACACCGTTTCAAAAACAAAAAATAAAAATAAAAATAAATTAAAAATTTAAAGACTAAAGATTAGTCCTATAATTAAATAAAAATAACAAGTAAATATATATGAATCAGTGAGTTATGCATATCCAATCCTTATTTAAATAACATAAAGAAAGCACTGACAGCTTTTTTGTCTGATGATATACCAGCATAAGTTAATTAGATATTTATAAAGATGAAACACAACTAATAAGAAAATGGATCGAGCTTGTATTAGAGGGGAAAGCAGCAAACCTTCTCCCTTTGGCCCCTTAGGATTAAATGCGCCCCAGGCATTTAGCACATGAGCAAAATGTGGTTCATTTTTCGCAGGTGGAGGTTCCTTCTGTTCTTTCCCAGATTTTTTTCCCAAAGATATCTCTTCCTCTAGGGATGATATGTCCCAGTCTTCATCCTCCACATCCGCACACTAAAAGAAAGGCATGGAGAATAATTAATGTTGCTTAGAAAAAAATGGTGTCCCTCAATCATTTTATTGGTTAGACTGAGCATCTAACACTGAACCATAAGGAAAGAAGTGGGGAACTATTAATACTTCCAAATCTAGTCATTTCTGCAGGGCAATGAAATAGATTTGGAAGTTGGTATTTTGAAATCTGAATCATCTCTTTTTCGTTTCTGCCATGGAAATATATGTTTCCTACTCTACCAATCATGAATGTAGAAAATTCCAGAAATACTACACTGTAGCGGTATGAAACTCTAAAAGTCAGGGTGCTCCAGAGTAGGAGTGAGGCTTGCTCTTGCTTCTTACCTCTGTGATAATAATGACATCTAACTGTGGGTACATCAGACCAACCGAATAGCCCCCAACTGAAAGGTGCACACAGTTCTACCATGCCCTTCCTAAAGAAAGATGCTTTTGCTCTCTCTTGAATGTCATAGGACTTTCTGTCATTTTTGGCTTGTGTAACACAAATAGTATTAACTAATAAAAGTAATTTGACAAAATGCCCTGGACTGGAGGACCAGTCAACACAGATGAGCTGTGCCCAGAAATACAATGATAGAGCTCCATCCACAGAAACACCTCTGGCGTCCTGGCTGTTAGAACCACTGGGAAAATGTTTGGGCTTCTTCTCTAATGCAGACAGAGGAGCTTGGCCTCCACCCTCACTTCGGCTCCCAAGTGGAGCTAAACCCTCAAAAGTACCTAAGGTCTCATGCCAGGGTAGTGAAGAAGATCTGAAGGGCCCCAATTCTGGCCAGTCACAAATTTCTTTGTACAAACCATTTGATATCTGCAAGTATCAGATAATACATGTGACAGGATCTTGAAAACCTGTAAAGTGTCATGCTTATTATGTATTGTTACAGTTATCACTCCAATATCTTTGTCTATGGAATGGAAAGAAATGCAATACTGAGAACAAGAAAGGTGAAAATCTCAACCTCTACTCTACCAGCTAACTATCTGTTTTATATTTCACTACAAAAAGTGTGACCATTAAGGTGCTGTCCAAAGACAAATTTATGTATATCTAGCAAGTAAAAGTGATTTCACCTTTAGTTCTTGTAATTCTTCTTTTTTGATAAACATCTCAGGGACATTAGTTCCACCGACTGGTTTGTTCACATTTTTGCGATGTGGAAACATCTTTTCAACTTTTTCAGTAGGTGTTTTAACGGCGACTCCTATAAGATCAATAAAAATTAGGCAAGTTAAGTATTTAAAAATTTAATCTATCTTTAGTTCCAAAATAACCTTACAGGAAACTTTGAAAGAGTCTAAGCTTTGGAAGTAATTATGTATTATTAAAATAAAATCAGTTGATGTACTTTGGGGTTAGAAAATTTAACACACAATCCTTAAAAAAATCATAATCCTTCAGACTATGAGCTATATAACATTTTCATTTTATTTAGTTAATTAAAAAAAATAGAGACGAGGTCTTGCTATGCTGCCTAGGCTGGTCTTGAACTCCCGGGCTCAAGCAATCCTCCTGCCTCATCCTCCCAAAGTGCTGGGATTACAGGTGAGAGCGACTGTGCCTGGCCTAAAGTTTACATTTTAAATCAAAGAAAGAGGATCTCATTCAAGTGTGTGGTCAGAAATTAATTTCAGTGAGATAACCTGCATGAGTGGAATATTCATATGGGTATTTACAAAAACAATATGAATTTTTAAATGAATTATATTTTATCTAATTATATAAATACATAGTATATACCCATTATATACAATATAAATTACATCCAACAATATATTAAATATAATAAATTACACACAATATATTAAATATAATAAATTACACCTGATATGTTTAAAATATATAATTTTAAAATTGCATTAAGCTGAATTTTTTAAAAAAATAATGACCCATCAGCTCTACTTCTCGTCAGCAAATATTTGCAGTGACAGGCTAAGATCTTGTCTTCCTTTAGTATTACTCCAGCTCCAAGAGGCAGCACAGTGTATTAGAACAGCCATTCTCATAGTCACCCAGTGTCCTGGGTTGACTTGTGTCCCTCTAAATTCACATGTTGAATTTCTAAACCCCATTGCTTAGAATGTGACCTTATTTGGAGGCACAGTCTTTGCAAAGGAAATCAAGGTAAAGTGAGGTCATTAGGGTGGGCCCTAATCCAATGTCCTTATACAAACGAGACATCTGGACAGAGATGCACACAGAGGGAAGATGATGTGAGGATGCACAAGAAGACAAGTCAAGGACAGAGGCGCGGAACAGACCCTCCCTGGCAGCCCTCACAGGAACCAACAGCGCCAACACCTTGATCTTGTACTTCCAGCCTCCAGAACTGTGAGGCAAGAAGGTTGTGTTCCTTAAGCCACCCAGTTTATGGTACTGTTATAGCAGCCCTAGCAAACTAATACACCAGGTATCATTCCCAACTCCTTCCTCTCCTTCAACTGGAATGTGCTAAACCCTGCCCATTTTCCGTGGGTGCCTTTGGGATCCGCTGCATCTGTTCCTTGCACACCCTCCCAGCTCAGACTCCCAGTGCTCGGTACACACGGGTGAGGACAACTGTCCTAAATACAGTTTCCAGAGAGTTTTCCAAGGTAACAGCTCACCTGCGGGCTTGGGAGAATCATCAGTGTCCTCGATTTCGCTTCCCTCGGTCCCGTCCGCGTCACTTTTCACTGTGTTCTTCCCGAAGCTGCCCTTGTTTTGTGGTGGCGGCACAGGAAGTGGGCCTGGGGATGCGTATGCCCGGATGAGGTCGTCGTCCTCCTGCTCCTCCTCTGAACTAAAAGGAGGGGTCCTACACAAATCAACACCGAGATAGGGGCGCTGTTTTCGTAACGCTTTAGGATTTATAATATTAAGAGATGTGCCTCTTAAAGTGGTGGCACCTTTCTCAGGTAATTCTCAGTGGGCACAAGTGCCTTTGGGGCTATGGCCAAGATGGCGGCGAGGCCAGAGGTTATACCCACGGCTGTAGCATCCTCCCACGCCCAGATCTCTGCCAGCCACGGGGCATGTTTATCAAAATGGGCTGAAGCCGGGGCCTGTCTCCTCTAAACCCAAATGTGTATATATTCTTAATAATTTTGGTTTTCACACACCTAAGAAAAACATTTCCTCAGTAAAACCACTCCATGTTTTAAAATTGTGTCATTACTTACAGCTTCTTTATACTGCACCTTCTTGCAAAGAGCTTTTACATACACAATCTCATTTGTATTATCACATGAATTATTACCCCCATTTTAAGGTGAAATAGAAGTTCAAAGCAGTGTTCGTTCATTTAAATAATATTTATTGGGCACCTAAATTCCAGACAACGTGTCAGTCTTGTACATGTTGATTCATTCACACCACATCCCAAGAAATAATGCTCTTCCTATGAGATTACGTATAAGAAAAGTGCTTTTGAAGGGTGAATCATTGTTTATTGTCTCTAATACACAGTGCCTCAATGAAAAGATATTTATGTCATCAATATCTCCAGAATAAGGCAATGATGATTAAATTATTCATGATAAAATTAGTCTTACTCATAATTAGTAACAATATACCTACAATTTATTGAGTACCCACAAGTGCCAAGCACTGAGCCAAGCCCTCTTCATACATTCCCATTTAATTTGTAGAACTATCTCGTGAAAAAGGCAGCATTATTCCATATTACAGATAAGGAAATTGAGACTTAAAACATCCCATACTACAGATAAGAAAACAGGCTTAAAACAGTAATCAACTAAATCAGTAGCACACAGGTGATGAACAACTGGGCTAGGGTTTTTAGTATCCTAAGAGAACCTAAGACAGGAATATCTACTAGGGTCAGTATTAACTTCCACAAAAAACTGGAAACACTAAATTATTACATTTAAAACAAACTTACACTGTCATGAGCCTAGCCATAAAAACTCAACATCAGCCATTTAAGTTAAATGTACTTATTGAGAAATTACTCAACATTGTAGGGGGATGGACATAAGAATGACTCAGGTGTCTTGCTTCTTAATGGAGTCCACATGTGGTTAAGGGCTATTGACTTATGTAATAACTGATAAAGAAACAAAGACATGTCACAAATAACATATCACAAAGGAATGACAAATTATGATATTAAATAATTACGGCTTCATTCAACCATAATGAGCACGCTACTTTAAAATGAAAGGAATGTTCAGTGAAAATAATTTTTTAAATGACCCTCCCATCCCTGTCAATACTCACGTAATAGTTGAAGACTTTCTGGGAAAAGGATCTTCCATGACATTTTTCTTAATTCTAAAAAAACAACAGAAAAATATTTTTAAATTGCATAAGTTAATAATATAATTTCACATACATTTCTATGGAACTGGTGATTTTTGCTTTTGACATACACTAACGAGGAAGAGCAGCAACAAAAGTCACCCAGCGTCAGTTAGAGACTGGTAGGAATTACAAGTGTGATTCTCAGTTGGACCAAACACTGTTATGGACTCAATGTCTGTGTCCCCTCTGCCCCAAATACATATGCTAAAGACCTGACCCACAGTATGATGGCATCTGGGGGGCCTTTGGGAGGTGATTAAGTTTAGATGAGGTCATGTGGATGGGGGCCCCCATGATGGGATTGGTGCCTTATAAGAAGAGGAAGCGATGTATCTCCTTCAGAGGTATCTCCACCATCTGGAGGCATGGCAAGAAGGCAGTCGTCTGCAAGGCAGACAGCCTTCACCGGAACCTGACTATACTGGCATCCTGATCTTGGACTTTCAGCCTCCAAAATGGGGAGAAAATAAATTTCTGTGAAGCCACCCAGTCTATGGTATTTTGTTAAAGCAGCCTGAGCTAAGACAAACACTGATAAAATAAATCTGAGGGCTGAAATACTCACTTTGGAACAGATGTCCTATCAGTAGAAACAGCTTTTTGTCTAATCAGTTGTCTGTTTTTGGAAGGAAGTTGTATCATTTTGGGTACTTCTCCAGTTGAAAGGGTATCCATTTGAGAAACACTGCACTGATCTGGAATATAGTGTCATTCATGAGTCTCCATTACCTTTATGATCAGTAAGTGAAAAGCAAAGGTAAACGGTATAATACCCCCTATGCTGCTGTGGCAATGAACAATCCCATCTCTAGGGTTTAAAGCCAGACTCTAGGGTTGTTGTTTTGTTTTTACTGTAAAAACAAAATCCAAGACCCAGCATTTAATAGTACAAACAGTAAAAGAGTTGCCAGTGAAGTGGCGAAGTTTGTTAACCATTTAAAATTATAATAATTTGTTTAATGATATCTTGTGGTGAAAAAAGAAGAAAAAAAGAAAAAGTTGTTAAATTAAGCTCCCATTTGCAGTGGGTAACAAGCTTACCTGAAGAGAGTAGTGCTTTCTCCTCAATTTTACAGCTGACTTGATGTTCAAGGAATTCTCGAATTTGATGAAAGTTAGGTATTTCTCTTTCTTGCTTATGTCTTTCTGATTCCACACTTTTTAGTACTCTATGCAACTGATCACTTGAAATGCCACGTATATCCTGAAAGAATAAGATGTTAAGTTGGCCAGTTATCCTGGGAGGTTTCATTTCATGGGCATATATCAGCATTAACTGTGCCAACATTTCAATCCATCCTTACAGGGCTCCAGTTGTGTGTAGAGGGTAAGGGTGCCCCAACAAGTAACACACTGTCCCCAAAGGGGCCATGTGTTCAGTTGGGCACATAAGGCATGCATATGTTTATGACTGGCTGACCGACGAGGCTGTGTGTCATAAGGACCCAATGAGTCTACAAAGGCTAGAAGAATTCCAGGGAGGGAGGCCATCGAAGGCCCCAGTGGCCAGAGAAGGCTGAAAGGGGAGGCTGAGCTGTGGCCTGAAGGACAGGTGGAGTCAAACAAGTAAAAACAAGGAGAAATTTCCAGATGGGTAGGCATGAGATAGGGACACCTGTGAGAAAGGAAGCTGTCGAGGCAGAAACAGGTAAGGCACGTCCCACAGGCTAATGCTTAAAAAGACCTGGGTGATGAAACCAGCAGAAGAGACTAAATGCCAACCCAAAAGGCTGAAAGGTTATTCTACAAGGAACAATAGGTCATCAGAGCATCAGAGGTGACTTCTTTTTTTTTTTTTTTTTTTTTCCTGAGACAGAGTCTCGCCCTGTTGCCCAGGCTGGAGTGCAATGGCGCAATCTCAGTTCACTGCAACCTCCACCTCCCAGGTTCAAATGATTCTCTTGCCTCAGCCTTCCGAGTAGCTGGGATTACAGGCACCCGCCACCACGCCCAGCTAATTTTTGTATTTTTAGTAGAGATGGGGTTTCACCGTGTTGGCCAGGCTAGTCTCGAACTCCTGACCTCGTGATCCACCTGCCTTGGCCTCCCAAAGTGCTGGGATTACAGGCATGAGCCACCGTGCCCAGCTAGAGGTGACATTTAACTATGAAAATAGCATAATTAAAGAGACAATTTGAGAAAAGTCATCTAGATTTGATGAGAATCTAGACAGAAGAAAACTAGTTAAAGGGATATTTGTTGAATAACAGTGTCTCACACACACAGCTACCTCCCATCTTTGTTCCCATCCCCCTTGCTTCCCTCAGCCTTCCCAGTCCCAGGGAGTGGCCATACCACCCACCCAGTTGCCCAGGACAGAAATCTCCATCATCAAATTAAGTACCACCTCCAAGAAGAAGTTTTCTCTGACCTCAGTTATTCAATCAACCCCCTCCTCTACTTTTCCTTTATTTCACCTCATATAATCTAAATTAGAGAGCTCCCATTTGTCTGGGAAATCATTTGTTTCATGCCTGTCTTCCTATACCATGTAGCTGGAGGATAAGACCTAATACTGTACAAATGTCAATCCTTCCTACTTAATATACAAAATTTAAAACAATTTCAATCAGAATCCCAACAAGGGTTATTCTGGAAGTTGAAAAGTTATTCCTAAAGTTCATTGGAAAACAAAACATGGAAGAATTACCAATAAATTTTTGAAATAAGACTAATGAAGAAGGCATGGCCTATAAAAGATATTAAAACACAGGACAAAGCTACTACAATTAAATTAGTATGGTATGGGAAAAGGAACACACAAAAAAACAAGGTAAAACAGTTGAAAGTCCAAAAACAAATCCAAATGTATATAGGGATTTCTTATATGACAAAAATGTCCTTTTAAATAAATGGAGAAACTATGGATTATTCAACAAATGATATTGGGACACCTGATCCAACTGGAAATTAAGTTAGCTCTCCAAATCACTGTTTCAAAACCTAACTCTTAAAGCCCAGATAGACAAAAACAAAATAAGCAAAACAACAAACAAAAAACTAGGAAAACCTCTCCAAGCATTAGAGAAAAAAAAGAATGTTTTAATAATCTTAGGATAAATGAAAATGTCCCAATTAAAATTAAAACTCAAAAAACCACTTGCAAACAACCAATATGGAAAACTACAATTTTAAGAAACAATCTGCACAGGAACCACACACATTCCATGAATGTCTTTGATTTCCACTGCCCAAAGGGTGGTCAAAACCCACCTAAAAAGGGTCTATGTGGAAATTTAAAAAGACTGACTGAGTTGATGAAAGATGTGGAGCAACTGAACTCTCAAACACCGTTAGGGACAGTGTGAGTTGGTACAAGGACTTTGGAAAACTATTTGGCAACAGCTACTGTACTAAACATATGCCTACCCTTTGACTCAGCAATTTCATCCCTAGATATATATTCAAGAAAAAGAAATGCCCATGTTCACCAAAAGACATGTACAAGAATTAATAGCCAAGAAGAGCCCCAAAATAGACACACAAATGTCCATCAGCAGGGAAGAGATAAACTGTAGTATATTCACACAATAGAATGCTATAAGGTAATAAATAAGAACAAACTACTGCTACATGAAACAACAGGTATGAATCATATAGATAAAATCATTAAGCAAAAGAAGATATAAAATATTACACAGTGTATGACTCCACTTTTATGAGGTTCAAGAACAAGCAAAACTAAGTCAGAATACCCTTTCCCTCCGATTGGGAAGTAGGGGGTGATACTGACTAGCAGAAAGTAAAAGAGAGTCTTCCAGAGTGTTGGAAATGTTCAATCTCATCATTTGGGTGCTGGTTATAGATCATACACACACATCCATGTACATACAAATCCATCTATATAGATAAAATTATGCAAACATGTATACCCACAAATATAGCCACATACACACATACTTCTGAAAACATACACAATCATCTATATACATACATATACATAAATGTGTATACACATATCATATACACAAATGTGTATACACATACACAGATATCTGCATACACACATGGATACATACATGTATATATACATAGCTACATGCACACATACACACTATACACATCCACGTGTGTGCCCATGCATGCATATGTGCTCACAAGCTTTGCATATATGTGTATATATGCATATGTAGATGCACTTTTTTATAAACATATAAACTAATGAAGTTCAATTAAGATTTGTGTCTTTTATGTATGTCAATAAAACTATAAAAAGCAAAAAGAATCTATATATGATATACCAAAATTATTCAATCTGGCAACAATATGAAATCCAATCCATTCATCCATTCATTCAACATGTATTAATGAAGTGCTGGTTTTGTAATAGGCAATGATTTGAGGTTAATATCAGAATGTAAGCAGCACTGTGACTGCCTAGATACAAACCCTGGCTCCTTCATTACTAGCTGTGAGACATTAATCAAGTTACTTACCTTTTCTGTAAACTGTCAAGATACTAATGTCATTTATTTCAGAGATTTGTTTCTATGTTTAAATGAGTTAATATTTGTTAAGGTCGTAGAAATGTGCCAGGCACACAGTGAATGCTATTCAAGTGTTTGATAAATAAAGTAGGTCACATTAGCCTCTGTTCTCCAAACATGGACAGAATTGATGTGCTTTCTTCTCTTCCATGATCATTTCTAATTTAGAAAACAAAACACAGCAAAACTAACAAATATTCCAAAAATGAATGAACATACTGCATTAATCCCCAAGGTTTCCAGTTTCTCCATCAAGTTCTGCTCCACCATTGTTCTTAGTCCCTTAGTGAGGGAGGAGTTACTCTTCAAAGCTTTCCTTAAATGCATTTTGTTGTTATTTAATTTCTGTTCATTTTCCCTTCCTGAAATAAGGTTTTAAAAATGTGTTAAAAAAAGAATTAAGCAAATACATCAAAAATCTCTAAGCAGAAAATGGCAAACCACAGCTTTTAAGCAGCAAGTAAGTATTTGTGATGTTTTAAAGTTTTTGGATATTTTAGTCACTCAGCACAATACAGAATGCTTAAGTTATGCAGCTTTTAAAACTATTTTATGTCGGCTTCAAAACTTCAGTATTTTCAAAGACTGGATCACTTAATCAGATGACAACTATAGATATATATGTATCTATAGAAGCATGATGGAAAAAAAATTTATTTAGGAGTTTAATGTTTTATCACTAGAATTATATCACTATTTCCTGAAAAATTCATCTCCAAGCTCACTCAGTTAGAATTTATGTATCATCTTATGAAGAAAAAGCCCAATTTACTTTAAATAATTAAAACTTTTTGGCCAGGCTCAGTGGCTCACACCTGTAATCCCAGCACTTTCGGAGGTTAAGGTGAGTGGATCACTTGGACCCAGGAGTTTGAGATTAGCCTGAACAACATAGCGAGATCCCATTTCAATTTATTTTAAATATAAAAATTTTTTTTCAAAGTTTTTTAGTTACTAGAAGCTAAGTACATATAAAATTTCAAGATGTGAAAATCATTATCCCCTTCAAAATATTTACCAAAATGAAAAAGGATAACAAAAGTCTTAGCAAAAGTGTATTTTGTTTAAAACAACCTATAATTAAAAACAAAGAAACCAAAAACAATAGGACATATTCTCCTCACTTCCATCCCTATCCCTTTTTTATTCCCCACTTAAAAAAAAAAAGTCAAGTTCAAGACAGTTTGGAGAAGAATGATGGCATAACCTTTAAAAATCTGAGTCCTTATGTACAAAGGAACAGAAGACTTCATTAAAGAGATGCGACGTTTGGCAGTTCAGACCCTTACTGACTGTCAAAAGCCTGATCTGGGAGAAATGTGACAACTATACTACCATTTTGGAGTCTAATCTCCTAACAGGGGCATTTTGCCCACCAAAGGGTGGCATCAAATGCCATTTCCTAGGTGTAGGGCTCCAGGCCACCCGAGAGACTCTCCCTTCTGCTGCTGCCTCACCCATCTCAGCAGACAGGATTCTTAATACCCATACTACTTGGATTTGCAGGAGATCTTGAACAAAATGCCTTTTTGTTTAAGATGTTTTCTAAACACCAGTTCAATTCCCACATTAAAAAATATTTCTATTAAATAAATAGATGGTTTTATTGAAAGCAAAATTAGTCAAATTACTTTTGTGTACATTAAATAGAAGAACAAAATCCTGCACAAAAATACTATTCTATGTTTTGCTATTGCAGCTTGCTAAGCTGAAGTGATAAAACTGCATATAATTATATATTAAAAGTCAGAACTAATCTTAAATCTTATATTATCAGCAATCATGCTGCTGTTTAACCACCAATGTTTACAAATATTCTGAAACCACCAAAAAAAGCACTTCTATGAACAATCCATCAAAATCATAGCTGCAGCCACTATGTCACTGGCTTTGGCTTCTAGGTGGCCATCAAGTGTGCAACTGTCTAGGGCCAAAAATAAAAAGAGGCACCGAGAGAGCCTGGAAGTCTTGGTGCTACCATTGAAATAGACATACCCCCTACCCCAATTATGTGAAGACTCTTTTGGCCAATATCTCAGATAATGAAGGACGTACACAGAAGCGTTGCCTAAAAAGAGGCTCTGGGCCCTGTTTTCTCTGGGACTTGGGGCCACATACAGGGGCAAGCGATGCCTGGAATGACTTGGTTGCAGTTAGAAGAGCTGTAAAGCCTTTGCCGTTAGTTGTTGAATTCATTTGCTGATGTGTCTGTGATCATCCTCAGCTCTGATGACAGGTTCATTTTGATGACTGAGTTCCCCAAACTACTGCAGATTACGCATTTCCCCCTGTCCTCAAATTCACCTTATATACTGGTGCTTGCTTTGGGAAACCATTTATGAATAATTAGAGCACCCTTGGTAAAGATTCTTACAAGGGTGGGGCTGGCCAATGGAAGCAAGAGAAAGAATGTAGAGTAAGCAGGGAAAAATAAAGTTTTTATGTAGAAGTGGAATTAATCACTTGAAAATCAATCACAGCTGAGGATTTTAGTTAAAGCACATATTGCTCACCAAGACCAAGACAAAACTTTCTAAAGACTAGCATTTCCTTCAAATACAAATTTTCAAACACAAACAAGCAGACGCCCAGGCTAATGCACAACAGTCCATACATGGGATCAGTTTTATCAGACATACAACATCCCATTTATGGTAAACAAATAATTGTAGCAGGAAGCAAATGATTTTTAAAAATCCTTGAATTTCTGAGTTGGAAGGGAATTTATCTACCACCTAGTAATGATAGATTTTTGACATGAGTATACTAGAAACAGCAGTAACTTCCCCAAAGGCCATCCAGATGGTCCTGTAGAGGCCACATCAGCTTCCCTTTCTCCATTTGCTCTCTGCACTAAACTATGGACAGTAGAAAACCTGGATGTTGTCACTAATTAAACTCAACAACCTGAAGCAGGCTCTTAATCCCCCTATGTTTTCTTTCTGGAAAATAAAATGCCCTCTAAGATCCCTTCTGGCCCTCACATTCTAGCATCTATAAAACTGCAAGATCAACTATGCCTTTGCTCAAAAAGCAGGTACACAGAAATATGCATGAATTACTTCTTAGTAAAAGCCACAGTGTTTTTGCAAACCACTGCCAAAATTGAGCTTCTCAGGCACTTATCTGCAAAATGTTAGCACAAGCTGAGGAATTTATTGATGGCAATTAATCTGCTGCCAGTATGTTAACTCCACAGAGGTGCTGGAAGGAGGCAGTCACTGGTTTCTGCAGTGGTGCACGTGGACCCTGGGGTGTTTTCTATGGTCCTCAGCACTCTCCTGTCTACCATCAGAGCTGAACACATGGAGCATGACAAGAGTTATTTTCTTTTCCAGTCCAGCCCCCTAAATGTGGCAGCACCCAATGGTGGTGTTTGCTGTCAGTGATTCCAAACTACCATCTTACATTGACTGGAAGAACTCTAAAAGCACAGGCAGAGGGATGCAGTGAGTGAAATCTGGAACTGGAAGTTACAAGACCACTCTGGGTGATGGTGGACAATCATGATTCCTATAGGAACCCTCACTGAGTCGTTTTTCAAATGAGTGTGAACTACATGACCTGAAGTTCTATTTTGAAAGTACGCGACGTTTTCTATGAACCTCCTGACATGTCTCACAGATTCTTCAAGGAATATGGGATTTTATATCTTGGACATCAGTAAATGATATGTATGTAGGAGAGCGGAAGCATGTTACTTGCAAGCAAAATGATGTGTCATTATTCAGAACTCAAATAGGGTAAGATTTGTTCTTCCGTTTCTGGAAAACCAATAGGGATGGTTGAAAATCACTTAAAGACAATATTTTTTAAGCACTATTTCTCTTCAACCTATAGGGCTCAGAAGCTTAAACGCCTACATAAAGCAAAGAAGGCAATGTGGGGCAAAAGAGTTGAGGGGGATTATGGCAAACCGGAGGTTGCTTCCATAGCCAGTGATGGCGGCTCAGCCCTGCTAAATGTTGCTAAGTAGACCATGCGCCCAGGGTTTCCAGGGTATTGTATTGTGGCACAAAGCAAATAATTTTAAAAAAACAACAACCAGAATTTCTGAGTTGGAAGGGACTTTATCACCTAGTGATAGATAATTAAATTGTGTAGAGATTGCACTACAATTAAATATTGGCAACCTACTGTACAATAGTTGCTAATAGTGCAGCTTGAACAAGTCAGCGTCTGTGGAATCGATTCAGCCTGCAGGATCTCGTTTGATGCCTGGGCTGTGGTGGTCTTTAAGGTGCTGGAAGTGTCTGGGAATGACCCCTCCAGCAATTTATTTGTTTAGCAATGGAACAAGGCTGAGGACCCCATAAGAAGGTAACAATATCTTTTAAAGTTATGCTCATCAGAGTACCCCAAAATTTCCCTCAACAAGTTTTTATGGCTTTATGTAATTTAATGTACCTATAGTCACTCTTGTTTCTGAAAGAAGCAGGTTTCTAAACATTGGAACAGCAATTACAAAGAAATAAGGAGGAAATGAAGCAACTAAAACCAAACTCTTCAAAATCAGTGCCAAACATGAACAACTATTGGGACAGGAAGATATGCAATCCTAAACTAAATGGTCTGTCTAAAATATACAACATCAAGACAAATTACAAAGATACATGGAAGCAAAATAAACAAACCCTATAAAAATATCAAAAAGTTACTGATCATTAGCATAGCAAAATAAGACTTGAAAGTGTATATCATATAGGTATTATGAATATGCCTGATGTAGTCAATTCTCAATTTGTAGCCTTATAAAAATAAAAATAAAATGGTAAATGTCTAGAGAACAAGGGAAGAGTTATAATAAATACTGAATTTATATATTAGGATATATATCATTTGACTTCTTTTCCTGACAAAAATGACAAAACCAGAACCCATATAAGTATTGACAATTTGCTTTCTCCTAAAGAAGTGATATATGGTGAATTATTATTATTATTAATAGGAAAAAATTATGATAGATTGATTCAAATATAATTGTTTTCAAAATCTACAAATCTAGCATTAGAAAATGTTCCTCATAATTAAACCTTTCTTCATAGACTTTAAAAACTAATTGACAGAAAATAATTTTTAGGACTATCAAATGAAATGAGTAAGCAGTAATAATTATCTCCCAACACCTGTAACAGCTCCCAAATTCCACCATAAAAATACTGTTTTGCACATAAATATTCCACATCCAGAACTTAGACATGATGCTTTTCTTGCTATTAAAAATAATTTGGAAATAAGCACTTCACCAATTCATTTCAGATTAAGGGTATGATAAATCACCACTATGATACAAATATTTTCAGATCTTCTGGTACACAACACGTGTGTGTCTATATATCATCTCATCAGAAAAATCTGCATTAAAATAAAGACAAATTTTTTTTCAAGTTCTCTGACACAAAAAATTTCTTATTTTATCTGCTTGCATAAGAATACCACAAAGCAGGGGAAAACAGAACAGAATATTAGGGGAATAGGATAACAGGATACTCTATGTGGGTTGAAAGTAAAATCCAAATCTAAATGTCTTTCCTAATTTTGATGTAGTGGAATAAAAACCACTGGCTCATATTTTCCAGGCCTAGATTTTGGCATATAAATATAATCTGTGCAGGTAAACCTGATCAAGCCCTTTGTTACCTTTTTCTTCCTCTGAAAGTTCTTCTATTGGTTCCAGTATGTGCGACGAGAATGCCTGTTCTATTAACAAGGAAAAATAAGAACAGTACAAACAGGACAACAGCAAAGTTACATTAGTTTCCTTTCAAATGATTTTGAAAGATATCATTCCATGGTATTTTAGTCATGCCTGAATAGCAAGAATTTACTGAGGAAAAAACGTTGAGGCAATCAGTCATAGATGGTCACCTTTTCATCATATCTTCGATTTCTATGTACTTTCCATTAACTACACTCTACAGAAATTATAGTTTTAAATAATTAAGTTAAAGTTTCTCATTCATCAACCTAGTACACGGTAGCCTTTTAAGACACAAGGGCACAACTGCAAAAGATCTTCATTACTTATAAAGTATTTCAATCAAGTGGCTAAACAGAAAATTAATGAAAATATTTCAACTACAAAAACATTAAAAATTCCCAAGGTCCTGGGATTCCCACTTGTTCTGGGTGCTAACCCCACGGTTTTCAAGTGGTAAGACCCAGAATATAAAAGGGGAACGACAGGCGAGAGGTCAGCAGCAAGAATGAGAGCCATTCTTCGACACCTGCATGGATGCATTTCACGACCTAGTTCTGGGGCTGGAGAATGCCCTAGCCCCACAGCTGGGCAGATGAGGAAGGACTCTTCCCAATCTCACCCCAGAATGGCAACCGCACTCAGGGGAGATGAGGTCTTTGGGTGACTATTCCCAGAGAAATGTTATATGCATACACAAGGAAGCCTGCCAGCAGCAGGTATAAAACCAAGCCCTATCCTACCAACTGAAGGAAATTTCCTTCATGGTGAAGGTCAGGTTTTAGGTGAAGGTTTAATGATGGTGGTCAGGCATTAGATATGGGATGAAATGCAACCAGCAAAGTTGGTGCATGGTTCACTCACCTTCATCTTGGAGACTGATACAGTGCACTTCCCCCCACCAGCTCTCCACTTTTACCTCCAAGGGGGAGGTCATTTCATTCTACCACCAGACCTGGGAGTGGGTGATGAGCCAGGGTAAAAATGGCCAACAGTTACCGAGTGCTCACCAGGAGGCTGGGCAGGGATCCACATGTGTGGTATCTCAGATTTAATGCTTCTTACTTTAAAGGGTCTGGTTTTTTATTCATTAAAGTATTTCTAGTACTCTATTTCAGATAGACAAATGATAGAGAGAGAGAGAGATGATAGAGATAGATAGATAGATGATAGATAGATAGATAGATAGATAGATAGATAGATAGATAGACAGACAGACAGACAGACAGGCTTAGGTATATATAAATAGGTTCTTACAGCTTAGCCAGCAACCTAGTCAATGTATGTAACATTGGCTGTATGGGAGAAACGCATCTTAAACTACTTTCAAGTTAACTTCTGGAATACAGCCTATGACTGAGTAAAATCACCTAACTGCTGAAGTGTGGACATAGCCATGAAGAAGCATTTAAGTCCAGCAGGTACCACAACTGCTGACCACCAAAAATATGCTTTTCAAATTTGTTATAGAGCATCAAGATTTTTAAAAATTATACAAATAGGCTATATTACTAGTTTGAACTGCTGAAAACAGATTTAAGGAGGATAACTAATTTCAGATTTTAAAAAGTCACACTGTATTTTATTTACTTGTGATCAAAATAAGGTCACAAGGAAACTTTTAATAAAACTTTCATGAAATAATCTCACACATATTTATTATTTTATAACAGGGATACTCCTATGACTTATTTCTCTAGAGTCAGGATAAACTGCCAGGTTCTGATGTGTTTCCCTCTGTGTACAGAGGAAGAGTTCTGGTAGAAGGGGAGACTCCTGAACGTGGCTCCCATAACAAGGGCTGGGGAAGTGAGGCTGGCCAAACCCCAGCTCCCAAAACAAGCAGGCTGATGTCCCACATCAGGAGGGAAGGACCTGCCCTGCTTGTGCTTTGTAAGCCACCAGTCTAGACTTCAAACGTCCCAGATCCTGTCCTGAGCTGAGATGCAGGGTGACAGTCAAAACACTCAGAGGTCTGAGTCTCCCATGAACTTGTGGGAGGCTTTCAAAAAAATCCTTGTCAGTTTCCTGCCATTGTCTCCAGAAGAAAGGATCTTGGTCCTCTAACTAGCCCTGCCCTTTTGCCCCTAGCTGACTTTGGCTGGACTTCATCGTGCCTACCTTAGAAGCCAACACTGGCCAGAGCTTACTCAGTGGCTTGTACCTTTCTGGACCATCACAAAGGCCACTGCAGTAGCCACAGCTGTTCTCTGCACTTGGCAGGCAAAGCCCCTAAGCCCACAGCTTAGGGGTGGGCTGTGAATCCGGACTGCCTGCTTCCAAAGTCTGGGGACTTGTCCACAAAGTGATGATGCCTGCCTACTGGCACTCACTGGGCTTGTCTTTCTGACTTCTCCAAATGCCACCGCTGTCCACCCATTATCAGAGTTCACTGTGCTCTGACTTTCCTTGGTCCTGGCCCTGGTCCCCAGTCACCTGCTCAGCCTTTCTGCCAACTCCACCAAACCGCTGGTCTGTCCACTCTTTCTCCAGTCTCATCACCACAAAGCAGACTCCCGGGGAGGAATCTCAAGTGTAGGATCACCCACACCCACAACTGGTCTCCCCATCTCAGATGGGGAGCTTTGGAGACGCTCTGGTCAGGCCAAGCCTCCCATAGCCCAGCTCTCCAATTCTGCACACCCAGCCTCAGGAACACTCAGCGGCTACAAACTGCCCCAAGAACGACCCTGGACAGCTGCAGCCTGGCACTCAACAGCTGCCATGAACGCCCTCAACCAACCTCACTTCCCTCACATCTCCTCTTCTCTATGCATGGCCAAGTAATTACTCTAAACTGCTAATTCACATCTAGTGCTTTCCTGCCACCTTTTCCTTCTTACTGTTTGCTTTGCCTAGGATGCCATCCCGACATATTCACCTCCTACTCGGCTCAAATGGCCAAATGTCAGCTACGCCAGGAAGTCTTCCCAGAGTCTCCCAAATGGAGGAAATCTCTCCCCTGCCTGGATACCCATTTCATTTCTCAGTGGCTCTCACCTTGCACCATAATTATAAGCATGTGGTCTCCTTTATAAGCTGTAAGTTCCGTGGGGACAGGCTTCGTTTCTGATTCATTTCTATATCTCTGTCATGCAGGAGTGGTCCACAGTTGTCATTACCCAGTGGTCAGTGAAGGAAGGAAGGCAAGAGTGGCGGAACACCGCTGGAGAAACAGATAACTACATGTGGCATGTTAACTCCTGTCAAAGACATGTTCACTGAAGACTCTCCTGAGCTTTTCCAGGATGTATGTCCAGGAGATCCTGTTGGCACATCCAAACATTTCCCCTTGTGACTGCACATAAGCATGGTCACCTGACAGGGATCAGGCCCACTCTCCTTTAGAGGGTGGAATCCCACTGAACTGAGACTTCCTTTCAACAGTCCCCATCCCACTTCTGCAACACTATTTGGGCCAGTGGTGTCCAGAGGGGGAAGCCATCTTTCTTTCCATCAAGAGACACAATACACCAGAAGTCTAGAGCATACCACCTGTCATGTATTGGACAATAAACTATTGCTTGTGTTAATTTTCAGTATTTCAAGATGTAGAATACTTGCTTTGAGAACAAAACATAATAATAATTGTAAAGTCTAATAAAAATGTTTCTAAGTGGGAGCGGTGGGCTCACACCTGTGGTCCTAGCACTTTGGAAGGCTGAGGTGGGAGGATCATTTGAGTCCAGGTGTTTGAAACCAGCCTGGGCAACATAATGAAATGCCGTCTATATAATAAATCAAAAAATTAGTCAGGTATGGTGGTGCACCCCTGCAGTCTCAACTACGTGGGAGGATCACTTGAGCCCAGAAAGTTGAGGCTGCAGTGAGCTATGATCATATCACCACATTCCAGCCTGGGCGACAGAGAAATGCCCAGTCTCAAAAAAAAAAAAAAAAAAAAAAAAAAAAAGAGTTTCCAGTTTTTGTGGTCCTCACTGTAGCTATATACAATTAAAGTCATGCATACATAAGCCCCTCACAATTTATAGACCAAATTAAAGGAGGGCTTTACATGTAGATAGAACCTAGCAGGTGCCCACAGACTTTGGGAAAAGCGGTTATTTTGCATCCTCACTGCACTCGTCGCTCTAAAAGTGGGCCACATTATCAGCCCAGGCAACCTAAGCAATTGGTGTATGGGTCAGTTTAACAGCAACAAAGTATACTTTATTTTCTGGGCATCCTAATACCACCATTTAGTCACTACTCCATGAGCAAAGAGCAAAGTGGTCTCCAGTGGTGAAAATACTACAAAAATTTATTTGAGGTTTGTCCAGAAAAAAAATGCATACTGGGGATGGGAATCAAGCATGATTGTTTATCTTCTCCAGAACCCGTGTTTCATCCTATCAACTGCCTTAGGATCAGAACCTACTGCCTGTACCGTTTAGCTTGTGTAGCAGAGTTGAAAGCAGGGAGCCATCAGGGTTCCCATTTTACCTAGATCCTCCCAGGACAAACGTGCTGGCAATGTTGGCTCCTAGCAGCTCACAGTGGAGTCCCTTCCAGGCTGCTTTAGCTCACCCTCTCTTTGGGGCAGCCCCCATCAGATGACAAATCAGTGCAAGGGGCAATGGCCCACCCCTGCCTCAGTGGAGGACAAGCCAGAGCACTCATCCCAGCTCTGCAGCTCTGAAGCAGGGCTGGCTGAGGCCTCCACTGTGGCTGCGTCTAGGTTCAACGTTCCCTTCGCCCAACCCTGCTTCTCTCACAGGTGCTGTCCAAGGGCACCCCCACCTCCCACCTGTAAACTTCCGCATCAGTCTGTTTCCCAGGGGACCCGACCTACAATGGTAAGAAATTGTGAGATTTTTCATGGTAAAGAACCTCATCAAGCTTCGAGATGGAACAAAGGACAGAGAGTGAACAGGCGAATAAACATTACGCAATCCATGACTAACCTGCCCTGCCCCTGCCGCCCTGGGGAAGCTGGCCTGACGGGGTGGGGGACGTTGGCGGGCCCTGGCCAAGTCTCTTCCTAGCTCCTGCCCACTGAGATGCTCACAAATAAGCTTTGATCCCCATCCAAGGGCTGTAGGCCCTGTGCCAGGTCTGGCTGGCATTTAAAACTAGCATTTCAATCCCAGCAGATGCCAGGAAGGGGGCATGACTGATTCATGCAGCTCTGGGCTAGTGAGGGTAGGGTCCCCATGAACACATGCTTTAGAAATGATCGATTTGTCCGGACCCTTGAATCAACCCCAGACAGCTTTAATGTACCTACCAGGGTGTCCTTTAGTTAGCAACAAAAATATATGACAAAGAAACTAGGAACCTTGTGTGATGTCATACAGAAAGCTAACAATAACAAAGTGGAGGGGTGGGGAAGTAAAAGAAACTAAAATACACTGTTGAAGTACAAAAGAGAAATGGCCAGCAATGCTTTACAAAGGGACGCAACAGAGAGATTTTAGACCTGACATAAAATAATATGAATACAGAATGATTGCTAGATACTTTTCTTATATATTCAATATTAAAGCAAATTTATTTATGTCCAGTGTGCTTTTATCTGTTACTGGTCTAAAGGAAAAAACTGCATGCTCTGAACACTTGTAAATAAGAAGATCAATATGTGGAGAATTTACACATTACGTATTGTGATCACATACTCAAGACAACTGACCCACCTGAAATGATCTTCGGGAAAAAAATAAGGTGCAATAAACACTTCAAGAGTCAGTGATGAGTAAAAAGGATTATTACTAAAGTTCATGGTATACAGATCACAATATCTATGAAGACAAAAAGTGCCACCATACTGACCAGTTAGATCATGGATTTAAGTGTAATCTTTTTAAAAGACCAAAAATGAAAGAGTGAAATAATCCTTGGATTCCAGAGCAACTGTATGTGAGACTGGAAAAAGATGGCCCTTCTCCCGTCTTAATTCATTTGTAATATCCAACAGAGCACAGGAAAACATCACATTAAAGAACATACTATAAAAACTGTAAGCACTTTAACTGTATAAAAAGTGAAATACGGCTACAAATATTCAGCCCATCTATTGGATCATGTTAATAACAATTATCACCCTTTTGATCTGGTCCAAGAACTGAACCCTGGTAATGATTTCACCCAGTGGTTCCTACCTATTTCCTTTAGTTTCCATCACATGTCTTTTCTAGATTTTCCCAACCAGTCATTCAAACTGTTTGTTTAGAAAAGGTGACTTGCTGCCACATTGAAAGTTATAAAAACAACCACATACGCCCTGTGGCATGTGCTGGTTGGCTGGTCTGGTAGCAGGTCACCCTCATTCTTACCCAACACCTACTACTTTCCACAAAAATCATAAATAATCAAGACACTACCCAAAGTTAAAATCTCTACTTGTGAGTCTGGCAACCTTTTATACCTATATACACCTTTTATACTTTAAGACTTTGGGAGGTATGTCCAGTTTACAACAATATTACACATGAAGACTGCAGTTTTAATAACTGTTTTGCAATCACTAAAATGTTTCCTGTTTTATTATTAATTACCTCCACATAATCACTTTTGGTTAATAAGTTATCCAACTCAGGGTGGCAACTGCACATAAAACGCTGAGACTATTACTGAAACTTACCATGCACCATTGGCAGACTTGATTTAGTTTCCAAAGTGTGCAGGGCTGGGGCATTCACTGAAACAGCATAAAAAGGAAAAACTCAGAGGTTCCATAATTAAAGCATAAGCATCCGAACATGATGGTAGCCAAATATGCCGCAAACTAGTCAAGATACATACAGACCATAAGGAACAAATATTTCAAGTGACAAAGATATTACACAACTAACATAAACTTATATTCATAACAGCTTTATGGAGATATGTTCCCCTTTTAAAAATATACAATTCAGTGGGTTTTTAGCATATTCACAGGGCTGTGCAAACACAACCACTGTCTAATTCTCGAACATTTGCTTCATCACCTCCCTCAAAATACCCATGCCCCATACCCATCACACCTCATTTCTGCCCCTTCCCTATCCCCAGACAACAATTAATCTACTATCCATCTCTATGAATTTGCCTATTCTTGACATTTCATATAGTAAATGCAATCATACAGTATGTGGTCCCTTGCGTCTGGTTTTGCTCACTTAGCACAGTGTTATCAAGGTTCATCCATGCTGTAGCATGTATATAAATATCAGTATGTATTTTTATGGGCAAATAACATTCTGTGTTATAAACTGACCACATTTTATTTACCTTTTCATTAGGTGATGGACATATAAGTTGTTTCCACTGTTTAGCTGTTATGAATAATGCTGCAATGAACATTCATGCAAAATAAACCAGTTTTAAAAAGTACTCTAATCACTGGGCTGGAAGACATTATGTGAAGGTATTAATTTAGGCACAGCCTGTGGAAAGAGGTTTACCTAACTTAAGTAAGACTCAATCCTCTCTAATTTAAATTTCTACAGAAAATTAGATTCCACGGCCTTCTTCCAATATTTGACAATTCTTATCTGAAAGTCCTCTCTGGACTATTTATTTATCCAGTTTGTTTTCACTAAACAGTATGGTCTATTAGTTTACCGCTTCTTTCTTTTATCAAGACAGACTTTTAATTCTAATCTTACCCTAAAAAATACTGGCCACAAACCTCAGCTACTTTTTTATTTTATTTTTTTTTAAAAAACACAGTTTTACTCCCGTCGCCCAGGGTGGAGTGCAGTGGCATGATCTCAGCTCACTACAACCTTTGCCTCCTGGGCTCAAGCAACTCTCCTGCCTCAGCCTCCTGAGTAACTGGGACTACAGGCATGCGGCACCATGCTCAGCTAATTTTTGTATTTTTAGTAGAGACAGGGTTTCACCATGTTGGCTAGGCTGGTCTCAAACTGGTGACCTCAAGTGATCCACCTGCCTTGGTCTCCCAAAGTGCTAGGATTACAGGCATGAGCCACCATACCCGGCCATCAGCTACTTCTATAGGTATGCATTTTTTATCTTCACAATGGCTTCTAGTGAAAGTGTTCAATTCCTATTTGTAAATTGCTAACAAACTCTGGAAATACTGCCTTTGTACCCATTTGCAACTTGTATAATCTAGATCAAGTTTTGGCAAACTATAGCCCATGAGACATACCCAGTCCACTGCCTGTTTTTATTGGAATACAGCCAAGCTCCTTCACTTACGTGTTGTCTATGGCTGATTTTGCACTACAATGGCAGAGGTGAGTAGTTGCAAAATAGATCATCTAGCCTGTGAAGCCTAATGTAAATCACTGTCTGACTTTTTACAAGAAAAAAAAAAATACAGAATACTAACTATTCCTGATCTAGATATTTTTCCAGCTTACAGAATCAAAAGATCTGATGCTATTAAAATTGATCACAATTTGGTCTTTTCTCTAAACTACAGAATTCATTCCCTTATTATGAAAGGGTAGTAAATCAGTAAATGACTGACTAGTGTCTAAATCACCAAGGGTATAGACAGGTGGAATCAACAGGTTTGACCATATCTGCTTTATATTAGACATTACAAATCTTCATTTTACTGGCTATAGGTCTGATTTATTTATTGCATATCTCCTAAGCTGACTTTCACCTTGTGATTTACTTTCTGATCTTAAACTTTAGAATGTATGTTTTCTTTTAAGTGATGAAAACTTCCCTGCCATCATTAGAACCTTGGCTTTTAGATCCTTTTGTATGCTGGGAAGAGGAATGGGACAAGCCAGGGCCTCACTCGGAAGGGACCGCTACCTATGGGGCTATGGGCCTATTTTTTTAAATTATTTTTGGAATTTTCTAGAGCCAGTGGCATCCATATTTTTTTGACCACATTCCCCAATCAGTAAAAGTTCCCCCAGAAATACACATATTTATTTAAATGAATTTTATATATACTATAATACAAATGTGTACATTTTAAAACAAAAAATGAAAAAATTAAAAGGATGAGATTTATTAATATATAAAAAGAACCTCTAATAATTTTTTCCCACATTCCAATAGATAATTTTGCATACTCCATTTGGAGAAAACCACCCTAACTAAATATAGACTTGGGTTTTTTTTTTTTTTGGTTTTTTTTCCTGCATAGATATTTGAGTTTGGTCAGCTGCTGAAGATTGTTTGTTTGTTTGAATAATTTAGTACTTGACCTTTCTGTCCTTCTCTGAAATGTGTTTTTTTCCTTCATTTCATAAGATGTAAGTTCAGCATCTCTTCCTCTCTCAACCCTACTCTGGGCACTTAAACTCCTCTCCTCTCCTTAACTACTGCTTAACTTCTTCAGCTTCAAGAAGCCTCCAAGAAGACTGAGAGGTTAAAACCATCAGCATTTTCCAGCCAATAGTGCCAAATTCCAAAACACGCTCAAGAACGTCCTTTGGTCACTACACAGTGCTCTCGCAATCCCTGGGCCCATGAGCGTGGTGCTGTCTCTCTGTGCTCAGCCTCAGCCCATACTCCTCTCACAGTCAGATCCCTGTGCACATGGCACAGGTACCTGCCCTTACTCCTTCCTGAATGGAAGCAAAACTATCTCAGCTATTTAGCTAGTATTTTTAAACAACCATCTCTCAGTTTCTCAACTGTAAAGATTATGTCCTTTTGTTTTACTGCAGAATCTTGACAGCTCCGGGAGATAGAGCAGATGGCCAGGCTGACCACAAGTGGGGACAGACAGGCCACCTGTCAAAGCCTGCAGCAGTAAAAGTGTCAGCAGTTTCAAAGTGTGGTGACACCACACACAGTCACACAGTCGCATAGTGTATCACTTTGAGAAGTCTACAAGTATAAACTAAGGTGATGCCAAGGAATTTTTAGTCATCCCTTTTTAGACAAATTGTGAAATAATAGCTATAGCTAATCAAAATCACCACAACATCATGTGGATATTTGTAGTCTTGGGTTTTAGAACTAGGTCAAAACTAAGAATCAAAATAAATCATTATGTGATCTCTAAATACATTGGTTTTCAAAGAAAAGCCTCTAAAAATAGTAAGTAAAAGTTATGTTTTGGTTTAGCATTTTAAAGATACCTTTGGAGCCCTGCATCTATTATAGGAACTTACTAGGCACAGCTGGAGCAGCTGGCTGAGATTCAAAAGCCTGCCAGGCTAAAGGATTTCCTGAAATGACAGAAAAATAAATGAACAAAAAACATCACAAGCTATGGATTAAATTTTTGTAGCCCTTATACTAATTTGAGCCCCCATAAAAAACATAAATGAAATGTACCAATATATAGCACATCACCAGGAGAATAAATATGTGTAACATACATCTTTTTGAAGCTAAATTTTCCCCAGAATTACTTTTCAGTCAAATATTTATGATATCTAGTTAATTTTGCAAATATTCCTCCCTAACCTGAGCTCTTGTTATTTGAAGAGGAGTTAAAGGGAACAACAACCCTCTTTCCCGAACTCTTTATCTCAAAACAAGAGGGAGGAAACCCAGCTCATACACCCCAGTACCACCCCTAGTTGGCATCTCTCAAATAGACAAAGATTCCTCAACAACCTGAGACGTGCAGGAACCAGGACTGGAATCACTGGGAAGAAAACTAGGCAGAAGTAAGACCCTGAACCTATGGCTCCCAGTCTCCCTTCTGGTCTCTTTTTTTATTTCTTTTGCAAAGTCAGCTCTTGCCCTGGTCTTGACTGGTTTAGTGTGTGTGTGTGTGTGTGTGTGTGTGTGTGTGTGTGTGTGTGTGTGTGTGTGTGTGAGAGAGAGACAGAGAGAGAGAGACAGAGACAGACAGAGAGTTCTTGAATGATATGGAGACAGGCAGGCTATCACTGCCGCAGTCAGTAGGTTGTGCATATTCCCATTAAACTTAGAACAAACCTGTAACCCCCAAACAGCCACAGTTGAGAATAACGCAGCAAGCCTTTATAGCACTTTAGAATAATTAAGAGTTTTTTGGTTTTTTTTTTTTAAGAGATGTGGGTCTCACTCTGTCACCCAGGCTTGAGTGCAGTGGTGCAATCATAGCTCACTGCAGCCTTGAATTTCTGGGCTCGAGTGATTCTTCCATCCCAGCCTCCTGAGTAGCTGTGACTACAGGTGCCTGCTGCCATGCACAGCTCATTTTTTATTTTTAGAGAAGGGGGACTCGCTATGTTGCCCAGGCTAGTCTCGAACTCCTGGCCTCAGGTGATCTTCCTGCCTTGGCCTCCCAAAATGCGGGCATTACAAATGTGAGCAACTGTGCCTGGCCTACTAAGAGCTTAATATCAATAATAATGGCAAACTTAATGAGGGCTTAATAGGTATATTATCCCATTTAATCCTCATAACAAGCCTATGATATAGTTACTATTTGCTATGACTTGAATGTCCCCTCAGAAATGCAAGTTGAAATTTAACTGCCATTGTAACAATTACACGGCAACAGTGGCAGGAGTGGGTTAGTTATTGAGAGTGAGTTTCTGATTTAAAAAGATGCGTTTGACCCAATTTCCTTTCTCTGTCTCATGCATTAGCTGGCCAGGTGATGCCTTGCACCATAGGTTGACCCTCACCAGATGTCAGCACCATGCTCTCGGATTTCCCAGCCTCCAGAAACCTTGTTTCTTTATAAATACCAGTCTGTGGTATGCTATTATAGCAGAGAAAATAGACTGAAACACTATTCGTATTCCTGCTATAAAGCTGAGGAAACTGAGGCAGAGATTCACAAAGCTATGAAGTGCCAGAGATGGGAGTTGAACCCAGTCTGTCGACAGACCTTGTGCTTTTACATGCATAACTCTGTTTTACAGTGTATAAGTCAAGAGGTAAATGGCTCCTAAGCAGGTATTATGTGCCTAATAGTACTCTGATTAAAAAAATGAAACAACTACATGATAGTTTAGATTTTTTAAATTCTTCACCTTTCTGGGTTGTGGTAACAAATCTCTCAAATTAAAATAATAGAGGACAGATCTACGAAATCAATACAACAAGAAGAATGCCATCTTAGCACACATAAACAAGTGGGGCCCACATTCTTCTGAAGCCCAGTGCAATTGGGGAGGTTCCCCTTGCCGCCAGTACCGGGATCCCATCCACTTACCTTTGGGTTCACTGATACTGTTTAATGGATTACAGGTAAAGTCTTTAATCTGCAAAGAAATACAGTCTTCTAGTGATACATTTGAAATTAGATAGGGACACACACATGGGATAATGGACAGATAATGTTGTTAGTAAATTAACCTTTTCACTAAATTATCCAGGGACATAGGGCATGTGGTCTTTAAAAGCATAGAGGCAGAAGTTATTACCCAAACCTCACCATCACACAATATATTCATGTAAAAAACCTGTCCATGTACACCTTGAATCTAAAATAAAATAACAAAAAATCTTTTTAAAGTTGCATTTGTATTTGGCTGCTTCTCAGAGTAATTACTGAAAGAAATTCTTACTTACCTTCAAATCAAATTAATTTTGAACTTTAACTGTATAAATCTTCAACATATTACTTTTAAATACCTTTTAAAAATGTATTTTATTGCACTAACTTTTACAAGCAATCACAAGGGGAAAAATATTCCATCTTCCTCACCTTATACCACTTACAAATGCTCTAAAGTAAAAACACATGTTCTTAGATAGACTGCGTTGCTTAAAGAAGCACGGTGCCACACTGCCGCCAGACATACCTGCTGTCTCTGAGTTATAATCAGCTCATTCTGCTCCTGGAGTCTCTGCCCTAGCTCTTCTATCCTTTTCTTATAGAAAACATTGCTTGCATTTAGATCATCTATCATTGAGGTTCGAAGTTTCTCTATATGTGACAGGAGCTGAAAAAAAGTTAAGAAAGGCATCCATCTGTAAGCTGCATGTCAAATGTCTTCATTCTCCAGATTTCAGGTATACATGCTCTGCCTGTTTTGCTAGCCTGATGCTATCCGTGCGCATCAAGTCGTTGAATAAATCTTTGATCATGGTATATCCTGGCCCTGGCTGCTCTAGGTGCTTCATCTGTGTTCCCAAGGGAGCTCACGTCCCCAAATAGACAACACTGATAATGGGAGCAGCTTAGCCAACTACAGCACATAACACGAAATAACACATGATGAGCAACGATAAAGGATTCAGGCTTCTCCTGCAGAGTGGCTCTGACCCTTAGTACTAAATTTCTCCTGCAGTCCTGTCCTTCCGATGCCCACATGGGCCATCCTAGGCCAGAGAGCACATCTTAATGTTTTTGTTGTTGTTTTTTTTTGACATGGAGTCTCGCTCTGTCACCCAGGCTGGAGTGCAGTGGAGCAATCTCGGCTCACTGCAGCCTCTGCCTCCTGGCTTCAAGCAATTCTCCTGCCTCAGTCTCCTGAGTAGCTGGGATTACAGGCCCACACAACCATACCTGGCTAAATTTTGTATTTTTAGTAGAGGCGGGGTTTCACCATGTTAACCAGGCTGGTCTCGAAGTCCTGAACTCAGTCGATCCACCCGCCTTGGCCTCTCAAAGTGTTGGGATTACAGGTATGAGCCACCGTGCCCAGCCCCATCTTAATTATTTTATATTCCCAGAAACTAGCACAATCCCTGGCCCTCAGCAGGTTCTCTGAGAAATGTTTACTGATAGATGTTTACCGAGAAAAAGAGGGGGAATGGTGGGGATTAGAGGGAAAGAGGGAGGGAGGGAAAGAAAGGGAGAGATGCAGAGGACAGAGATACAGAGACACACAGACATATTCATCTTTAGAGATAATGTCATGGAAGATCATAGACTGGACAAAAAGAATTCAAGAAGAATTTGTTTTCAATAATTGAAGGAAAGGCGCTTAAAGCAATTTCAGTAGTTGTTTAAACACAGAAGGCTAAAAAGAAACAAAGGGGGGGCGGCTTGAGGCCAGGTGTGGTGGCTCGTGCATGTAATCCCAGCACTTTGGGAGGCTGAGGCAGGCAGATCACTTGAGGTCAGGAGTTTCAGACCAGCCTGGCCAACATGGCAAAACCCCATCTCTAATAAAAATACAAAAATCAGCTAGGTGTGGTGGCGGGCGCCTGTAATCCCATCTACTCAGGAGGCTGAGGCAGGAGAATTTTTGAACCCCGGAGGCAGAGGCTGCAGTGAGCCAAGATCATGTCTTTGCACTCCAGCCTGGGTGACAGAGCGAGATTCCGTCTCAAAAAAAAAAAAGGCTTCATAATTGGGGTGAAGAACATTCCAAGTCTATGTCCTGGAAGTGGTGACAGGGTATCCTGATCAAATAAAGGAGCAGGAAGTGTCCGTGCCTGAGATGAGTATATAAGGGCACCTAGACCAGCATTTCCTCATTTGCTTGCTTTTAGAAAATTAACACTCATTGTGTACTAGATGCACTTCATTTTGTTGAATCCACACCACAATGTTATGGACACATGTTTTGGCCCCATCGTACAGATAGGAAAACTCAAGTCTAGAAAGGTAAAGTCACTGGCTCTAATTGAGACAGCCGAAGGTGGGCAGAGCCCAGACTTAAACTTTCACATGCAAGTTTCAAAGTCAGTGCTCTTTCGGGAGGCCGAGGAGGGAGGATCACTGGAGTCCAGGAGTTGGAGTTCAGCGTGGGCAATGCAGTAAGACCCTGTCTCTACAAAAAGTTTTAAAAATTAAGCTAGGTGTGGTGGGGTTAGCCTGTAGTCCTAGTTCCTCGGGAGGCTGAGGTGGGAGGGTTGCTTGACCCCAGGAGGTTGGAGCTGCAGTGAGCTATGCTCAAGCCACTGCACTGTAGCCCCGGTGACAGAGTAAGACCCTGTCTCAAAAAAAAAAAAAAAAAAAAAAGCAGTGTCTTAGCATCCTGCACAGCCTTGCCTCTGAAATGCTCTGTGCTCCTATGAGGCTGGACAAACACTGGGTGGAACCAATCTAGAAAGATTTTCCGAGTGAAACCTAAAAAGAATCTTTCCTTTCCTAGTGGATACTAAGAACCTCCCCCAAGGAGGGCATTGTCAAGAGCTTTCACTACATCTTTACAGGCCCCTGGAAAAGTGGCCTCCAAAGCAGTCTGGGAAATGCTGAGCTGGAAAATAGAAGGAAAAGCCAGTATAAATGTCCAGGCTGCTGGATGGAGGTTTAGGATCTCGGCCTTGATCAACTACATGGGGAGTTGCTCCAGGCCCCAGGAAGAAAGGAGATGTGGGAATATCTAAGGGATAACATCATTCTTAATAGAAGAGTTAAGAATGAATCAGAAAGGCACGGAAAAGAGTACATGGAGAAAGGAATGGAGAGGGTCTAGGCAAACATAGCCAGAAATTATTTTGAAGTTTGCAGCTCATGAGCCCATTTTCTGTGATCCCATTTCAAGCACTATGCATTTTTCCCTACTGGCCCACATCACCCCATCCTCCCTTCCTTCATTATGTGACCATCTGACAACCTCCCAAGCTCTCAAGAGTCTTCTGTTGGGTAAAAAGGGCATGCCATCGCTTATCTGTGACTGCCTGTGAACTCCTACCAATGTTATTTAAAACAAAAAAAATTGCCAAGAATCTAAGTAAATCAATAGAAAGTTGGCAAATGCAACTTTCCCTAAACAGAGAAATACAATATGTGCATTGTGGGAACAGCAGGCACCAATCATGTGGAATAATTAATAGTTAGGTCTCAGGCAGAGATTACTAAACCTGATTGAATTCACCCCTCTGTTAGGGTTTAAGAGCAAAGAAGGGAGAGGTAAGCAGCTTCTAAACAAGTCAAACCAACAGACGAGGAAGGAGTGCAGCCTAGTGGTGGCACAAATCCGCCCCCACATACCTAGTATGTGAGGCATGCGCCCCACTCAGAACCAGGAAAGGCCTCACCTTCTTCCTCCATGACAACTGTCCGTCTTTCTCTCTATCACAACTCGCAATGACAAAGTATAAAAACTGTAACTCGCTTTCTATTCCAGCCAGAGGCCACTGAAATTCCCACAACTGTCTGAAACACAGACAGCTTTAAAGGAGCCAGGATTTTAAAAATGCCTTCCCACCCCCGATTAATAAAGAAACCTGAATTCTGTCCCTAAATACCAATGCTAGAAAGATGGCTTGAAGAATAAGAGTAGGGATTTTAATGATCTAAGAGCAGTGGTTCAAACCATAGATCCAAAACAGGATAGCCTGGGTGGCTTTTGGTTTGTTTATCTCCAAAATCCATGTGTTCCAGACTTATCTACTAAATCAAGATCTCAGGGAGTGGAGCTGGCCACCTGTACTTTGGAAAAGAGTCTCAGGTAATTCTGAGGTGCATCCCTGGTTAGGGATTACCATGTCAGAGCATCCAAAGAAAAGATCCTGCGTCCTTACAGAAAAGCAACCACTTGAAGCTGTCACTGCCTGTTTTCCTTCCCGGCTGGGAGCTTCACAGGTGAGTGCCTGGAGCTAGACAGGCCAGCAGTGTAGTATGCCCTGGAGTACACAGGGCCTGCATTCAAATACCAGTGACCGTGGGCAACACAGCATCTGTCTAAGCCCCTGTGTCCTCACCTGTAAAATGAGTGACAGCATCTACTTCACAGAACTCTTAGAAGGCTTAAGTATATGGCAACTACAAATATCCATTTATTTCTAAATGTTCCCATGAAACCAAAGTTGTGCTGGTTAAATCAGCTTTCAAAAAAAACACCCTGATGAGGAGAAATGTGCACAGCTGAGAGCCGATATGAGTCAGCTCCAGGACACCAGGACATGAACTGTAAGAACAGGCCACTTTTGCTTCAGTGTAATGTAGGGGGACAAAGGAGAACACTCCTTGCACAGTGGAGCCACCTGTGGTGCAGAGAAACTACCATCCACTGCTCCTGGGATCCTGCATCTTAGCTGCCATAGATAAAATATGCTGGGAGGTGAACGCCATCGTCCTAACTACATAGTCATTGCCACGGGGGAAGCTCCCTGGGTGCAGGGTGGAAACGTGGACTAGTGTCCTCCCTACAGCAGATGGTGCTTAGACCTCCAGACAACTCTGGTAACCCTGCTCTTCTGAACCCTACAATCAGCCTTTCTCCATCTATGAAAACAAGGCTGAATGATGCCCTAGCTAGCTACCTTCCACATTCATTCTGCAAGTGTGTAGTGAGTGCCAACCACATTTCAGACACATGAGTGGATGCTGGGCAGACAATGGAGAGCTAAATAGACAGAGCCCTTCACTCAGAGGGCCAATGACGTGATTGGAGAGATAGACAATAAACAAGGAAACAAATAAGCAAGTAAACTATTTAAAATAGTGCTCAGAACTCTGTTTGAGATATTATGGGAATAATAAAGAAAAGGGACTACCTACTTGGATAGAGTGACATCAGGTGACCAGGACCCAGAGGCCAGAGGCAATGGGGTAGGCAGGGTTCTCAGGGGGCCCTCAAGGTTGTACCCCTGGTGTACACCCCCTGTGTGATGCTGTCCCTTGGTCTGAGGAGAACCTCCATTGTGCTTCTCAACCACAGAATACGGCAAAGGTGAAGGGACTCTGGAGACGCAATAGCAGTCCCAAATCTGTGGACTTTGAGGTTATGAAAAGGAAGATTATCCTGTGTGGGCCTGTCTTATTCAGGTGAGCCCCCTGAAAGAAGTTCCAGGCCAGGCATGGTGGCTCACGCCTGTAATCCTTGCACTTTGGGAGGCCGAGGCGGGTAGATCACCTGAGGTCAGGAGTTCAAGACCAGCCAGGCCAACACAGTGAAACCCCATCTCTACTAAGAATACAAAAATTAGCTCAGCATGGTGGCACGTAATCCCAGCTACTCGGGAGGCTAAGGCAGGAGAATCGCTTGAACCCAGGAAGCGGAGGTTGCAGTGAGCCAAGATGGCATCACTGCACTCCAGCCCGTGCAACAGAGTGAGACTCTGTCTCACCCCAAAAAAAAAAGAAATAAGAAGTCCCAGGCCCTTCCTGAAGCGGGAGAATGAAAGCAAGAGAGACACACTCTAGCTGGCCTTGAAGTCAACAGCCATGCTGTGCACTGCTATGGAGAAGGAGTAGCCTCTGGAACCTGATAGTCTCAGCCCTTCAAATAACCACAAGGAACCTCAGACAGGAACACAGCCCAGATGACACTCTCAATGCAGCCTGTGAGTCCCTGAGCCCAGCCAAGCCCTGCCTGGACTCCTATCCCACGGACATTGAGAAGAGAAATACATGCCATCTTCACCCACTCAATTTGTGGTCATTTGCTACACAGAATAGAAAACTCATACTGAGGGGAAGGAGGTAGCCATGTGAAGAGCAAGTCGAAGGGCTTGCCAACAATGAAAACCAGGTATAAAAGAGGAAAAGGCCAGAATGTTCTAGAAATTAGCAGAAAGTCATCATAGCTGGAAAGAGGAGGTTCCGAAAGGCAGGGGGTGGGGCGGGGGGGTCAGGCTGAGGCTAGAATGGCGGCCAGCAGCCAGGTTATTTTGCTGGCTCTGTGGAGAGCAGACTAAGGAAGGGGAAGGCTGGAATTGAGGAGACCCACCCTGGGGCCCATTCAGAAATGGAGGCTTAGTTAATGCAGGGCAACAGGAAAGTACAGAAGAACTGGTTCCATAGAGTGGGCCCTGCAGACAGCCTGGACTCGGGGATTGAGAGAGAAAGGTGGAATCAAGATGAGCATCTGGAGGAACGAGGGTGCCATTTGCCAAGTCTGGGGAACAAACCCAAGAACTTCATCTTAGGCATGTCGCACTTGAGAAGCCCATGGAGATGTCGAGTACTGAGCTGGCTACCTGATCTGGAACTCAGAAGAGTTGTTTAGGCTGAAGATGTAAACATGGGCATGATCCACACACAGCCCTAATCCCACTTCAAGAAACTCTCTCTGTTCAGTCCCTAGGGCACTCTGCATTTATCCCATCCTGATTCCCATAGCTGTAGCCTCACTCCTACTCCCTTCTGTACTGTAAGCGGTCTGAGGGCAGGCATTGTTCCACATCTCTTTTTAGCCTTATAAAGTGTAGTACATAGCAGATGCTCAGTAAATATCTCCTAAATTGAACTGCCACATCAGTGATACAATTTTCAATATAAACTACTGTATATGTGTATATCTATAGATATGTGTATTGGGTGTATGTCTGTGTATTATCACTATAAAGTATTTGCATGATGAAATGATATTTTAAATGGAATAGAGGAAAAATAGTGCTTCCTACTTCCTTTTCTAGCAATGATACAATCTTAAAGGTAGATTAATATCTAACTTTCCCATCGAAGTTCCTCAAGAACTGCAGGTGTTTTGTGAAATATTTTTATTTTTTGTTTGCTTTAGTTTGGCTCTAGTATTGTTCCCAGTTTCTTTTTCTCTCCCCGTCTTCCTCAGTATTTGTTCCACTTTGGAGAAATATAAGCTGATAAATTTTTTGATCATCTGAACACACTTCATCCTTGCAATTATACACATACATATTATATGATCTTTTGTCGTTTAATATTCTACTAAGAAAGGTAATATTAGAAAATGTGCAAAAGAGGAAACATTTTTTCCATTCAGAAAAGATTTACAAGAAATACTAAGGTACAAAACACAATTTCAAGTGAAAAAATAAACAGAAGTTTTCCTATTTTAAGACCTTCTCAAATACATCTACTTTAGATGTTTTGCACTAGTGTAAACACATTTTAACACTTAAATTTCTGATGTACTCAGGTGAAAGAGAATCAGTGTCATAATTAAAGTTTGTTTTCATTAAAGCGATTTTAATGTAAACAGTTCTTGCCTTTTTAAAAAATTACTTACATTGCAGTTCTGTGATACAAAAAAATCAGAAACATGTATTTGACAATGAAGAAATGATTAAGTCACTTATGATACATCCAATAAGATCATCATGAAAGTCATTAAAAGTCATGATTTTGAAGAATACTTTAAAACTTAGGAAAGGTCTATGATATATAAAGTGAAAAGTGTACAAACCTACAAAACATAATTCGAATGTTGTAAAACTATGTATATATGAGGTTCTACACTTACAGAAATGCATACAAGAAAACTGAAGCAGTGGACAAGAAGGCT
The DNA here is from genome assembly GCF_000001405.40 of Homo sapiens. Taxonomy (NCBI): domain Eukaryota; kingdom Metazoa; phylum Chordata; class Mammalia; order Primates; family Hominidae; genus Homo; species Homo sapiens. The sequence continues at coordinate 95,619,342 of NC_000013.11, forward strand.
GCTGGAGCTGGCAAGGTCACCAAGTCTGCCCAGAAAGCTCTGAAGGCTAAATGAATATTATCCCTAATACCTGCCAACCTACTCTTAATCAGTGGTGGAAGAATGGTCTCAGAACTGCTTGTTTCAATTGGCCATTTAAGTTTAGTAGTAAAAGACTGGTTAATGATACCAATGCATCGTAAAACCTTCAGAAGGAAAGGAGAATGTTTTGTGGACCACTTTGGTTTTCTTTTTTGTGTGTGGCAGTTTTAAGTTATTAGTTTTTAAAATCAGTACTTTTTAATGGGAACAACTTGACCAAAAATTTGTCACAGAATTTTGAGACCCATTAAAAAAGTTTCATGAGAAAAAAAAAAAAGAAAACAAATTATAAGAAAGTAGTAGCAGTGGTTATTTTGGTGTTAGAATTATAGGTAATTTTAATTTTGCTACACATTTCTCCCCAAATGTTATTAAGTGGACAAATATTATGTTTATTAAAAAGGAAAGCAAATATTTCTTTAAAAAATGGCCCACTTTAGGCCACTGGTTTCTTAACCTTACCCGACCCTTCTCTTTCTTGTGTTCTTGATGAATAGCTTGAACTCGAGCTGTCCATTTGCTTTCCTACAAAAGAATAAAAGAATAATTTATGTACAACTGTAACAATGAGATCTATGCAATATGGGAGCTTCCTTTTTAGTGAATACCTATGAAACCCAACTATCTATCTGGTAAAATTTTAGCTAGTGAAACAGTTTGGCTCTCGGTCCCCACTCAAATCTCATGTGTTGAAGGAAGGGCCTGGTGGGAGATGATTGAATCATGGGGGTGGACTTCCCCCTTGCTGTTCTCATGATAGTGAGTTCTCACAAGATCTGGTTGTTTAGAAGTGTGTAGCACTTCCCTCTTCACTCTTTCCTGCTCCATCATCTTAAGACGTGCTTGGTTCCCCTTTGTCCTTCTGCCAATGATTATAAGTTTCCTGAGGCCTCTCCAGCCATGCCTCCTGTACAGCCTATGGAACTGTGAGTCAATTAAACCTCTTTTCTTTATAAATTACCCAGTCTTAGGTAATTCTTTACAGTAGTATTAGAACAGACTAATACAGCTGGTATTTTTTAGAATATACACAGTCAAAAATGCTTAAATACATTTGCATCTGGTTTTAATCTTTTACCATAAGGCAGGGGTCAGGAAAAATTTTTTAGTAAGGAGCTAACAGTAAATATCATAGGCTCTGGGGGCCAGACAACTTGGTCACAACACAACACAATACAGCTGTGTCATTCCACAACTGTATTGGGACAACAGCCATGGATAAGATGTAAATGAACTAGCACTCATAAAATGTTACTGGGACATAGCCAGTAACACTTTATTTGCAAAAGGAGGTGCTAGTTTGCCAACCTAAGAGGCCAAAAGGAAACACCAAGGTTTCTGAGGCCATGGGTTCTGAACTGACAACACAACTCACAGGACAGAAACAGAAGAAATTTAGGTGGGACCTTAGGATTTTAGAGCCACATCCTTCAGTTCATGAGCGACCAGCTGTAGTCTACAGCCTGCTGGAAGCAACTGTCAACAGTTCAGTTCAGGACACAGCTCCTGGTTTCCTACCATATACCAGGCACCTCACTGGATGGCCACTGGCAGGCTAAAAGAAGATAAAAAGACAGGCCCTGCTCTGCACGGGAGGCGAGTAGACACAGCCATGGAGAATCCACATATAATGTGTATGTCATCAGATCCCACTTAGGGACTACAGAAATGCTATAGCCTAGAGGCTCAGGAGAACTTTCTGAAAGCGGTACCTGCCCCCCTGGCTGAATACTAAAGAATGAGTAAAAGACAGGTCCCGAAAACTGGGAGCTGCAGGACAGGCAGGAAAGCAGCCAGAACCGAGGAAAAAGACAGAAGGGCATGTTCTGAGAGGCATGGGCTGCTGGGCCGCTGGAGTGCCAGGAAAGCAAAGAACAGAGAAAGATGGCCCAGGGCCCAGAATCCGAAGGACCCTGCGTGCTGGTAGGAAGTCCGGAATAAGGGTCACTGAAGGACTTCAGACAGGACAGGGACATGGTCAGCCTGACTGCAGTGGAGCAGGTAGATTTGGGTCAGGGAGGAAACATGTGAGCACTGAAGCAAGAAGCAGTGGTCCCTGTTTCCAAAGTCTACTTACCTTTTTTAGAATGACCCAGGCTTTTAAAAAAGAATCCTGAATTCATAAGCTCTCATCTCTATTTGCTTCCTAGTTTAAAAAAATTGTTCCCCTAAACCGCTGTCACTTCCAAATGAAAGTGATTATGTTTGATAAATGTAACAGATCATCAGCTGACCAGTTAGCAGTGTGTGTGTGTGTGTGTGTGTGTGTGTGTGTGTGTGTGTGTGTGTGTGTATTTATTTATTTATTTTTTGAGACTGAGTATCACTCTTGTTGCCCAGACTGGAGTGCAATGGCGTGATCTCAGCTCACTGCAACCTCTGCCTCTTGGGTTCAAGCAATTCTCCTGCCTCAGCCCTCCGAGAAGCTGGGATTACAGGCATCTGCTACCACGCCCAGTTAATTGAGCCGAGGTGGGCGGATCACCTGAGGTCAGGAGTTCAAGATCAGCCTGGCCAATATGGTGAAACCCCGTTTCTACTAAAAATACAGTTAGCAGTATATTTAAACTCTAAAATTAAATCTGGTGCTTCAATATGCCCTTCTACACCTTTTGAAATTGAGAGCTACATCTGAAAGATGAAAAATGAATAGCTAGGTTATACTAACCAATTCAAATTGACTTTATGGAGAGAAGAAACAAAACAGTTCTGCCAACTGTTGTGTATGCTATTTGCCAACAGCAAGCATGTAACAAACACCTCTTATGATTTAGGCATGCTGTAGGAGAAAAATAACAGCTAGTCACCTTCAGGGTTACTAAAAAAGACAAACACTTTTTCTGCAGATGACACTCACTGTAAATTACTTCACTAAGAAAAAGGAAGGCATCCACTGCAGCTGTCACCCACTTGCACGTACCTGACTATCAAGAAGCTGCATGACATTATGGAAATCCTGGGGATATGGAGAACGGTCTTCTTTAAACTCGTGTGCATCTTTTAATGTGCCTATGTTGGACTTGATCTGCATATTGGACTTCTGGATTTCTGACAGTTGCTATAAGATAAAATTCAAGCTCAGTACTACAGTTAGACTTTCATAAGATGGAAACAGAGAATAAAATCAGGGAGCACATAGCTGTGTTTTAAATCTGACTGCCCTCTTGGACGCTCCTGGACGCTCTTGGACGCTTCTCCTGCTTCTGCTTCCCTGTGGTTTTACTGGTTTGTTTCTACTGCTTGCTGGTCTTCCTATCAGAATATGTACAGGGTGAAAAAAGGGGAAGGAAAATCTAACTTTCTAATCTTAAACGAGTCTAATTTTTTTTTTTTTTTTGGAGACAGGGTCTCATTCTGTTGCCCAGGCTAGAGTGCAGTGATATGATCATGGCTCACTGCAGCCTCAACCCCCTGGGTTCAAGCAATCCTTCCACCTCAGCCTCCTAGGTAGCTGGGACTACAGGCGTGCACCACCACACCCAGATAATTTTTGTATTTTTTTTGTAGAGACAGGGTTTTGCCATGTTGCCCAGGCTGGTCTCAAACTCCTGGGCTCACACAACAATCTGCCTACCTCAGCCTCCCAAAGTGCTGGGATTACAGGTGTGAGCCACCAGGCCCAGCTGGGGCTTAAAATTTTTTATGGGCACTTAATAGGTACCAGAAACAGAAGAACTGAATGCACCTGGTTCTTAAGCTAGTTTAGTGAGAGGCCAACACTGTCCAGGGACCACATCAGTAAATCCACTGGGGACATAACGTTTTTAATTTTACCCTTTTCTTTTCATATTATTCCCAATGTTACTCATGGCAAAAACCCTCAGAAAACCACAGAAGGTAACACATTAACTTCAAAAACAAAAGTATGGGGGAGCGCACGTCTCCTCTCCTCAGTGTAGGCTGCTCATAGTGACTTCATTTCAGAAAGGACAGCAGGGAAAGGAGGAAAAAAGAGAAAATCTTCAGTGGAGAAACCTGACAAACACTACCACAGCCAGGTAGCCAAGGTCAATAGCAACAGTTATAAGTCATGCAGATTCGTAACACAAAGTCTCAGACAAAACATTCAACTCTACTGCTCCCACACAAAAATGCCACAGACAGAGCGTAAATTACCAAACATGGCTGTGTTTCAATAAAACTTCACTCATGACACTGAAATGTGAACTTTAATGAAATTTTCCTGTGTCACAAAATAGTCTTCTTTTTTTCCAATGTTTTAAAAATTTAAAAACTGGCTGGGCACAGTGGCCCACAAATGTAATCCCAGCACTTTGGGAGGCCCAAGTGGGAGGATCACTTGAGGCCAGGAGTTCGACACCATCCTGGCCAACATGGTGAAACCGTCTCTACTAAAAATACAAAAATTAGCTGGGTGTGGTGGCATGTGCCTGTAACGCCAGCTACTCAGGAGGCTGAAGCACGAGAATCACTTGAACCCAGGAGGCAGAGGTTGCAGTGAGCTGAGATTGTGCCACTACACTCCAGACTGGGCAACAGAGAGAGACTCTGTCTTGAAAAAAATAAAAAGTAAAAATGTAAAAACTATTCTTATGTCAGAGGCCATTCAAAAACAGGTGGTATGCTGGACTTGGTTCATGGGCCATTCGCCAAATCTCACGCTAGAGTTTAAAGAGTTTTAGGAAAGCCCTCAGGTGAATTCCAAAAATCTCTATTTTCGTTTATAAAACTTGTTGGCCCCTAGAGGGAGCTCAAGGACCTTCGCTCAGCTCCCTTCCTTTCTCCGTTTTCCCCAAAGAAGACTCAGGTCAAGTCTAACCAGGGAGCTTAGAATTCTTAGAAGGACACTGATTGATTGGCTGCTTTCTAAAGAAGCAGCTCAGGTATCATCTATGCATGAGGCTGGGGCTGTATGGACCAGGGCTGTTCCCACAAGGGAGAGGGGCTCACTTAGCCATAACTTGCTTGCTTTAGAGACCCCACCTGGGCCTGGGTTGAGGAGGGAGCCTGGCAAAGGTTCTTAGCCTTTCTGGGTCTGCTTCTTTCCCTTCCCACTGGACAATGGAAAGTTCCAAAACTCAGGGAGGAGTTTACAGTTCAAGGCTAACCTAACCAGATAAGAAAAGAGGGACCATCATAGAAGAGGGTCTTCTATATCTCACCACGAGTGTTCTGCACTGAAGTTTAAGGCCAAAGCTCCCATTCTCAGCAAAACATCTCTGACTCACTCTGTCTCCTCTATGCCTCCCTCAAGACTCTCAGGGAGAAGAATGTCTGCACGAGGGTAACATAAAGTAACTGCTGGATCCCCTGGCCTTAATGCCATCCTAACACCACCTCTCAAGGCAATCAATACCATAAGAACTTCTAGGTTTAATACTTACATATTCTAATGCTGAATTCTTCGAAGTTAATTCTTTAAATTCCTTCATAAACATCTCCTTGACTTTTTCCATTTCATCAACTAGTTTCTCCTTTTCTTCTTCTTTCCACCTGTCAAATAACTTCAAAAAGTCTTCCTCTTTTGTTTTCTGCATTTCATATTCCTGAAATTATTTTAATACACATCTTTAAAAGTTCTGGTCTGAAGAAAATAAGCAATATTTAAAATAAAAGTTCATAGCATCACTTCAAAAATGTTAGCTAGTATTGCTTATTTCAGTGAGGCTTGTAACAACATTTCCTATCATGGCAGGTCTGTGCACAATGATTTTTCTAAACTAAAGGCAGCACACAGAATCCTCTTGTCCTTACATCCCTTAAAATACCAACACAGACGCCCAAAGCCTCCAGCTTTTTGTGTTCTATGAACTTGTATAAAAGTCATGCCATAATATATAAAATGTAAATATACTTTAAAGAAAACATATATTGAGCAATAAAAGAACATTTGTTGGCACCATAACAATTTGGATAGTGTAACTTCATCCCACCCCCAGAAAATACAAATTCAGATTTACAGGAGCTAAATTCAAGGTCAGCACTTGATTTCTCAATGACCTTCAGGGTTTTTAAAATCTAAATTGAGAACTTGAACGACACTATATGCCAACTAGCCCTAACACACATATACAGAACTCTGTACCCAACAATAGCAGAATATACATTCTTCTCAAGTGCACATGGAATATTTACCAGGAAGACCTTTTTTTAAGTCCATAAAGTGTTTCTCAGATTTAAAAAGATCAAAATCATGCAAAGATTCTTCTCTGATCACAATAGAATTAAGCCAGAAATCAGTAACAGAAGGGAACTGGAAAAGTAGCAAATACGTGGAAAGTAAACAACGTGCTCTTAAACAACCAATGGGTTAAGGAAAAACTCACTAGGGAAATTGGAAGATACTGTGAGGTTAATGAAAATGAAAACACAACATACCAAGATTCATGAGATGCAGCCAAATCAGTGCTCAGAAATAAATTTACAGCTGTAAGAGCCTACATTTAAAAAGAAGAAAGGTCCAGGTGTGATGGCTATGCCTGTAGTCCCAACAGTTTGGGAGGCCACGGTGGAACGATCACTTGATCTCAGGAGTTTGAGACCATCCTGGGAAACATTGTGAGACCTCATCTCTACCAAAAATTAAAAAAAAAAAAAAATTAGCCAGGTATGGTGGTACGTGCCTGTAATCCCAGCTACTTAGGAGGCTGAGGTGGGAGGACCACTTGGACCTGGGAGGTCAAGGCTGCAGTGAGCTGTGATTGTGCCACTGCACTCCAGCCTGGGCAACAGAGAGAGAGTCTATCTCCAAAAAACAAATATAGAAGAAGAAGAAAAATCTTAAATAAATAACCTAGCTAGAAAAAGATGAACAAACCAAACTCAAAGGCAGCAGAAAGAAAAAAATTATGAAAATTAGAGCAAAGATAAAGCAAAGAACAGGAAAGCAACAGAGAGAATAGATGAAGCCAAAATTTGGTTCTTTACAAAGATCAACAAAACTGACAAACCTTCAGCCACCCCAAATAAGAAATGAAAGTGAGGACATGACTACCAATCTTGGAGAAATTAAAAGGATTGTAAGAGAATATAATGAACAATTGTACAGCAACAAATTGGATAATCTAGGTGAAATAGACAAATTCCTACACAAATGACCAGACTGACCCAATACAAAGGAAATTTCAATAGACTTTCAATAAATAAAGGGATAGAGTTAGTAATCAACAACCTCCTAAAAAGGAAAAGTCCCAGACCAGATGGCTTTACTGGTGAATTCTACCAACTATTTTAAAAAAATAACATAGAATCCATAAGAAACGACTAAAGTAATAAACAAATTCAGCAAAGTTGCACAGTACAAGGTCAACATGCAAAAAGCAGCTATATTTCTATATACCAGCAATGAACAATCCAAGAAAGAAATTAAGAAAACAATTCCATTTATAATAGCATCCCAAAGAATAAAATACCTAGAAATAAATGTAACCTAAAAGGTGAAAAAGACTTGTACACTGAAAATTTTTGTTGTAAAAATTGAAGAACACTTAAATAAATGGAAAGACATCCCATGTTCATGGATTGGTAGATTTAATATGGTTAAAATGGCAATACTCTCCTAAGCAATCAAGAGATTCAATGTAATCCCATTCCAATAACCTTCTTTGCAGAAATGGAAAAGCCAATCCTCAATTTCATATGCAACTGTAAGAGGCCACAAATAACCAAAACAATATTGAAAAAGAAAAACAAAGTTGGAAGATGCACACTTATCTATTTCAAAGCCTACTACAAAGCTACAGTAATCAAAGTTGTGTGATATTGGCATAAAGACAGACATACAGACTAGGGGAATGGAATTGAGAATCCAGAGATAAACCCAAACATCTATGGTCAACTGATCTTCAACAAGGATGTTAGGAACATTCAATGAAAAAAGAATAGTCTCTTGAAAAATTGGCACTGGGACAACTGGATAAACCACATGCAAAAGTATAAAGTTGGGCCCCTCTCTCAATCTACATGCAAAAATTAACTCAAAATAGACCAATGACCTAATAGAGCTAAAGTGATGAAACTATTAGTGTATATAAATAACTCATACAGCTCAACAAGAAAAAGGCAAACAACCCAATTAAAAAATGGGCAAAGGATTTGAATAGACATTTCTCCAACTAAGATATATACAAATGGAAAATAAACATGAAGAGATGTTCAATATCATTGGTTGTTAAGGAAATACAAATCAAACTCCGATGAGATACCACTTCCCACCCACCCAATAGGATGGCTTTAATTAAGAAAACAGAAAAGTATAACAAGTATTGGTGAGGATGTGGAGAAATAAGAACATTACTGGTGAAAATGTAAAATGGTACAGCTACTGTGGAAGACAGTTTGGTGGTTCCTGAGAAAGTTAAACATAAAATTACCATATGACTCAGCAATTCCATTCCTAAGTATATAATCAAGAAAAATGAAAACATATGTCCACATAGAAACTGCCACATGAATGTTTATAGTAGCATTATTCATTAGAGCCAAAAGGTGAAAATGAATCAAATGTCATTCAATGGATGACTGGATAAACAAATTGTCTATGCATACCTACATACAATGGAATATTAGCAAGACCGACAAAGTACTGATACATGTTACAACTTAGATGAACCTCAAGAACATCATGCTAAGTGAAAAAAGCCAGACACAAAAGGTCACACATTACTTTTTTTTTTTCAGATGGGGTCTCATTCTGTAGCCAAATGGGGTGCAGCGGTGTGAACACAGCTCACTGCAGCCTTGACCTCCTGGACTCAAGCCATCTTCCTCCCTCCTCAGCCTCCTGAGTAGCTGGGACCACAAGCGCATGCCACCACACTTAGCTAATTTTTTAATTTTTTGTAGAGACAGGGTCTCACCATGTTGCGCAGACTGGTCTTGAACTCCTGGGCTCGAGCAATCCTCCCATCTTGGCCTCCCAAAATACTGGGATTACAGTTGTGAGCCACCACACGTGGTGTACATATTTTTTTTTAAAAGATATATACTGAATAGGAAAATTCATAGACATAAAAAGATTCGTGGTTACCAGGAGATGAGGGTAGTAGGAGTGATTATTTAATGGGTATGGGTTATTTTTCTGGGGTGTTGAAAGTTTTGAAACTAGAGAGATGGTAGTTGCACAATATTGTGAATACACTAAACGCTACTGGATTGTACACTGTAAAATGACTGTCTAAAAGAGATGTTGGTATACCCTTGTTCATAGCAGCATCAGTCATAATAGTTAAGAAGTGGAAGCAACCCAAGTGTCCAATAACAGATGAATAAGCAAAATGTGGTATACATACATATACCATGAACTATCATTCAGCCTGAAAAAGGAAGGAAATTCTGGCACACACTACAACATAGATAAACTTTGAGGACATTATGCTGAGTAAAATAAGCCAATGATGACAAAAAGACAAATACTCTATGCTTCCATTCATATGAGGTATCTAGAGCAGGCAAAATCACAGAGAGGGAAAGTAGCTGGAAGGAGGGGGGAGTGGAGCACTGTTTAATGGGTAGAGTTTCAGTTTTTCAATACAAAACAGTTCTGGAGATTGGCTGTATAACAATGTGAATATACTCAACACTACCGAACTGTACACTTAAAAATAGTTAAAATCATAAATTTTACATTATAGGTATATTACAATTTAAAAAGAAAGAGAAAGAGTGAGCCCATGTGGAAGACAGAAGCCTCTGTCAATGATTCTGTGAAATGACTGCTGTTATCCCTAGAAAGTCACACTTGCTGTCCCCATGGGGGAAACAAGGAAGAGCCAAGCACACTGTCACTCCAACAGTCACAAGGAAATAAATGCTCTTTGATGGCCTTACTCTCTCCATTAGGTACACCAAGGTCAACCCTCTGTTGGATAAACAATGGCATACGTGGTACCCACGGTGTACCCACAGTGACCCACAGAAGTCAGAACTCAATGAATCATGGGCCTCTTTCCTCTTGGGCCCTTCATCACCCCGAGTATCTCTGAACAAGTCATTCCAAGCACCCAATGGGCTGACACAAGGGTCACATAGATGAGAAAAAAGAAAAAAGGAAACAGATCGGAAGCATGAGGGAGACTCAACCCTCTGTTGGTGGCTTTGAGTATGGAGGAAGAGGGTCAGGAGCCCAGGAGTATGGGGAGCCTCACAAGGAAATTAGGAGCAGCCCTCCCTCAATGGACAGCCTGGAAGAAAGTGTAGACCTCTGGTCTACACCTGCCAGGAACTGAACTCTGCCAGCAACCAAATAAGCAAGAAATATTCTGTTCTATAGCCTCTACCAAGGCACATGGTCCTCCTGACACCTTGACTTTAGCCCAGTGAGAATGAGAAGTGTCAGACTTCTGTTCTAAGCAAAATTTTAGAAAGTTAATTGTGTGTTATATGAATTCCACCCCAATTTTCTAAAAGGCTTTCAAAAAATAGAGAAATATATTTCCAGTGATGTGCTTTGTAGTAAGATACTAAAGAGTAGATTGGCAATAAAAAATGCAATCATCTTGTCAAATTCACAAACTCTTAAGTGTCCTCTGTTTATTAGAGTCCATGGCATAATTGAATTACATACAGTTAATTGTAATTAAAATACCACAGAATTCTGCCTGGTACCTTGGAGAATCTGACTGCACTGGCATGGTGTGCAGCCTCTAGCTCAGACCTGGTGAGCTGCAGCTCTTCCTTCAATACGACGATCTCACTCCGGAGCTTCTCAATCTGTGCATTTTTCTGATACTCTGTTGCAACAGAAAATCGTGTTAAAACACCATCTCTTACCAAATGTACCTGGAAACTTATGGGGTACAGTCCTGTTGATAACACGAAGGAAACTGTCCTCTTACTTGGGATACGATTACTTGTTTCATGCCACATGAGCCAATTTTTGCTCTTTAGTTTATTTGGAGCCCAGTGTATTTTGGGGCACTGAATTATTTTTTAGCAGATTCTTTCAGCCGCTGTGTTGAGGTTGGATTATCCTACATAGATACATGAGAGCCCTCTTCAGGGAGCAATAATGGTAACAAGGAATAATACAGGGTGCTTTGACCCAGTGGCACTCTGGGCTTTTCTTAGAGGTGCCTGTCTCAATCACAGAAGGCAAGCAACAGCTTCCTCTGCAGGCACCACCATACTGAAATCTCTGTGGTCACCATCCTTTAGGTGCCCGCTGAACTCTTCTGAGGACCCCATCAGTGCTAATACAAGCAGAGGACTTGGGGGGCATTCAAAATGCAAACTTGGGCCATAGTCTATCAACTGGGGTAGAAGTGAGGTACTGAAAAGTTGTAAAAGGAAGCAACAAGTGAAAGGAAGAATACTTATGTACATGTACTTACATGCAGATGTACACATGACTGAATGGATGTACATGTGTCTGTGAGTGTAGACATGAAAGGTATGGAAACCAAAGTAGAAAGTCAGAATCTCAAAGATGACCTGAAGAAATAATACTCGTTTCAGAGTCTGAAACCCTCTCTGAAACGAGTATGAGTTAGAATAAGATACTGAAACAGAAGAGAAAGAAGGTCAGTTTCACGCTGAAGAATGGTAGATTAATTAAAATATTTCATCTTTCCAAAATATTGCTAAATTTTATCAGTGATTCAAGACTTATTAATGAGATTATTATGCTGTTATTTTTGTTTCTACGAAGCTTAGCTATTTCCTAAGTAATCTATTTAACTGAAATGGGCAAGAATGGAAACAACCTGGCCCAAACTGGAGGGAAATGCAGGTACTGAGTATATAAGCCAAGTACCCACGTCTAGATACTGAGAACATTTAAGATCAGAATGAGGTCGGGCACAGTGGCTCACGCCTGTATTCCTAGCCCTTTGGTAGTCCAAGGGGGATGAATTACTTGAGGCCAGGAGTTCGAGACCAGCCTGGGCAACACAGCAAAACCCCAATCCCTACTAAGAAAAAAAAGAAATACAAAAACTAGCCAGGTGTGGTAGTGAGTGCCCGTAGTCCCAGCTACTTGGGAGGCTGAAGCAACGGAATCACTTGAACCCAGGAGAAGGAGGTTGCAGTGAGCCAAGATGGCACCACTGCACTCCAGCTTGGGCCACAGGGGGAGATTCCATCTCAAAAAAAAAAACAAAAAACGATAAAAATAAGAATTTCTGTGGGTTACTGTGGCAATCTGCAGGAAGCTTTGATCTGCCCATGGAGAAAGAGCCCTTACATTCTTTGCTTTTGAGAATACTTCAATGGCAGAAAACCTGGCTCCTTGGTAAGCCTCAGAGTCCCCTCCCCTCTCTTGCGTCTTCATTTTGCATACCATCTATATTGTCGGTGGTGCACACCCAAACACATCTTAGTATCTCCCACATCAAATGAAACAAAGTTGTCCCTGGGTCTCACATTTCTGTCCAGATGAAGCCTCATGTCTCTGCTTTCCTTCCCAATAAGTGTTATTGAAACCAATGTCTGGATACAGTAGGACCACTCCCTCATGATACTCAGCTCAGCTCAGGGGAATCAGACTTTTGTCCCCATCTGTCTACTGAAGCTGCTGTGCCAAGGTCACCAACAACCGTCTTGACAACAGCCGTCCATTGTCAGTCTTCATCTTACTCTGTACCTCAGCGGCATTTGATATGACTGACCACTGCCTCCTCTGTGAAATACTTTTCCCTTGGTTTCCATGACAACACACTCCCCAGGTTTCCCTCCAGCTTTGCTAGAGACTATTCCTCACTCTCTGCTGCTGCTCTTTCTGAGCTCCTAGCATTGGGAAGACCTTGGGGCTGACCTCATCACTTTCTATTCTCTATCTAGGTGACCTCAGCCAGACCAGCTCTACTCCAGTGATTCCCAGATTTAAATCTCCAGCCTGGGTCTCCACCTTAAGCTGCAGCCCTTCAGTACCCCCACCTGCATGTCTGTTGCACATGTGATGTAAACGCACCCATGGCAAGTACAAACTCTCAGCCCTCTTCCTCCTTGAAATTGCCTCCCGACCCTGGCCCTCCATCACAGAAAGCATCACCATTCACCCAAACATGGAGGACAGAAACCCAGGGTCCTCTGTAGCTTCTGGGTCCACAACTTATCTGTTACAACTTCACCTGCCCACCTGCCTGGGGACAAAGCTGGTCCAGGCCCCCGTCTCTCTCACCTCGGCTGCGATTGCAGCCTCCTCCCCTCACTCATCCACTGCTTCCACTGTCGCCCCAACAGTAGTCTCTATCCACAGCTAGAAGGGTCATGCTAAGGTACACATTAATTAGATCATGCCCTTCCCCTACCTAAAATCCTCCAGTGGCTCCACCTTACGCATATAAAAACTCCACATTCCAGCCCACGCCTTCACGGCTTCCTGTGATCAGGCCCCCAGCACTTCAGCCTCACCACACACCATCACCTCACCTATTCTATTCCATTCCACCAGCCCTTCTGTTCCTCAAACACATCATCCCAGCACACCTCACGTCCCTTACAGTCAGTGTTCCTTGGCCTGTGACACACTTTTCTGAGACTTTCACCCCACCTGGAGTCACTCTCTACCCCATTGTCCTGCGCTATGATCTTCATCGCATTTGCCACCATTTGAGAAGAATTACTCATTTGTCTGTTTAATTACTCATTTATCTGTTTAAATGTGTCTCCTCAACCCCCTTTAGAATGTAAAACTCGAGAGAGAGTGGGGCTTCTCCGTTCAGCTTGTGGCTGTATCTCCAGCACCTGGTGCACTGTATGCACCTCCTGAGGGCTCCATATTTACTTACTGAATTGACAGGGACCGTGATGCTTCTTTTAAGAGGACTGGGAAATGCACTGGACCAAGTCTCATTGCCAAAAGAAAAAGGGAGCAGGAAGAAAAGAGCTTTCAAACAGAACTCATTACTCACCAAAATGAGAATTTTCTTCAGTGTGGCGGCGTTGAATGTGACTTTGTAGAAAAGCTTGGTTCATAAAGGCCTTGTCACAAAAATGGCACTGAAAAGGAGAGAGCAACAAATCCAAGTGTCTGTAACGACTGTCGTCCCACTTAATTGCAATTAAAATTCAGGTACCTGGCCAGGCACTGTGGCTCACGCCTGTAATCCCAGCACTTTAGGAGGTCAAGGTAGGCAGATCACCCAAGGTTAGAAGTTTGAGACCAGCCTGGCCAACATGATGAAACCCCATCTCCACAAAAAAATACAAAATTAGGTATAGTGGCATGTGCCTGTAGTCCCAGCTACTAGGGAGACTGAGGGAAGAGAATCACTTGAACCCAGGAAGCAGATGCTGCAGTGAGCTGAGATTGCACCACTGCACTCCAGCCTGGACAACAGAGCGAGACTCCATCTCAAAAAAAAAAAAAAAAAAAAAAAATTCAGGTACCTGAAGCACTACCTCTTGGGCGCTTTCTCGCTGAACGATACCATCCTAGCAAGAGATACTGAAAGCATGACTAATAGACGAGACATGAAACCAGGCTGGGTGCAGTGGCTCATGCCTGTAATCCCAGCACGAGGCCGAAGGCAGTTGGGGGGTCACTTGAGCCAGGAGTTCGAGACCAGCCTGGGCAACATGGCGAGAGCCCATCTCTACAAAAAGTAAAAATATAAGTAAATAAATAAAAATAAAACCAGGGCATTCCTCCCAAACTGAAGACAAGGCAGTGAAAACTACCTCTTGACAGTTAAAGGAGCCCTTCTGCTGCTTTCTGGAGCCCCTGATGCTGCTCTTGTTAGACTGACAGCTTCCACTCTATCAACAACAACCTGCCCCTGCCACTCCAGCCACACCAGCCTTCTTTCTGTCCTGCAGCCATGCCAATCTCAGAGGCTTTGCATTCATTGTTGCCCCTGCCTGATCTTATCCAGACCCTCCTCCCATGGCTGGCACCTTCTCCTGACATTCAAGATGTCATTCATCAAGCATCTTCCACGCTGAGGATGACAGCATGTCCTCAACAAAATCCTCAAGATCCTCCTGCCTGTCACAGTCTCTGTCACATCACGTAGTCTTCTTTTCATCCTCATACATCTCACTGGCTAATATTTTCACGTTTGTGTACTTCACTTGTTTATTGTCTCTAGCCCAGTCCCTCCAGGTTTTAGAATATAGATTTCTGAGGGCAGGGCCTCTAGCTTTCTCCCCAGAACACAGGCTTAATATATGAATGAACAAAAGCTTGGAAGTATAACCTATTAAAATAAATTTTCTGAGAAAAAAGAAGTCAATTCCACGTATACCTCTGTTTTTCTACTTTTACACTGATTGAAATTTTAAGCAAAAATCCCATTTGTTCCATCTATATACTCACCCCTGGATTACTCTGAAGTAAATCCTGGATATTATATATTTCATTTGTAAATATTTCAGAATGTATCTCTAAAAGGAAGACAGGACTTTAACACAAATCATAATACCATTATTCCACCTTATAAAATATAAAAATTAAATCCTTTTTAAAAAACAAATATTCAACTATTTGGATAATTTTTAATTTTTATTAATTTGATTATTTTTCCCTAATATTTCACATATTGTCTTAGAAAAAACATTCGGTTTGTTTTGGAATAATTATTAATAACTGGATCCAAATAAGACCCTATCCCTATCCTGTAACTGATGGTTATGTCTCTTAACACTCTTTTAGTCTATAGGTTTCCCCTCCACCTCTTTTTTTTCCTTGCTATCCTTTTGCTGAAGGGGCTGAAGCTTGTCCTGCAGAGTTTCCCTCCATTTGGATTTTGCTCTTTTCATGCCCATTGTGTCACTGAACATGTTCTTTTGTTCACCATGCTGCCTTACTCTTAATCAGTGTAACTGCATCCAGACTTCAGGCTTTGGTTTCTAAAACTAACATTCTGCATATTTCCTTTTTTTTTTTTTTTTTTTTAAGTGTCTCCCTCTGTCACCCAGGCTGGAGTACAGTGGCGTAATCATGGCTCACTGCAGCTTTAACCTCCCAGGTTCAAGCGATTCTCCTGCCACAGCCTCCTGAGTAGCTGAGATTACAGGTGCCCGCCACCACTCCCAGCTAATTTTTGTATTTTTAGTAGAGATGGAGTTTCACCATGTTGGCCAGGCTGGGCACGAACTCTCAACCTCAAATGATCCACCCACCTTGGCCTCCCAAAGTGCTGGAATTACAGGTGTAACCCACGGTGCCCAGTCATATTCTGGTATATTTCTTGGTATTGCATCTCAGAGAATCCCTAAAGCATCTCTTCAACCTCCCGGGCTCATGACAGCTTTGGTTCACCTATAGAACTTTAGGGACCCCTCACACCAGCTCTGATGTAAGTCATATAGGCTCTCGGGCTGTGTACAGCACTGGAGAAAGGAAAGGAAGAGGAAGCTATGCCTCCCTCTCTCCCCACCCCACCCCAGAGTTCACATGTTGCCAGAAGGTGTTCTAACGATACTGTTCCTAACAGAGACAGAGACCATCCAGCCTTCAAACTGCAATACGGCCACTCTATCAGGGCAAGTAGAATGCTTCAGCAGGGCTGCCCATGTAAGTGTAAGATGAGAGAAATGCACAGTGATGATGGAGAGGATGCAAACACACCACCCTGTCAAAGGGAGGAGGGGAAAAAAAGGTAGGGAGGTAAGGAGGTAGGGAGGGAAAGAGGGAAGGAAAGAGGGAAGGTAGGAAGAAGGAAGGAAGGGAGGGAGGGAGGGAGGAAAAGGGAGGAAAAACATGGCATGCAAAAATAAAGCTTACTGCAGGGGATCTATAAATTAAGAAAGGAATCTAAAGATGTTCTTCACAATCTATTCACATCACAGAACATAAGAGTAGCATACATTCTATAAAAATGATATGATTTTTTAAAAAACCAGAATGAGTTTAAAAAGAAAGATAAAATACAAAAAAAAAAAAAAGATCTGAAACATCATTGCAGAACAAATAAATAAGAAAAAGCAAGGAATAGGGCCGGGTGCAGTGGCTCACGCCTGTAATCCCAGCACTTTGGGAGGCCAAGGTGGGTGGATCACCTGAGGTCAGGAGTTTGAGACCAGCCTGGCCAACTTGGCGAAACCCTGTCTCTACTAAAAATACAAAAATTAGCCAGATGTGGTAGCACATGCCTGTGATCCCAGCTACTCGGGAGGCTGAGGCCGGAGAATCGCTTGAACCTGGGAGGTGGAGGTTGCAGTGAGACAAGATTGCGCCACTGCACTCGGGGCCAGGGTGACAAAACAAGACCTTGACTCAAAAAAAAAAAAAAAAATAGAAAAAAAGAAAAGAGAAAGCAAGGAATAAAAGAGACACTGTTGAAAACTGAATTGCTCACTAAAGGAAAGGCTGACATAATTTATCACAGTGAATGTAGATTAGAAGGAAAGAATTAAAGCAATGAGAAAGAAACCAAAGAGTACGGAGAACTAATGGACAAAATCAATACTGCATAAAGGTAACTGGTTTCCCAGAAGTAGAGAAGCCAAAAATGAAACAAAATTTAAAGACTGAATACAAGAGTGTTTCTCTGAAGTGCAGTGAAAGCTGAATCTGCAGATTAAGAATTCACCAGGTTCCAGGGAAAACTGATACAGAACACTCAACACCAAGACATACCCTAGAAAGCTACTAGGCTTCAAGCAGAAAGAAGGGACTCTTCAGTCATGCAGGCAGAAAAAGCAAGTCACTCACAAGAAAAAAACTTTAGGCCACCCTCAAACTTCTCACAGCAACATTTACTGCCAGAAGACAAAGGAACCACATCAAAAAGTTCAGAGGGAAAGTGTGACTAAGAATATTCTTCATCCAATATGTCTTTCAAACTTGATAGAGTTGAAGAAATGCAGCACTCTTGGGCCTTCTGGGTAAGACAAATCATTTTGACAATCCTATGAATTAAGAGATAATTCAAAATGAGAAACTCAAGAATGGAGATGTTGAGGTGAAAGGATTTTGAATGAGCACATAAATATAAAACCAATGAAAAAAACAAGTAAGACATTATGGCTGAGTAAGAGAATGTGAATGTTACCAACCTGGATAGTGTAACTCTCCAAACTGGGAGAGAAGCCCTGACTCCAACTGTGACTGTGTTTGGAGATGAGGCCTTTAATGAGATAATTAAGGTTAAATAAGATCATAAGGCGGGGGGCCTAATCTGATAGGGTAAGTGTGGCACAGTGGCTCACACCTGTAGTCCCAGCTACTTGCAAGGCTGAGGCGGAAAGAATATTTGAGCCTAGGAGTTTAAGGCCAGCCTGGGCACATAGCAAGACCCCTTCACTTTAAAAAAAGAAAAAGAGAGAGACATTAGCGATCTCTCTCTCTCTCTCTCTCTCTCTCTCTCTCTCTCTCTCTCCAAACACAGAAAAGGCCATGTGATGAGGACATAGCAAGAAGGTGGCTGTTTACAAGCCAGGAAGAGAGGCCTCACCAGGAACCATCCCTGTTGACACCTTGATCTTCAACTTCCAGCCTCCAGAACTGTGAGAAAATACATTTCTGTTGTTTAAACCATCTAACCTGTGTTATTTTTATGGCAGCCTTGGCAGATTAGTACAGATCTATAAGTATAATATCATTTATAGAAAATTTTCAAACTTAAAAACACTGTCTTATGAATACATATGTTCATAAAAATATTTTATATGTTCATAAACATAAATAGGAAGGATATAGTCAAACAGATTTTCTCTGAGAATCGAGGAAGGGAAAATTATTTATTTCTAAGATGTTTAAAACTCTTTAAACATTTTGCTATCTTGGAAATATAGCAAAATGCTAACCTGAGTTCAATCTTTTTTTTTTTTTTTTTTTTTGAGATGGAGTTTTGCTCTTGTCACCCAGGATGGAGAGCAATGGCGTGATCCCAGCTCATTGCAACCTCCACCTCCTGGGTTTAAGTGATTCTCCTGCTTCAGCCTCCCAAGTAGCTGGGATTACAGGTATGCGCCACCACACCTGGCTAATTTTTGTATTTTTAGTAGAGATGGGGTTATACCATGTTGGCCAGGCTTCTCTTGAACTCCTGATCTCAGATGATCTGCCTGCCTTGGCCTCCCAAAGTGCTGGGATTACAGGTGTGAGCCACTGCGCCCAGCCTAACCTGAGTTAAATCTAAGAGGTGGGTATATGGTATGTCTTACATTAGTCTATGCACTTTTTTGTATGTTTATAATATTTCAGTACTAATTTTTATTTGAAAATCGATGAGATTTTTCTTTTAAAATCCCCCATATATGGGTATTCACTATATTGTTGTTTTAATTTTTCTGCATTTTAAATTTTTTAAATAAAATATTGAGGAAAAAGACCTTACACATTGCCATCACTACCCCCCTTATACACAACACACACACACACACACACACACACGCACACCCCATGGGGGAAAAAACCCATTAGGATGCGTGCGTGTGTGTGTCTGTCTGTCTGTGTCTTCAAGCCTTCAAGAACAGGCATCTTTAATTTTTTTTTGTCTCAGCTACTCAGTTCTTATGATTTCTTAAAGCAAAGGGAGTAGAGACAAAGAGAAGTGGTATGAGAATGAGAATGAGACCACAATTTCTCAAAGGTAAAACTGATAATGCGGTGGACCCAATCATTGTGTCAGAACAAGGAGTCTAGGCTTTGGATTTTCTGTATAGGGGAAGAAAGAAAAACTCACATGATAGCAGTCATATGATTGTTCACATTTTGTAGTAAGTCAGCTTTAGTATTTGTCATGCCACAAAACGTTTTTCCCTCATTCCCAGGTATTAGCTAAAACAATAACTAACTACATGCCAAGCACTGCTCTAAGCACAGTCTATGCACTAAGTCATTCAATCCCCATTAACAACTGCTATATGGTAGGTACAATTAATATTCCCATTTCACAGAGTAGAAACTGAGGCACAGGGAGGTTGAGCAACTTGCCAAGGTCTGGTAGCTGAAAAAGTAGTAGGTGTCACTCATTTGATAAATTGAGTCATTACCTTTTAATCATTACTTATCATTCACATTTGAAAATCTTCTCTTAGGCCAGGTGTGGTGGCTCACGTCTGTAATCCCAGCATTTTGGGAGGCTGAGGTGGGTGGATCACTTGAGGTCAGGAGTTTGAGACCAGCCTGGCCAACACGGTGAAACCTCGTCTCTACTAAAAATACAAAAATTAGCTGGGCATGGTGGTGCACACCTGTAGTCCCAGCTACTCAAGAAGCTGAGGTGGGAAAATCGCTTGAACGCGGGAGAAGGAGGCTGCAGTGAGCCAAGACCGCACCCCTGCACGCCAGCCTGGGCGACAGAGTGAGACTCCATCTCAAAAAAAAAAAAAAAAAGAGAGAGAGAGAGAAAGAGAAAGAAAGAAAATCTTCTCTTATAACAGCCATTTCTATAGTAACCCCAAAAAAGGAAAAAAAAGTTTATAAACATACAATTTCTGTATGTTAGAGGTTTTAACATTTCACTAGATGGCTGCTAAAGCTGGACTATAATAAATCTTTAAAAATGTTTAAATAGAATCCATTATATTCGTTGCACAAGAAAAAAACCATCTTAGCACTATTTGTAAATATTTAATTTTTAAGCAGCATTTATAAAACAAATAAGCAATTAGCAATGCCCAGTGTCATTTGAAGATTATACCTCAGGGTTGTCTACCCAAGACCAAACACTAAGTCCTTCTAATAATATTCCTAATTGTTCCCTTATCTTTTTTATTTTTATTTATTTTTTTTTTTTTGAGATAGATTCTCACTCTGTTGCCAGGCTGGAGTGCAGTGGCGCTATCTTGGCTCACTGCAACCTCCGCCTCCTGGGTTTAAGCGATTCTCCTGCCTCAGCCTCCCAAGTAGCTGGGACTACAGGCACATGCCACCAAGCCCAGCGAATTTTGGTATTTTTAGTAGACACGGGGTTTCACCATGTTAGCCAGGATGGTCTCGGGTCTCAATCTCCTGACCTCGTGATCCGCCCGCCTCGGCCTCCCAAAGTGCTGGGATTACAGGTGTGAGCCACTGCACCCGGCCACTGTTCCCCTATCTTAAGAACACTCAACACTCCTGCTGGGTCAGTCCTGAGCAATATTAACTGCACCATTTTCTCTGCCCTGCACCCAGTTCTCTCCAGCATTCATGCATCAGCTCCACTATTCCTAAATCCAGTGAGGCCTTTTAAGCCATAGTCAGCCGAAAGGACTAGAAAGTAAGGGCATGACATCAATCTTGTTAATCTGTTGCTTACTTCAATATCTTTCTCAATCATTGTTTATACCTTCTGCACTTCCTCCAACTAGTCAATAAAAAAAAAATACATTGGTTTATGTTATACTCAAAAATTGCAATATTTATCTTGGACTCAATGTCTAACCCAAAACAGTAGAAGATTAAGACCAGAAGATAAAAATATTTTATTCTTTAAATACTGTTATGTAAGTGAATGTTCTTGTTCTTAGAAAATATACACATCGAAATATTTAGGATCTGCAACTCACTGTGAAATGGTTCAAAAGTAATAATAATATGTATACAGAAATAGAGGGACTGTGGAAAATGTTAATAATGGGGGAATCTGGGTGAAGGGCGCATGAAAATTCCTTACAGTCTCCTGGCAACTTTTCTGTCAGTTTGAAAGTATTTCAAAATTTATAAAAATGAGAAAAAGACCCTACAAATTTAAACATTCTGCATCGTTTGGGGACTGGCTTCAACAGCAATTTGTATATGGTTTTTTCATGTTGAGGTTGATTCGGAGGAGGAAAGTGTTTCAACAACCAGCATTTAGATAACTTCCATAAAGCACCACAGACGACATTTGTTGTTTAATTATTAATCCCCTGATTGTCTGCAGAAGGTAATGAACCATGACATTTGTTGGTTAAATGACTGTTTTTGCTTAAATATACTGTGTCTTCTGATATACAATATAAATCTTTAAGAAGAAAGAGTGGTGATACGGGACAGGCCTATCAAATGGGAACTGAGTTGTTTACTGGATTATGAATCGTGCTCACACACAGCTGCCCACCTGGTAATAGTTGGCTTTGGCCTCGATCATCAGCTGCTGGGTGGAGATCATCTTCTTCCGGCGTTTGCACTCTTCCTTGAGCGTCTTGATCTCCCCCGCCTGCTTGGTGAGCAGCTTCTTGCTCTGCTCGCCGTCGCAGTGGCTCAGGCGCAGCCGCTCCTCCAGGGTGTGCAGCTGCGAGGTGAGGAACTCTTGTGAGTGCAGCAAGTACTCGATGGTGAACTGCGCCAGACGGATGAGCTTCAGCAGCACCGGGTCCACCCCCGACTGGCAGTGTGGGCACTTCTCGTCTTCCAGCTTGCAGAAGGTGATGTTCATGATGTTCTCCTGCAGCGTCAGCACGTCCACAGCCCCCGCCACCTTGTCCACGTCGATGGCGCTCAGCCGCCGCCAGTCCACACTCTCCAGCCGCGGCCTGAACTGGAAGAAGGGCAGGGGCCCCGAAGCCGCGCTGGGGGGCGCACAGGCCATGGAGGCCGCACCCGCGGCGGCGGCGGCCACAGCGACGTCGGGCCCCTCTGGGCCGCTGGCGAGCGGGTAGTAGACATGCTTCTGGAAGGGCTGCGGGGGGCACAAAGAGAGCGCGGCGGGAGGCGGGGATGGGGGGCGGGCAGGCTGGGGAGCTGGGGGTCCGGGGAAGCCCCGGTTCTCCCCAGCCCGGCATCCCCGTCGGGGGCGCCCCGGCCTCCCGCCTCTTACCATGCTTGAAAACCAATCCGCTGCCTCAGCTTGCATAGGAGGAGCCGGGCGGTCTTTACCCAGCCTGGGCCGCCTCCCGGGCCGCCGCCGCCACAGCCCTCAGGAGCGGGAGAAGGCCGGGTTCCTCGCTTCCGCGGCGGCGGCGGCCTAAGGTCTGGGCGTCCAGGACGTTGCTATAGCAGCGCCCAGGTCCGGACCTGGAGCAAAGGGCGCGTCTGCCCGCGCAGGGTCAGCGTGCACCCAGAACCCTGCGGGACCAGAGAAGACCTCTTGGACGAGCCCGAGTGGACACAGCCGTTCACCCGAAGAGGGTACCTCCTGGGTACCGGCTCCCCAGGGCGCCACCCTCCCTGGCGTTTGGGGCTGGACACTCCATGTCCCTAAGGCAGGCGTGGGGAGCCACATCCCTGGGAACCTTTGGTCTTAACTGCCATCCCCTGGTTATTTATTCACTGTAGCCCTGGCCTTAGGCTTTGAAATTAGAAATATCTATTCATTCCATCATTAATAGAAAAAGAAAAAAAAAGTAGTATCTATTCATCCTCATCTTTTACACACGATTTAGAAAACATTAAGCAATAAAATATATATAATTAAATGTGATAGAGGGGGACTCGCTGCAAAAGGGCATGAGGAAGCTTTTGGCATAACAGAAATGTTTTTCATTTTGATTGTGGTGTTGATTACCCAGCAATATACACTTGGCCAAATTCACCGAATTGTGTCCTTAAAGTTAAGGGTACATTTTTATTATATCTCAATAAAGTTGTTTTTTAAATGAAATTTGCAGTTAATCATATTTGATGGCAGGCTTTCTAGATTTCTGACACCCAAGTTGCTTTTTAAATGGAGTCTTTCTTCCTTTGTAGGTTAGCAGCCTAAATATAACATTTTGATAAAAGTACGAACCAAAGAACTCCCCAAAATATGTAATACTTCACCTGTCTTTCCAAAAGGATACATACTCAAAATGCTGAAGGTAGAAACAGATGGAGGGGGATTTTAGCCATCAGCTTTACCAACAAGTTTTACAGGGCCATGGTATTTACCTTACAAACTTGGGTCGGGGCTGCATTCTGGGCTTTGGAGAGGCTAAAATATTTCTAGCAGCGACTTGTAGACCTCAGGCCTCTCATTTCTATGGGTCTTCTGGGGGCCTCCAGTGGTTACCACAGAGATCAATAAGCTGAGGAAAAGCCAGACATTCCCCAATCCACCGGGGAATTCCTGCTTGGACCAGACATCAGGAATTTTTTTTTCTTTCCTAACATCCAAATATGTGAACAGAAGAAAGGAAAATACAATTCAGAGTAACTGGAAGCAAAGTTGTAATATCAAATATATTTAGCACTTTCAAGATATTGTTAACTAGAAATAAACCCATGCAAAAACATCCAGGAAATAAAACACGCACTTCATATGGTTTCAAATAAACCATATGTCCAAGTTAATTGGCCTTTATTCCCTGCAACCAGGCATAAAAAGTGCTAAAGACATAAATAGTTTCAAAGTTTGATTCTGTCACTTACTTGCTCCCTGATCTAGAACAAATTGTCAGCTCTAAGACTTAGCTTCCTCCATCTGTTTAAGAGCATCAAGACACCGACCTGGCAGGTCTGTAGATTCTGGACTCCATCCACTGGGCTGCAGGATCAGCGGGAACAAGAGCTGTGGTCTCTCTTGCTCAAGTATACGTCCCTAGAACCTAGCAGAGGACAGGCACGGAGAAGGCGTTCAGAATTTGCTGAATGGACACGTGAATGAAGAACGATCGAATGACTTAGGCGCTTAGTTAAGGAAACATCAGCTCCTGGCCCTTTATCCCTCCTATTTTTGCTGCCTCTGGCCTGTTAGAACGATTAACCCATGATCTGGGCCAAGGGCTTCAGAGCTGAACGTGGGGGTGGCCCGCGCGCCCCCGCTGAGATCTGGGCGCAGAGGCCTGCGGGCCCGAGGTACCCATCTCCGTTGGCCGCCACACTCCATCGTGGGGCGTCGTGCCGCTGACCACCCCTTTCCCCTTGCGTGGATCTCGGTCACAAGATGGCCGGAACAGGAAAGAAGGGGGCATGCTTTCCCGTTCCCTCCCTCCCCCATCCCGGGCAGGGCCCCCAGCCTTGCGCGGCGCCTCAAGTCCCAGGCGCATGGCACCGCCGGGCAGCCGAACCAGCAGACAAAAGCCGAGAGACGCGGGTTCCAGGGGAACCTCGGCGCCCTTCCTTGGAAGGCAAACAGGCAGTGGGGGCAGCGGCGGCTACTCCAGCTGGATCTGCAGAGGCTCGGCTCGCAGCCTGGAGAGGCAGGAGGGCCGGCTTCGCGGGTATCGGGATGCCCCGTCAGCCACCTCCTGTGGGCGCCTGGCGCATCCCCGGTCTCGGCTCACCCCAGCTGCGCGCTCCTGGGCGGGTGCCGGGCGCTGCAGGCGGGCGGGGGCGACACAGGGGACCCAGACCCCAGGGTCGCTGCTGACGCGGGCCGGGCCCGCGGAGGCCGAGGAGCAGCAAAGCGGAGAGAGGCAGGCCGGCTCCTTCTTGCAGGGCGCAGGATGAAACGTGTCTGGTCTGGGCAAGTTGTGGCGAGGCGGGTCGACTGGCGCCGCTCTAGGGCCTTCCAGACTCCGGACCACGGACGACTCAGGATACCCCACCCCCCTCCCGCCCCCTCCCCTCCGCGATCTCCCTCCGGCCTCTTCCCTCGGTGTCCCGGCTCCTCTGGCAACTGGGCGGGACCGCGAGCGTCTAGACCGCAGCGCTAAAATGCGCTCAGCCAATCCGGCAGCTGGCGCAGACACGTGGTTCGGGGGCGCGCTCCGTTGCTGGCCCTGGATGCTAACCCTAGGAAGGCTTTTCAAAGAGAAACCAGATTCGCTCCTACCCGGTTGTTGGTCTGGCCCTCAGCAAGCTAATTTCCCAGAGGAGCTTCAGGTGAATTATCTTCCAAAAAGAGATGCGTTTTAATCGCAGAAGTCTGCAGATGCGAAGGACCTTGAAAAGGCTATCTAATGTGGCCCTGCATTTGAGTGACGTGGAAAACCGAGATTAGGGACTTTTCACCAAAGCCCTCTAGGATTTAAACCCACGTAGGTTTCTGCGTCTCTTTCCGTTATGCCCACTTCAGGATGAAAGGCACGGATCTTTGTTGGTAGAAAGTTAGGCACTGAATTACAGGAGATGTGGGTCCGGAGTAGTGTGCTCATTTATGTAACCTAAAATTGGAACACGTGGGACAAAAGTCAGTATTTTTAAGTAACAAGTAATCCAGAACGTATGTATATACCATCATGAGAAATGAAGGCATCTTTTGCAAAACCTAAGTGTCTAATGCAGCTATATATATATATATATATAATATATATATATATGTTTTTAAATTAGAGAGGAGTAGCTGCAGAACTTTTACTGGACCAACATGCCGTTGTAAAAGTGCCTTTCCTTGTGCTTCTCCCTGACAGAATCAACTTTGTACCATACTTTAGCACAAGGCTTCAAACATAGCAACAGCTAAATATGTATTTATGTTGAATTCCTTGCTTTAGTTTTATTTGAAGCCATAAGGCCAAGATGACCATGATGGGATTTTAAATTGGTCTAATTTTAAAATTATTTTGAAAGAAAATTCAAGATCTCTATAAAAATCCTCTAAGTACTATGGGGAAAGATTTCTAGATAGAAATTTCAGACAATAGGCCGAGCGCAGTGGCTGACGCCTGTAATCCCAGCACTTTGGGAGTCCGAGGCGGGTGTATCACGAGGTCAGGAAATCGAGACCATCATGGCTAACACGGTGAAACGCCGTCTCTATTAAAAATACAAAAAATTAGCCGGGCATGGTGGTGGGCACCTGTAGTCCCAGCTACTCGGGAGGCTGAGGCAGGAGAATGGCGTGAACCTGGGAGGCGGAGCTTGCAGTGAGCCGAGATCGCGCCACTGCACTCCAGCCTGGGCGAGAGAGCGAGGCTCCGTTTCAAAAAAAAAAAAAAGAAAAAAGAAAAGAAAAGAAAAAGAAAGAAAGAAAAAAAAAGAAAGGAATTTCAGACAATATGAGATAGATAGGACCATTGCTCTGCAAAATCCGGTTTTTGCAAACTCGGTAGCTGTCTGTGTGTGTGTGTGAGAGAGAGAGAGAGATGATTGCTTAATTAATATTATTTGTTGACATACCATTTGAGTTACATGTATTTCCCATCCCCACTGTCAGTATATTACCCTACAGGTGTAGAATTGGAATAAGAAGAATCAATTGACTTTGGCATGACTTAGCAGCCATGATGCATTCTTGATCTATGCACAAACCACTTTTACCAATTGTATAATGGTATACATATTTTTAATGATTAAGGTATCTCTCTCGTCGGTCAGACTATAAGAACCTCAAGTATTCCAGCATTTTGAGCATTTAGTAAGTCCTCAAATAAATATTTGCTTTTTGAAGACAGAAATGATCCTAAAGAATGAAATAATAATACTGGTGAACATTAATCATTTTGTACAGTAAATAAACAAAAGCATTGTAGCTGAATTTATTTCAAATGATTGTTTCTGTTTCTCTCATTTGAAAATAGTTATTGATATTACCTGGCTAATGTCCTTTAGTATGAAGGCGATAAATAAAGAAGGGCAGAAATCACATGTGTTGTCTGATTCAATACATATTAATTATTTTGCCTCATATTCCCATTTCAGATACCTAACCTTGGTTTTATATACATGGTTTAAAGAATAATAGGCCAGGTGAGGTGGCTCAAACCTGTAATCCCAAAACTTTGGGAGGCCAAGGTGGGCAGATCACCTCAGGTCAACAGTTTGAGACCAGCCAGGGCAACATGGTGCAACCCCGTCTCTACTAAAAATACAAAAATTAGCCGGGCATGGTGGTGCACACCTGTAATTCCAGCTACTCAGGAGGCTGAGGCAGGAGAATCACTT